>NC_000006.12:119313214-119616244 GCF_000001405.40 Homo sapiens | reverse complement strand
AGAACTCAAAGAAGTAAGCAGAATACTGAAGCCTTATTTTATGCTGAGGTCATCTGCCTAAGTATATTTAAGCTTCAATTTTAGACTTGTGAGATTTTAGGAGCTGTAACCCCAGAGAGGCAAAACTTAAGTGTAATAGGCAACCAAAAAGAATGCTCTGCCCCTCAACCCCAGAGGCCTTCAAGAAAATTTGCCTATCTCAAAATAGAGGGGGAAAAATCTTCATGGAGAATTTAGAACCTCAAGCCAAACCCTCGCAAATGTCCACAGAACAAACGCACACTGCCTCAGTGTTTGGAAAAGCTTCAAATTAATAATTAAAATTAGTTAACCTGGAATGGAATTGCCCCTAGCTGTCAGACAAAAGCAAATAAAAATCTTCTCAAAAGAAATTGCCCTTATTTCACAGAAATCATCAGCTCACAAATATTAACTAAAAACAAAAGGAAAAGAGGCACCATGCTTGAGAGCCGGCAGAAAGAACATGAAATCCAAAAGGACTTCATTCAGACAACAGACACAGACCATGAAATGATGATGTTTAATATGTTTTAAAATTTTTTAAGCCAGAACAAATATATGCATGATAGGAAAATCATATGTAAAACCAACCAAATATAATTTCTAGAAACCAAATAAAATGAGTGAAATTTCAAAACACAGTGGATAGGTTTAACAGCAAATAAATGATAAAGAGACAACTTGTAACTGGCAGACAGATGTGAAGAATTTACCCAGGCTAAAGGTAGCACAGAAAGATAAAGTGGTAGAAAACAAAACTTAAGAGACATAAACAATTAAAATGAGAAAGTATTACTTATGTCTACTTGGAGTCCAGAGTGAGACATAGATGGATGCATTTCAGGAAGAAGGCAAGTGATCCTAGAGGGATGGCCTGATCACTAAGAAGAAATGAGGTACACAGAAACTGATGAACACAGTCAAATAAACATTAATTATTTGAAACTACAATAACAATGTGTTATACGGTAAATAAGACAATTAAAATAGACAATCACCAAAAAAAAATTAACAAAGAGAAGGGTGAATAGGATTAACACATCTAAGGTCTTTTTTTGTTAAGTTAAGCATGTATATTGTCATTACAAAAAATAATAGAAGTGAAGTATATAATTTCTAAACAGGTAGATGAAAAAACAAAGGAGAAAAATTAATCTTAGGAAATACAAAGAGGAAGAGAAACACATAAGAGAGGCAACAAACAGAAAGCCCAAAATAAGACAGTACAGTATATACAGTTGCATCAGTAATTACATTAAATGTAAAAGGACTAAATGCTTCATTTACAACACACATCTTCAAAATGGATTTTGAAAAAACAAAAGCTAAATGCGTTTATAAAAGGCAGGTTGGAGACTTTCTCTTCCAGGAAGATGGAGTAGACTTACTTTCCCTTCCTTGTCCTACTAAGTGCAACTAAAAAGTTTGGGCATTAAATATAAAACAAGCATAAGATGATCCTATACAGTGGAAAGAAAAAGGCAGAACAACTAGGGACCTCAAGACCCCAGGACAACACAATAGAGAGCTCCCTAGGTTTTCTTTTTCTTTCATATATCTCAGATTTCTTGCCAAAGAAGCTAGCAATTGGAAAACACTAAAAGTGCAAATAACAACAACAAAAATACCGCTTGCTCTAGCCAAAGGACAAAGAAAGGAGCAGCCTAGCAGGGCGAAAACTTTTAGAGAGTAACTGTTCAAGTCCAGACAAACACTACAGAAAACACTGTGGCCCTACCCATGCCAGCAAAGGACTTGTGGGGAGCCTAGAATTCCACCCTTATTGGGCTATAATAAAGGTAATATGGCACTCCAGCCTCCCACTCTGCAAGAGTGGTGTCAGATAACAACAAACAGGGAATCACCCACTCTGTGGTGTCATCAGAAACCACACGGGGAGCCTGGAATTCCATCCCCAACCTACAGTACCAAAGCACCCTTTCCCACCCCCACTGGGATGGTGTAAGTGAGTCTTAGCAGACAGTCAAGATTTTCACCATCACCCATTTCCCTAGATGTGGGGAGTAGTAAAGAGGCACTCCTATACCCCCCAGCCATGGAGGTACCAGTGTAGGGTAACAGGGAGCCAGAACCCTCACTCTTGCCCAGCAATAACAAGGAACACCCATCCTTGAGTGTTAAACAAAAGCCAAATGGGGAACCTGAAATTCCACTCTCACTCCCCACTCTGCAGTAACAAGGCTGTCTCAACCTCACCCCCACTTCTGTTGTCAGAACACTGCCAGAAAAGACCTGTTAAAACAGAAGTTTTAAATAATACCCAGAATCTCATAATACCCAAAATGTACAGGTTTCAGTCAAAGATCACTCACCTTACCAAGAATCAGGAAGATCTTAAACTGAATGAAAGACACAGCTAAAACACAAATGAAGAAAGTTTGAATGTTAAACGACAAAGGAAAACATCACAAAAGATAAGAGAAAGATGCATCTAATAAGAACTAATCAAAAGAAAGATGGTTTGGCTATATAAACTACAAATACAAATAGAAAATAGATTCTAAGACACAAAGCTCTTCTTGAGATAAAGTGGGTCATTTCACCTAAAAATTTCAATTGATCAAAGAGACAAAATTTTAATGTACCTAACAATAAGAGCCTCAAAACTTTCACAAAGAAAGAGAAATAGAGAACAGAAATCTATTTGTTACTACAGCCTTGCCTACTCTAACTGAAATCTCTGGGCAACAGATTTAATTCACTCAGAAGCCTTGTTGAATTCTGGAGAAAATCAGTTATTAAGTATTAAAGAAGCTTTTTTTTCCAGAAGGACATATGTGTATTGTCACATCAGCCTCATCTACATCTCTTCTACTCCTCTGGTGTTCTAAGTGGGTGTTTTGAGGTGTCAAATTGACTGCAGCATTTCTGCCAGGGAGTCAGGGGTGGGAGGACTGGAAATGAAGAATTGCAGCATGAGAAGCCAGCTATGCCCTGTGCTCACCTGCTGACTTCACTGTTACAGAGTGTGGGGCTTAGTGAAACTCAAAGAAAGCATTAGACATTTCCATAAATATGAATTGCATCTGTTAAGATTATGGCATTTCCTACAGAAAGCACAACAGTAATGATTACAGAATGCTCCCATTAGAGTACCACATGAGTCAGTCACTCAAGCAAAACAAACCTTGAACACCCAAAGTTAATCTGAAGCATAATCCCTTATTACTGGTTCTTGGCATTATGCTTTCCTAGGGTTGCCTAGACTCTCCTGTGAGCACTAATAAAAATGTCCCCTGGGGAATCATAATTTCTTCCCCTGAAAAAAGTTAACAATGACTGTGTTAGAGAAATGAAGGCAAGTGTCTTCTTACCACCAGTCACTAAGGACGGGAGCAAGTCAAGGGTCTCCCTTTGTCTGTTTTGCACTAGTCTCAGAGGCAAAAGCTGAACAGAACAGCCTTTTACCTACCCAGTATTATGAACACAGACAATACTTCTAAGCAGGACATCACAAAATTCCACAGATTTTTCTCTATGCTCCCACTGGCCTTGTGATGTAACTTTCAGAGGACAGTGTGAGCAGATAGAATTGCATGTTGCAGCTCTCAACCCTGACACCAAGAGGGAGCACCGAAGAAGAGGCAGTTGGTCAGAATCCTGAAACTCAAGCACAAGACCCTCAGAGCTAAATTCTTCTCCCAAGGGCAGTCTTCCATGGTCTAACTTTCCCTTTTCATCATGACTGTAAATCATAAAGGAAATTTAGGAAACACCAGATCATAAGTGAAGAATAGAGGGAATCTTCCCTTGCCGTCATTATTCCAATAGCAGGCAAAGTTGAAACCAAGCCTGGGAGACATATTGTTTCCTCTCAGTATCACTGCCAGGAAACCACAGGAGAAACAGCTGTATTGTTAAAAGATTTTAAGTCTAAAACAATCCATCACATGCAATGTACATAGTCTTCCTTACTGGAAGATCTTTTATCCCAGTCTATAATCTAAAACACCTAAAACTTCACTGCCTGCACTGCTGGAAACTTTTCCATTGAACAACACTCTTTAAAAAAAAAATCTCTACATTTTGATTTTCATCTTCTTAGCAGAGCAAATTATCCCATCAGCCTGTGGAGAAGTGGGAGGTTATTGTTCATGAAACTATGAAAGAACATAGCACAACAATGCAAATGAGAAGCTTGAAGTCTGTTTCACCATTAAGGCATATTCTAGAAAATATTCATTCTCAGAGAAAAGAGGGAAGAAAAATATACCATAGCCTTTATATAGAAAGTTTTGAGAAGAATATTAGCACTGTATTTAAGGGAAGCAAGAAATAGCTATTCAATTCAACGCCTCCCTCCATCATTCCAAGGCCACCTTTTAAGGATGTTTTGTTATTATGAGATAGAATGAATGTTTTCTGCCTGTCTGACCTAGAGAGGAATGTTTGTCCACAGTTCTACAGCCTCTGCCTGGAACGTACTGACTGAAGGCTATAAAAATCACTGAAGGACGTTAGCTATCCAGCATTCAGGCAAAATCACATTTCCCGCTCCAGCTTACTCTCAAAAAGCCATCACATAGCATTTACTTTAGGCAGCAGAGGACTCCTGTTAAGGAGCAAAATACCCAGAGGAGAGTGGAGGGAAATGTGTTCCAGTTTCCTGGGTTACCCTGGGGTATTCAGTGAATTCTCCCTCTTTCCTAAACACAGTGAGTGCTTTATTTAATTTTAGCCCTCCACATCATAAGTTAGGTCTTACCTGGTCTATTTCATACTTTCTAGTGAACACTAAATGCAGGTCTCTAAGCTAGGAGTCAATGAAGGGAGAGTCTTCACCTTTTTAAGGCCAAGTGTACTTAGGAAGAGCCTTGCATGTTTGGGCTGGTTAAGGAACGGCCAGAAACCAATAGTTCACTTGGAACTCTTTGATTGTTGCAGGACAAAGGA
Source organism: Homo sapiens (assembly GCF_000001405.40). NCBI lineage: Eukaryota > Metazoa > Chordata > Mammalia > Primates > Hominidae > Homo > Homo sapiens. The sequence goes on along the minus strand of NC_000006.12, from coordinate 119,611,309 downwards.
GAAAGTCATCCAAGATAATAATTAAGTCAAGTAGGCCTAGAAATAAGAGATTCTTAGAATGCTTTCAAGGCCCACCTTAAATAATTGCCTCTCTGAGGACTTTCCCTACTTCCCAGACAGCTTCTTCCACTGCAATGTTGTTTAACACAATCCTTAAAGCTTGATATTGTAACTTTAAAGTCAACTTTCCTTCACAGGCAGTGTTCTAACAAAAGACCTTTGACTCATGTGTGCATATATCCCTAGCATTTAACACAGGTTCTAGTACTCAACAAGTGTCTGATGAATGAATTAGGAGTATTTCCTAAAGGAACTAAAATATCTATTCTTGCTTGCATCTGACAGAGCTGATGAATAATCACATGCACATGCTAATAAGACCTATTCTAAACATGTTTCAACTTCAGGGCCTTTGGTGATAGCCTGCAGTTCTATCACTTTTCCCACTCTGTGGCCTGTCCCCGTGCCCCATGCAGCTGTTTCAAACTTTTAATCTTATCCCAAATCCCCTGAAATCACTTCCAAAATCTATCAACAGATGTCATAATATCCTACTAAAAAATAGAGGCCATCAAATTACAAATTTCTTCGATTTCTTTCTTCTGAACTTTCTTTCCTCCTTATTTAACTCTATCTTTATTTTTTTTCTCTCCTGCTGTTTTCTCACAAGGTAATGTCATATATGGATTCCCTCCCTTTCAACATCTTCCAGGGTTTCTCTCCATCAATCAGCCACCTTATTCTTAGACTTTCATTTTCTCTGTATCCACTGAGAGAAGTATGAAGCCAATAGATCTTTCTAGCTATGATATTAATTTCTAGAAATGTGACCATGTTTAGCCACCTTATTCTTAAACTTTCATTTTCTCTGTATCCACTGAGAGAGGTATGAAGCCAACAGATCTTTCTAGCTATCATATTAATTTCTAGATATGTGACCATGGGCAACCTCTCTAACCTCAATTTTCTCTTCTACAAAATGGGAGTAATAATCCATGCCTCACAAGATTTTAGGGGATAATTAAATGAGATGCTGTACATAAAGCATTCAGCCCAATGCCTGGTACATATGCTCACTCTAAGAAATATACATCCTTCTCCTTTCCTTCTTCCCATCCAAAATCAAATCACTTTCAAGGTTCTGCTTCCCATTTTTGACTACAACATTCTCTCTTTCCTCCCTTTCCTTCCAAACCCTAAATTCTGTACCCACGGTTCCTCTTTTCTCATTTGCTTCTCAGCCCACTACAATCTGGCTTCTCTCTGCTCACTCCACTGAAACATCTCTCAGAAATGAAACTAAGACTTCTAAATGCTCTGCATTTCACAGATTTAAATTTTTTTCTGCAAAAGCCAAAGAATGAATCATGGAATAAAAGACAAGATGAATGCATGAATAGATGTTATTCTCCATCATTGATCTAATTTATTTTCATGGCTTTAACTTTTCACCATATTCCATGACTTCCAAAAGTACTTCTGGTACTATCTTTCTCCTAACTCAACTCACTATGTTCCAAGGCCTTTCTCTTACCCTCTATCTGGACATATCATGGAAGCACAGAAAAGATTTAGGCAAGAATGTACCCAGTTGCTCAAACTAGAAACTCCAGCATGGCCAGTCCTGCGAAGCTGCCTTTTCTTACCTGTTGGGGCCAATCAGTCACTAAATCTTGTCAATCCGCATTTAAAATATCTCTCAATATTAACTTGATCTGAATTGTGGAAGGTTTTCTAAATGTTAATAATGTTCTGGGATTCACCCACCTGTAGGTGCAATCACCCAAGTTCCTTTTCTCTTTACAATCTCTGAACATAGATCTCCCAGTATCCATAATTTTCTAACGGAGAGCCTCGCATGTGCTCACAAACCAACTTCAAGGTTTGCTCTTCCCTGCATTAGTGTCTCCTTATGAACGTGAGGCCTGCCCATGGTGCCACCTTTAAGTGCTTCATAATTGCCACTGTGGATGGTGCCCAATCACGGAAAATGAATGATGCTGCCTAGAATCCTCTCCCACAGGTTTCCTAAAGCCATACACTTTGAGACAGCAGAGAATGTCAGGTTTCATATGCATGTGAAGACAGGGCCCTCCTCCCCCCTCAGGCTGCATGCTGTTTCCTGAACTAGAAGCAGCATTACAGGCACTCCGTTCTCACAGTGCCTCTCAGAAATCTACCCCATCCTCTTTCTCACCCTTCACTCCCTAGAACTACCACTCGGGCTCAAGATCAGGGAGGAAACCAGTGGTGTTCCATTCTCTCTATTAGACTAGTCAATGAGCTTGCAAAGATAACCTTCTCATTCTTTGTCTAGCCAATTCCCCAAACTAAAATAAATATCAGTTTTAATAAACACATGCTCCATAAATGAGATGGCACCATTCACAAGATCCACAAACAGTGAAACAGAATCCCAGTTTAGGTTACCTAGGAGACCCTACTACATTTCTTTGAGACATGAATACATGGAAAAAAACAGAAAATAATTTTTTTCTAAAATTCATTAACTCCTTTGTGTAAAAAAAAAAAGAAAGAATTAAAGGGAAATTGTGTGTGTATGTGCAACAATATTACGAAGGGTTGATATCTTTTTTTTTTTTTTTTTTTGAGACGGAGTCTCGCTCTGTCGCCCAGGCTGGAGTGCAGTGGCACAATCTCGGCTCACTGCAAGCTCCACCTTCCGGGTTCACGCCATTCTCCTGCCTCAGCCTCCTGAGTAGCTGGGACTACAGGTGCCCGCCACCACGCCCGGCTAATTTTTTTATTTTTAGTAGAGATGGGGTTTCACCGTGGTCTCCATCTCCTGACCTCGTGATCCGCCCGCCTCGGCCTCCCAAAGTGCTGGGATTACAGGCTTGAGCCACCGCACCCGGCCGGGTTGATATCTTAAATGTATAATAAAGTCAAACAAACTGACAAGAAAAAGATTAAAATTGCAGTACAAAGAATGTAAACAAATTAAAAAGTGAAAATGAAAATATCTAAATAAGATACAGGAAAATATTCAGACTTACCATTAATGAAAGGATTGTTACTTAAAAGAGCAATAATATACAGTCGTTTTTTCCTGTCAAATTAGCCAAGTTTTTTTTTTAATGAAAGCATCTAATGATATTGGACGAGATAGATTCCCTCATATAGTGCTTGTGAGAGAACAAATTGGTACAATACCAGAAAACAGTAAGTGGCAATAGGTATCAAGAGTCTTATCATTGTTCATTTTCTTTTCACCAGGTAATCACTCTTCTGTGAAATGTCCCAAGTAGATAACCAGAAATGTAGATCATTTCTGTAAAGTAAAAGGGTATTTATTATAGGAACAACATGAATGCTCCCCATTAAGTAATTGCTTAATATGTCATGGTACATCTATTAACAGAATATTCTAATAGATGATAGAATAGCAAGTTTCTGAAGTCTCCATGACATGGGAAAGTAAATATAATTTAATATTTCCTTTTAAAAGTAAAATTCAATTTATTTAAATATAACAAACTCAGTTGTGAAAATATTTACATGAAACTGAAAGAAAGTGTTAAAATATTGAGATTAATTGACACAAAAGCATGGAATTATGAATGACTGGTATGAGAAGTGGGATCTTCATCCTCTGTAATACTTTGACATTTTTTATACAAAAGGCCCCGGTTGGAAAGGGCATAAATTACTTTTACCTATAAAATCAGCAAAATAAACACAAAATATGATGATCAGTGCTAGACAGAATGTGGCAAATCGAGCACTTTCATTTACTCCTGGTAGAGGCTTGAAAAAGATTTGAAGGAAATGTAGCAAAAAGTTAATAGCAATTATTTCAGTGAGTTAGTATTAAGGTTTTTTTCCCTAATTTCACATACTATTGTATATGTATTAGTTTCCTAGGGCTCCTGTAACAAAGTACCGAAAACTGAGGGGCTTAAAACAACAAAAATTTATTGTCTTACAGCCTGGAGGCTAGAAGTCCAAGAGCAAGGTTTCAGCAGGGCCATGCTCTCTCCGATGGCTTTAGGGGAGAATCCTTCCTTGCCTCTTGTAACTTCTGGTGTTTGTGGCAATCCTTGACATCCCTTGTCAAGGGATGTGCCCTTGACACATCACTCCAGTCCAATAGCCATCTTCTCCCTATGTGTCTTCACATCATCTTCCCTTGGGCATATCTTTCTCTGTGTTCAAATTTTCCTTTTTTATAAACACCAGTCATACTGTATTGGGACCCATTTTAATGACATCATTTTAACTTGATTACCTCTTAAAGACCCTGTTTCCACATAAGGTCACATTGGGAGGTACTGGGAATTAAGACTTAAGTATATCTTTGGGAGCAGGGGTAGGGTAGGGGACACAATTCAACCCATAACACAGTGTGAACCAAATTTGCTTCAATAGGCATGTATGATGACGATCAAGAGGAAGTATTACAGAAATTAACCAGCTTCATCCTGAAATGGCTGTCAAATCTATGCTTTCTTCTCCCTTCCTATTTCTTCAGAGCTGTTACTGCTATCATTCAAACACTCATCATCCCATCATCTTTCCCAGGGCCACTGGAATAGTATCCTGACTGGTTTCTTCACCTCTAGTTTTTCTCCCTTCCATCCATCTTCCTCATTGTCAGACTTTTCTGATCTTGTTACTCTCCTACTTAATAACTCTTATAGATTCTAAGGTTCATAAAATTAAACCTCAACTCCTTAAACATAAATTTTTAATCTGATCCATCTTCCCGTTTTAACCTGATTGCCCACGAGTTCCTATTCGTAACTCTGTTTTCCCCAACCCAAGTAGCCTACAAACTAGACTTGCTGCACTACAGTTTCATGAATATGCTAGCTTCACATCTTGTGTTCTAGGCTCCCATGCCTTTGACCTCATTTATGAATTTATTCAAGAAATAAATATTGGACACTCACCACATGCCAGGCATTATACTAGAAATGAGCCATTTAAAAATAAATCACACTCTGCAACTTTCAGGATCTCAATTGAGTAGAGCACCTCAGACATGTAAATAGTACGTTTTAAAATATGGTATAAGTTCTGTTATAAAAATCTCACACAGGGTACACATGGGACAGAGAAGTAGGAGGGGTCAGTTTTACTAAAGGCTTGAGAAATTGTTCATAGCAGGAAGCACCCCAAGCTTTTAGAAATATGAACAGGTGCTCCAGTGCCCTTCCCCTTCTCACCTCCTCTAGATATCTGGTAAAATTATATTCATTCTTCAACGATCAGTCCCTCCAGACTTCAGGAAACCATTCACCTATTGATTAGTGAATGGATCCAGCATGTTGTTATTCATGACTCTTTGTCTTTGCTATGGGCTGAGAATGGAAACAAACATCCATCACCCATTCTCATATTGCCTCACCCCATTTCAGATGGGCACATTCAAGGTAATGTACACATTACAGATCTTCAAACTCAGGTCACTGCTGTGGTCTGAATATTTGTGTCTCTCCAAAATTCATATATTGAAACCTAATCACCAAGGTGATGGTATCAGGAAGGTGGGGACTTTGGGAGGCACTTAAGTCAAGAGGACTCTCCCTCATGAAGGGGATTACTGCCCTTATAAGAAAGGTCCAAGAAAGCTTTCTTGCCCTTAGCCATGTGGGGACACAGAGAAGGTGCCATTTATGAGGAACAGGCCCTCACCAGACACTGAATATTTGGGAGACTTGATCTTGGACTTTGGGAGCCTCCAGAATTGAGAGCAATAAATTACCATTGCTTATAAATTACCTAGTCTAAGATATTTTTGTCATAGTGGCCAAAAGGACTAAGGCAGTCCCTGTTATTTATAGGAGGCTCTATAATTTTTCAAAGGCATTTTCTCCTATTACCTCACCTGAACTGCATAATTACCCTAAGAGTTAGGCAAATGTGGTTATTTCCATTCTACAGATGAGGAAATCAACTATGAGATGAACTGCCTCATGTTCCACCATGAGAGAGTGAACTATAGCACATGAGCAAGAAAGAACAGAGGCCTATTCGTGGAGAGAAATTTCTCCTGAGGCATAGCTCTCCCTAGTAGCAAATGCATTATATCATCATTTTGCCATCTTCCTTCAGAGTATGCTTCAGCCTCTAGATTCTCTTTTATTCACTGTACCACAGTACAGACTTCTGTGTATCATATAAATGTCTTCATACTTCTATGTCAAAGCACCAAATTTCCATAACAAAAGCCACATAGTAAAGAAAGGTCACCAAGAAAGATTAAGATGATTCCAAACTTGCCGGTACCCCATCTGGGATCACTAATAGTTGTAATCCACTGGCCATTGCTCTTTGCCTGCCCACCTTCTATCAGCTGCTGTTGATATCATAGGATAATCACCAATTTATTACCGTAACACCCTCTAGTTATAATGATCTTTCTCCATCAATGTTTATTGCATTTCATTGCAGCTATTTTCCATTAGGAAACACAAACAGAAATCAATATTGAGATCATTCACTAGTAGGACTGTCTCCTCCCCACAGCTACTCTTTGTTAAGTGATTTTTAGTAAATCTAATATAATTTGCTGTTTCATAAGAACTCAGTCATAAACTCAGTCTTGGAGAATGCTTAAAATTTAGAAGTAAGTCAATGTACTTCTCAGGGCTGTGTTTACAGTGTGAAGCATTACTTTGTGCGTCCCAACTGTGCCTACTGAACTTGCTAAAAGAAGATATTCTCACCTCTCCCTTTCTGAATGAGGCAAACCCATTTAACTACTTTCCCATGAGTTATTTCCTTCATGAGAATGTAGCCAAAAGCTGCCTGGGACTAAAACAAAGCACATCTTTTCCCCAGCACCTGTGTTTCAGGACATTTTACACCTTGAAATCTACCAAATTGTGTCAAATCTGAACGAATCACCAGGATCCCAATTTGGAAGTGACATGAGGGTACCTGTGCTGACAGCTTTGCCCTAGACACCTGCAAAAGGTGTGGGATGGCTCCTGCTAGTCAGGCCTGTGTGCAGAATAGGAAGCAGCTCCAGGGCATGGCACATGGCAGGGCTGAGCACACAGCATTTGATAACACACCAGGTGAGCCAGGGCAGCTGTTACAACATTAATATCAATTATCAATAAGCTGGGGTCTGTAGAGTATTTCATAAAGCTGTGAAAAAAAAATGAGATAGAGCCACCAGTTGTCAAAGCATATTAACCTGCCAGGATCTTTCAGATGGGTGGCTAAATAGGCATCAGTAGAGCTGTAAATTCCTCAAAGGGTTGCTGCTTTCAGGAATTTCTCCTGATTTCATGTGGCTTCTCTCTTTTTTAATCTCTTTTTTAATCTTTAATCTCTTTCTGCCCTCTTCCTTACCTCCTCCCAACCACCATATTATTTTTTTTTTCAGTTTCAAATTAGTACTGAAATTACCACATCGTGGAAGGTTTCTCCAGCAACAAACAAGGAAAATTTCTGCTCTGAGTCTTAGCTTTCATGAGAGAGGTAACACCAACTAGGAAGAAGAGGAAAGGGGCGAGAGAGAAATGCCGCGTTTGGGTACATGAGTGGGAGAGCAGCACCCAGCAGGCACAAATTTCTAGATAAGGTTTTCCTCTGCACAAATTTAGTGTCCCCCCTGGGGCTCCAGTTACCAATGGGGCAGAATGGAGCTGCCCACTCTGACCTGCACACCCACTCCTCTTCCTCCTGGGGCTGGCATCCATCCTAGTCCAAGGCACATAGCCTTAGGCTGTTGGAGCTGGGCTTCCAGGATGAGGGAAAGCTTCCAGCTGACTTATATTCTGTTCGCCACCGAAGCCCAGTGGGACACACTACAAAAGTTGTGCCCATGAGCTCCCCAAACAGAGGCTGAAACGCTTGGTGCTATCAGATGCTCCCTAACTCCTTTCCAGGGCACCTAAACAGACCCTTCCTGCAGCAATCACATCAATTGCATTGAATTCCCAGCCGCTGCCCTTCATCAGCCTATTACAGGATCAATATCTAGTCATACTGCATGAAACCATCCTATTCCTCTCACAGGAAATTAGTGCATTTTGATTTTTTTCTTCTGTTTTTAAATCTGTGCAATAGAATAAGAATATGGCTTAGGAATAATGATTCATTACCTCCCTAAGTGCATGTCCAGGATGGAAAACCTTTCCTAAAACCCCTAAAAAGCAATTTGGAGTAGGAAGACGAGAAAGATGATCTAGAGAACTGACTATGTTGTTATTATGCTGCTTGACTTCCTAACAAAAATAGAAGCTTTGCCTGATGCAGTGCTGGCAGTTGAGGTAGAAGCTTCATGTCCTTTACATTTGGGAACCTGGATTTAAGCAGACTTCAGAGTCATAAGTAAAAGCTATTTGCCAAACACAACTGATGCACATCACAAGCTCCTTGTCCTCCTGAGGTCATTGTGGCTCCATGTTTATTGATGAGTGTGTGTTATCCTAATCAGTATTCAAATCAGAGCATTTGACTTATTTTAAACCCAATTTTACCTATACTGTGGTTTTAGAAGTTGTTTAAAAAATGAAACCTTTACTAACAGCACAAAAAATAAGAAGCATGAAGTAACAGAAGGTTTTGCAAAGACTATAGAAAAAAGGGGGGAAATGCCAGTGATTACTCAGGAAAAAATCTTTGGAAAACATTCTGTACAGAAACAATTTCTGCTGATGTGTCATGTCTTGCAAGTTTTCTATGAGGCATCAGTGTCTCTTTAAAGAAACACTTGTCAGGAAGGGTGAGTTTGAAATGTGTCATCTTAATTATTACATGAGTAACCTTCAGATTCAAAATAATTTTTTGATTCACCCACTGAGTGAAATACTTGAAAGCTAACGGAACTTTTTTTCAACATTACCAAGAGTTTCTGCTCCTATGACTTCCAATCCAAATAGCCTAGCAACACAAAGACAGAGATAAGTCTAACAGTTAAACTCTACTCTCTGAACCATGAAAAAAAATCAATAAAAAGTTGTTGCTGGTGTGATAAGAGTGAGGATATGACTGTCGCCTGTGCTGGTGTCACAGATGGGCAGGTTAAGTCTCTTGCAGGTATCTGTAATCATGGAAGAACTTCAGTGCCCTTCAAGTCCTCTCTAAACTTAGCAGTTTCCAGAGAAGGAATATCTGAAGAAATGCTGCCAGCTTCCTCTATTGGTTTCTCCAACTGCTACAACCCCTATCTCTTTAAGTTGCTCTTTAGCATCCATGAAACAAGAATGGGAAGATAATGTGAGTTGGGTACCTATGTTCACATTAGTTCATTTGAATTATATGAATTACTTTAATCAAAGCTGGAGGACACCAGCCATGCAGACAATGTCTGCCTTGAAAACTCAGCAAAGCCCCTAAGCAAGCATGAAAACACACTTCACATGGGGGATCAGCACTACCATGAACAGATCTGACAGGTGAATCTTAAGGAAGCTCTGTGGCTATGAGAAGGTATCAGGGAGTAAGTCCATGTGTGCCTATACATCAACATGGGCGGGCTGGCCAAGTATAAGGGAAAGGAATCCAACAGCAAGCTGGATAGTGTAACACTCTAGAAAGCAGAAAACAGGCCTCCAACCCAATACGTTTCTAAAGCTTCCATGAACTCCCTAATGGCACAGAAGAGTGAAAACATGAACCTACTATAGTCTCAGTTGGGATGGGTTGATTAGGAATTGTGAAAGATCCCTAAGTTCTATTAGCAACAATTTCAAAATATCTTTGAATTCTCCTGGTTTACCATAAAACCCAAAAGAAATATGTAATACACTCTGTAATGAATGATTATTGGTTGTAATATAAACCAATTCGACTATCATTTTTCATAGAATAAAGCTTTGCATGTTTATCCCATGTGCACCGAGGGCACCAAACTACCAATCTAAGAAGCAGGCCTCTAACCTACTTGGACTCAGTCTTTAAAGACAAAATATGAGGTAGATAATACATCAGTGGTCGAATCTTCTCCTTAATAAGATGATTTGGTGGAGAAAAAGGGTCCACTATAAGTATAGAAAAAGTCTGCTCAAGGGACTTAGAGATCACTGTCTCTTCAGTGTCAGGCCAGGACAAAAGGGGGCTAAAAAAGATATGATCAATCTTGGGAGAACACATAGTACATATTCAGTTTAGAATTTAAAACATTTATAAGGATAAAATTCCTAGCTTAAAAGAGGCCAGTGTAGTATGATTAACTGACTTTGGAGGCTTTTGAGGGGTCTAGGCCTGCAAATAAGGCAAAGTATGGTAAAACTTATATTAGCAAAATTGGATCCTAGAAAGTATTGGATAATTTGGAATTGATCAATAACACCAATGATCTCTACAAGCATTTCCTTCCAAAAACCACCCTAAATAAGCAACAATCAAGGTTAAAATATATTGTTCTTTGAAGTCCTCACCATTCACTTTCAACTAGTTTGCTCCTTTAAACTTCCCAGTGTAAAAGTTCAGCAGCCAGCCCTGGATTTTACCTGGAAATGTTAATAACCACAGGCAAACTCTATTTCATTATAATAAAGGTATATGTTATAATGTAAGTTGCCTGTCAGAATGGCTCTTTGGTATACATGTGCCTTATGAACTGGCATTAAAGTTTGCTCCAATTTTTTTCCATTAAAACATCACTTCAGCCAGGCATGGTGGCTTGCGCCTGTAATCCCAGCACTTTGGCAGGTCGAGGCAGGTGGATCATGAGGTCAAGAGATCGAGACCATCCTGGCCAATATGGTGAAACCCCATATCTACTACAAATACAAAAAATTAGCTACAGTCCCAGTTACTTGGGAGGCTGAGGCAGGAGGATCACTTGACCCCAGGAGGTGGAGGTTGCAGTGAGCCGAGATGGCGCCACTGCACTCTAGCATGGCGACAGAGCAAGATTCCATCTCAAAAAAAAAAAAAAATCACTTCATCGAGTTCAAGTTTGTGTCATTATCTCTTTAAAGTAAAAAAAAAATTAATGAGATGAAATTGTTGAATCAAATCCATGAATATTTCACATTTTGAAGCACTCCTTCGAAGAGTTTTTCCAATTTACCACTAACAGTACATAGTCTCAAAGTTTTTCCCATACTTTTATTGATTTAAAGTTTTGCCATTATTTTTATCTTCGGTAACCTGGTGAGAGAAATTTTTTTTTTTTCCTGTATCCCTTCTTTTCCACAGGCAGGCATCTTTATCTTTTTAACAAGCACTCCAAGTGATACTTATGATCAGGAAAGTTTGGAAAACAATTAGAAGAAAGATATGAAACTAATTTGTGCCTTTAAAAAAACACTCAAAAGTAAATTTCTAAATTAATATTTTTTCTTCTGTTTTAGAAAATCCACGTTATGGACTATGCTAAACATAAAGATTTAAGGCTACTGCAATGTAGCTCTAAAAGAAAACTTAAATACTACCTGGAATTTAAAGGGAGCTGTGATGAGCTGAAACTGGCTCACATTGGCTCATGAGAGTCAATTGTTAGTTATGTAGGAATTTTGCAAACCACTTGTTAAACACAGCTATTATTAAAAATTATACAAACTTGCAAGTTAATAATGTTAAAAACAAAGGTAAATACTTAAAGTTATCAATTTCCAATTATTTTAGAACACATTAGTATTACGTGCTTTTGAAGTTATTTATATCTATTTTAACTATGGTGGAAACACTACTACTGCACATCTCATCCCAACTCTGTTCAGTGATATTACATGGACAGCTTGAAATCTGCCATAGAGTGAATATTTACACCAAGGAAATCAGCAAATGCTACTTACAAGTCTTGATTGCCTACACCAGGGTTGGCAAATGTTTTCTGTAAAAGGCCACATAGCAAATACTTTAGGTGTTTAAGGCCATGTAATATCTGTCACAACTCGTCAATTCTGCCATTGTTTCACAAAAGTTATCAGATATATATGTAAATATCACATATATGTAATATATATCAAATATATCCCATATATCAAATATATATATCAAATATCATATATATGTACATATCATATATATGTAAATAAATTAGTATGGCAGAATTTCACCCTTGGTGAGCCAGGTTTGTCCTGAGGATCATAATTTGCCAAAACCTGAACTAGACTTAAGAATGTGTATTAATTAATCTACTTACATAAAGTAATGATAAAGAAAGGACCATAGACTGGGTGGCTTAAAAAACAGAAATTTATTTTCTCACATTTCCAGAGGCTAGAAAACCCAAGATCAAAGTCCAGGAGGGTTTGGTTTCTGGTAAGGGCTCTCTTCCTGGCTTGCAGATGGCACGTTCTCACGGTAGTCTTGTATGATAGAGAGAGAGAGACACAGAGAGAGAGAGAGCAAGCTCTCATGTGTCTTGTAATACAGCCCCACTCATAACTTAATCTCAGTTACCTCTGTATAGCCCCTATCTCCAAATGCATTTACATCAGGGGTTAGGGCTTCAACATATAAATATTCAGGGGGAACAATTCAGTCTACAGCACAAAGTGATACAGAAAATGTTACTAAAGCAGATTAAACTTTAAAGTATGTCATTCTGTAGCCATCACATTATAAGAATACATTTTTCCAGTACAAGCATGATTAATTTTATTGTACTACACTTTATTGTGCTTCATAGATATTGGATTTTTTACAAATTAAAGGTTTGTAGCAACACTGCATCAAGCATCTATGAGCACCATTTCTCCAAAATGTACTCATTTTGTGTCTCTGTATCACATTTTGGTAATTCTTGCACTATTTCAAAATTTTAATTGTTATTAAACAATAACAATGGTAATCTGTAATCAGTGATCTTTGTTATAATGATCTGTGATCAGTGATCTTTGATGTTGCTGTTGTAATTGTTTGGGGGCACCATGAACCACACCCATATTAGATGGTGAACTTAATTGATAAATGTTGTGTGTGTTCTGACTGGCCCACCAATGGGCCATTCCCCTTCTCCTTCTCCTTGTGCCTCCTTACTCCCTTAGACACGACAATACTGAAATTATGCCAGTTGATAACCCTATAATGGCCTCTAAGCGTTTGAGTGAAAGGAAGAGTTGTGCATCTCTCAATTTATATTAAAAGCTGGAAATCATTGAGCTCAGTGAGAAATGCATATCAAAAACTGAGACAGACTGAAAGCTAGACTTCTTGTGCCAAACTGTTAGCCAAATTGTGACTGCAAATACAAATTTCTTGAAGGGTATTAACAGTGTGAATGTATAAGGGACTTAAACAACTCAATCGCAAAAAAATTAAATAATCTCATTAAAAATGGGCAAAAGATCTGAATAGAATTTCTCAAAAGAAGACTTATGAATGGCCAACAGGTATATTAAAAAATGTTCAATGTTACTAACCATCAGGGAAATATGAATTGAAATCACAATGAGCTATCATCTCACCCCAGTTGAAATGGCTATTATCAAAAAGACAGAAAAATGACAAACGTTGGTGAGGATGCAGAGAAAGGGGAATGCACACACGCTGCCAGTGAAAAGGTAAATTAGTATAACCGCTGTGGAGAACAGTATGGAAGTTCCTCAAAAAAACTAAAAATAGAGCTATCACATGATCCAGCAATCCCCCTACTGAGTATATACCCAAAAGAAAAGAAATCATTATATCAAAGAGATATATGCACTCCCAGGTTTATTGCAGCACTATTCATAATAGTCAAGAAATGGAATCAACCTAAGTACCCATCAATGAATGAATGAATGATATATACACACAATGGAATATTACTCTGCCATTAAAAGAATAAAATCTTGTCATTTCAACAACATGGATGTAAATGGAGAATGAGAACATTATGTTAAATGAAATAAGCCAGGCAGAGAGAGACAAATGTCACATGTTCCCACTCATATGTGGGAGCCAAAAAAAATTGATCTCATGGAGGTAGTGAATAGGATGGTGGTTATGAGACATTGGGAAGGGTAGTAAGGAGAGGGGATTTAAGAGGGGCTGGTTAATGGATTAAAAAATACAGTTAGAAAAAAATTGACCTAGTGCTCCAATGAACAATAGAGTGACTATAACTAGAAATAAATGTATTGTATATTTTAGAATAGCTAGAAAAGTAGATTTGGGATGTTCTCATCACAAATGTTTAAGATAATGGATGTCCCAATTACCCAGATTTGATTACTACACAATGTATGCTTGTAGCAAAATATCACATGTATCCCATAAGTACAACTATTATGTATCCATAACATTTTTTAATGGAAAAAAACTGCTACTCTAGTGAATATGTGAATGATAAGAAAACAAAACAGCCTTACTGATGATACGGAGAAAGTTTTAATGGTCTGGAAAGAAGATTAAACCAGCTACAACAGTTTCTTATGCCAAAGTCTAATTCAGAGCAAAGTCCTAGATCTCTTTAATTTTATGAAGGCTGAGAGAAGTGAGGAAGTGGCAGAAGAAAAGTATGAAGCTAGCAGAGGATGGTTCATAAAGTTGAAGGAAAGAAGCTGTCTCCATAACTTAAAAGCACAAGGTGAAGCAGCAAGTGCTAGTGTAGAAGCTGCAGCAAGTCATCCAGAAGATCTAGGTAAGATGATTGATGAAGGTAGCTATACTCAACAATAGATTTTCAACACAGACAAAGCCTTCTATTGGAAGAAGAAGTTATCTAGGACTTGCATAGCTAGAGAGAAAATGGCTGGCTTCAAAGCTTCAAAGAAAAGGCTGACTTTCTTGTTAGGGGATAGTGCAACTGGTGACTTTAAGTTAAAGCTAATGTTCTTTTACCATTCTGAAAATCGTAGGTCTTTAAGAATTATGCTAAATCTATTATACTCTGCTTGTGTTCTGTAAATGGAACAACGAAGCCTGGATAACAATTTGTTGACAGCATAACTTACTGAATCTTTTAAGCCCACTGTTGAGAACTACTGCTCAGAAAAAACATTCCTTTCAAAATATTACTGCTCATTGACAATGCACATAGTCACCCAAGAGCTCTGATGCAGATGTATAAGACAATTGTTTTCATGCCTGCTAAAACAACATCCATTCTGCAGCCAATGGATCAAGGAGTCATTTTAACTTTTAAATTTTATTATTTAAAAATACATTTCATTATACTATAGCTGCCAGAGGTGGTGATTCCTCCAATGGATCTGGGTAAAGTAAATTGAAAACCTTCTAGAAAGGATTAATCATTCTAGATTAAGAACATTCATGATTCATGGAAGGAAGTTAAAATATCAACATTAATAGGACGCAGAAAGAAGTTGATTTTAATCCTCCTGGATGACTTTGAGTAGTTGAAGGCTTCAGAGGAGGAAGTAATTGCAAATGTGGTGAATTAACAACAGAACTAGAGTTAGGAGTGAGGCCTGAATATGTGACTGAATTGCTACAATCTCATGATAAAAAACTTGAACAGATAAGTTTCTTCTTGTGGATGAGCAAAGAAAGTGGTTTCTTGAGATGGAATATACTCCTGGTGCAGATGCTATGAATATCATTGAAATGACAACAAAGGATTTAGAATATTACATAAACTTAGTTGATGGAGAGCAGTAGCAGGGTATGACAGGATAGACTCCAATTTTGAAAGAAGTTATACTGTGGGTGAAATGCTATGGAACAGCATCGCATACTACAGAGAAATATTCTGTGAAAGGAAAAGTCAGTCAATGTGGCAAACTTCATTGTTATCTTAAGAAATTGCCACAATGACTTCAACCATCGCCCTGATCAGTCAGCGCCCTTCAGCATCAAGGCAAGACCCTCCCCCAGCAAAAAAGATTATGACTAGGCTGAGTGCGGTGGCTCACACCTGTAATACCAGCACTTTGGGAGGCCAAGGTGGGTGGATCACTTGAGGTCAGGAGTTCAAGACCAGCCTGCCAACATGGTGAAACACTGTCTCTACTACAAATACAAAATTAGACAGATGTGGTGGCAAACGCCTGTAATCCCAGCTACTCAGGAGGCTGAGGCAGGAGAATCGCTTGAACCCAGGAGGCAGAGGTTGCAGTGAGCCGAGATTGCGCCACTGCACTCCAGCCTGGGCAACAAAGTGAGACTCCATCTCAAAAAACAAAAAAAAATTATGACTAGCTGAAGTCTCAGATAATCACTAGCATTTTTTAGCAATAAAGTATTTTTAAATTAGGGTACAGACATTGTTAATTATACATAATGCTAATGCATCCTTAATAGGCTACTAGTATAAACACAACTTTTATGTTCTCTGGGAAACCAGAAATTTGTGTGACTCACTTTATTGTAGTGGTCTGGAACAGAGCCCATAATATCTCTGAGGTATACCTGTATTTGAAGGCTGTTATCTTTATTTGAAGGCTAATTTGGCAAAGAACTCACTCATATCTTTAAAAGACAAATGAAGTTCAAGCATACAAGCTTTTTGTTTTGCTTTCATCTTAATCATTAACATAAATATAAATGTGAACCAACATACCTGTTGGAACTACATTCATTCATCAATTGCAGTCATAAGTTGGCTACGGATAAAAAATTTGACAAAAATCAATGAAAGCATTTTATGGGAATCACTTGGCCACTTGAGATTTCCAATAAAGAGTATTATATTTTGTATTATTATTTGTAAATTTGGGGCTACATATCCTTTATATTATAAATATATAATTATATAATTGTATGTGAGTGTATGTATTTAGGGAGGAGGGGAACCAGTTTTTGAACACTTGCTAACCCACTGCTTTCATTATTATTTTATTAATAAGGAAAATCTAACAAAGAGATCCCTACTGTCCTCTCCACTAGTGAACACCTTTTGTTTTTGCTTGCACAGTATCTTTTCCCAATTCTACTGGTAAGACGCCCTCGTTTTCCTTTGGGATCTATCCCATTTTATATTTCAAGTGGTCTTGGTAAACAAGTGTGGATTGCATTATTTCTTCTGATTTTGAGACCATCTTCATGATAAGAAGCAAAGATACCGATATCCTTTTGTATTTCTTTTCAAGGAAATTGAGGTTTATTACACACAAAAGGACTTGCTTGAGTCCATATGGGAAACGAGCTGTGGGGGCTGAGCCTTGAACCCAGGTGTTCTAACTTTTATCTGTCTCTGTTGCTGTGTCCTCTTGGCTTTCATGTGACACGTCTGATTGTCCTGCCTGCCTAACTTTGACACACCTCTTTGTGCTTTCTGCTCTATACAACACTCTCACCTGTCTCCTGTCCAACTCCCAGCCATAGCGTTGGGCCTTCCAGTCCCCCCTATCATCACTTCCTCCCTCCCCGTGCCTCACATGGAGACAACATGATGATGCTGAAGGACCAACCTACAAGGTCACTTTTACCAGGCCATGAGCTATGAGACCATCCTACCATCCAACACATGTACAGCATCAGCCTCTGCCTTCCAGACTCCACAACACAATGAAGCATATGGCAGAGGGAAGGAGCAAGATCAAAAATGACAATTTTCTGATTATACAGATGTTGCCCTAATTTTATGACTTCCCACAACTAAAACATATAAGAAACTCAGTTCTAAATTAGAGGCTTTGTGAAAGCTGTCTTTGAGTAAATGGCTCATTAAGGGACAAAGTAAATGAGATCTTCACTAGACAGTGACTAGGCATGCATTAAGAGACGGGAGGAGGCCAGAAAGTCTTCCAGATGCCCACACTATTACTTCTCTTGAGCTGACAAGCTCTCAATTTGCCTAGATTTCTCCACTGCTCTAATTGGTTGATGTACTCATTCATTCACCATACATTCCCTCATTAATTTTCATCACAAACTTATATTTGCTAAGGATTATATATATATGTGTGTGTATATACATATATAGTATATATACACATATATATAACTATGTATATATGTGTATATATACACATATATATAACTATGTATATGTGTATATATACACATATATACATACATATATGTACATATGTATATACGTATATATACATACATACATATATGTATATATGTATGTATACATACATATATACATATATGTATGTATGTATATATATCTATGTATATATATGTACACACACACACTTATTTTTTCACACACAGTTTTATTGACAAATTATTATTAAAAATTTATGTGATACTACCGATATTACACATTTATATGGTTTTTATTTCATATAAATCATAGGGAGGGAGAATTGATGAGTTGACGGTTCAAAGAAGAAAGGAAGGGAACAATGAATGGGGGCAAGAAGGCAGAAAGCAAGTGAGAAATAAGAAAGAAAATCAATATTTACTTAGCTACCGTGTCCCAAGAACCGTAAGAGGCTGTGACAATGGTTCAAGCTCTCAGTTTGCAGATGACTTGAGACTGGCTCAGATTCTTTCTAAAGCTTAGTGTCATTGTCTATAAAGTGGAAATAATGAAATCAGATGATGCATATAAAAAGTGTTTTCTGCAAACTGTGACACATTAAACAAGTGTTAATTGTAATTTTTATTATCTTTAGTTCCTTTATCTCACATTAGTTTGAAATTAAAGGACATGAACCATTGCTATGATCTCCTTTGTATACACTGGACATTTGAATGTGGTTGACTAATTTGACTAGTGAAGAATTAGCTAAAGAGACGGGGCCAGCTCCACATATAGACAAATATTGCTGTGCTTTTTAGAAGGACCAGAAGGCCCCATGAGCATAAATAACTACCTTTATTTCCTGGTTCCTGCCTAAAATTTGTTATATATTCATCCTTTTAGGTAAAATCTCTATTTCTTTAAAACAAAAATATCATTGGAAGGGTATCTTACCCTTTCAATACCCTTATTTTCAATCATTTGGAAGCCAGATCTACAAAGAATCAGGAAGACAATCTTAGTGGATGTGAGGCCCAAAGACACTTGCTGTCCCAGACAAAAAGGAGAGAGTGCGCACTGGGAAAGCTGACAACCAAGAGAGCAAGCTGCCTACTTCACAATTTTCCTTCCAACTAGTTTCCATCCCTAATGTCCCTGAATTTTAGTGATATTCTCTACTTTCTGAGTTTGAATACTTCAGGAAATTTTTTGAATTAAGCCATATTTCTCACATGTGTAAGATATAACCTACAATTCAAGTTTTTGAATAAAAATGGATATTTGCAATTCCCCCAGTCAGAAGACACCTACTTTTAAAACAATTTTATGCACTACCAATTGAAGTGAAAAAGTGCCTGAGGTTTTCAACAGAGCTGTGGTTATAGGTTGAAAACATCAGACTTGTCACTGTTAAAAGGTTCTCACTAAGTTGAATGCACATTTTAGAACTCTTCTGCCCAAACCCTGTAAAAGTTAAAACTTTAATCTATTTATCTAAGGAAAACCCTACCTGTTTGTCACATGTATATTCATTTGTTACTGTTTTCAACCAATAGAATTTTACCTTAAGCAAATCAATGATGCTATAAAATTACACACCTAGCTAGAAACACGAGAAACAAAGTGCAAGATGAAGTTATCTGATGGCCAGTCTTGAATATGTTTATTTCTAAGATTATGTATATATATACCCACATTTAAGAAAAAATATAGAGAGTCTGATACAGTAAAGTGATTAAGATCCTAGAGTCGGACAGACTGGTTTCAAATCCCAGCTCTGTTTGTATTAGCTATTTAGCATTAAAGAAATTTCTCAAACTTTCTATGCCTCAGTTTCTTCATCTGTAAATGACTATAATAACATTAACTCATAGTCTTATTGTGAAGCTTATATGAGATAAATCATATAAAACATAAATTTATGTAGCACCAAAATATACCTATATTTCAATAAACTTTAGCTAGCATTATTATTGTTATTATTATTATTATTGGAATGAGTAAGAGTTGAATATTCTGAGTGGAATGTCTCACAAAATGGGAACAAAAATATCATCCAAAATAGCTACTTAACTCTTGCAGTCATGTGAAGAAAAGAGGAAAAAATATCTCTACCATATCCTGAAATCTAAAAACCATATTTCAAATTGACAGGCTCAATCATGCACTCCTCCAACTATTCAGGATGGAACAAAAGGAGAATGTTAAACACAAGTTAAAAACAGGAATCACGCCAACTACAGCATTTTCTCAAAAAAAAATTATTTTAAAACTGCCAAAAAGTTTTGTGTTAATAATTACAGGAATCTCATAGATCTAATTGTTTCAAATCGGAATATCTGACAATTAACCAATATGTTTTCTAATCTTGCCAGAGGTAACATACATCTTTATGGTATGCTGAAAAGACCACAAGAACTCAGAGGCTTCCTGGAGTGTTTGCTCTGACAAATCAGATATTTTTAAAAGAGTTTACATGCTTATAAATAAGACTACCTCAAAAGGTTTAAGAGTGCTAGCTGGAGACCACCCACCTGATGGGCAAAACTTGTAAAAAGCAAGTCATCTCAGCGCAGTCTACCAGGAATACAGACCTATGAGGTACTCCAGAGACCTCTGAAAGAAAATCTCTCACTCCAAATCTAAACTATTGGAAATTTAGTGGAAGTCCATGTATGATTTGATGGTAGAGCTCAAAATAAAACTTTTTCAACTAATGCACATAGGTTATTCTGGTCAATAGATTATTTGAGAGCATATGAAATGCCAAAGTTCAATGTTTAATAAAACAATTCAAATGAGAAATATACAGAATGCAGTAAGGGCTAAAAAGAACTATACAGTCTCTCTTGCTTTCCCCCTTATCCAATCACTGACTTAGGTTAACTTTATTTCCTAAGCAACTCTTTAACTTTCCCTGCTTTCCATCTCATTACCACTGCCCTTATTCAGTCCCTCAAACATGTCTTACCTGGAGTGAGATAATATAATGATGTATAAGGATATAAGGAGAAAGGCCAACTTTACTTTCCTGTACCTTTCCTCCAGTCTTGCCCTGCCATCCATCTAAAATGCTAATCTGAGTTTATCATTCCCTGCTTAAAATCTTCCAAGGGCTCCCTGAGCCTTTGGGATAAAGAACAAACTGCTTAGCATGACATCCAAGGTCACCATCTCCACATCCCATCCCCCATGCCTCCTACACAATTTGCCTCATAGGCAATACTGAATGTCTCTAATACTTCGAACATGCCCTGTTGACTCACACCCCTCCTCTATATCTTGGCATATATAATTCACTCTGCCTGAAATGTCTGTATAAAAACTCCTACTCACTCATCTTTCAAATTTCAACTCAAATGTTATCTCTTTTTCGTGCCTGCTTTTTTTCCTCTGTTCTCATTTTACCTTGAAGATAACCATGAGAGCTGCTTATCTTATTGTTTTGTAAAATGGCTTGTTTTCCAGTTTGCATCATGGCTATGCTGTAAAGTCCTCCAAACTTGATATTATTAAGGTTTTTATTTCCTTTGTATACAGTACCTGGCCAAAAGTAGGAACTCAAGGACAGAAAAATTGAATGAAAGAAGGAAGAGAGGCGAGGAAGGAGGAACAAGGAAGGAAAGGAGGAAGACTATGCTTGCAAAATTTGAGGATTATTTGGTTATCTAAGGCAGCTTCTTGGACTAAGAATGCACAAAAATTGAAGGATGGATAGATACGTAGGTAGATGGATTGATGGATGGATGGATGGATGGATGGATGGATAGACAGATGATTGATGAGAGAGAGAGAGAACTCCTGATACAACTTAATTGTCAGGATCTCTAATGTAAGTGTCACTTTATTGACCTTTCAGAATTTATCAGCCAAAACTTCTAAAACTTCATACATTGATCTTTTCTGGAGCGAGAGGAAAAGGACATATTCCAAACAACAAATAACAGGATAAATAACTCCAAAGTGCTTTGGAATGACAATAAGACTAATCATCTCTGATTGAGTCAAAGTAAATAAAGTTTAAAATTTTAAACAACATATATATTCTAATAAAGTGATGGTCTCACTTTGCTTGAAGTATGTTATTTATCCTGTATGTCTTTATCCTTTTAGGGACTGAATTTGAGACAGAAATGATAACTGCATCTTTCATAAGCCTAGAATGGCTGTAGGTACACCATTCTGTGCACCAGAATAAGAAAGTATCCTGGCTTTGTGGAGTGAGATTATCTGTCAGTAGAAAAAGAAATATGCCTTTCTTTTCTATTTCACAGAATTGCTCCTGCTGTTAGGATCTGACCTGGCTGAGTGGTAAGAACATGTTATATATCTTAATAATCTTCTTTCCTAAAATTCTGTTTACTATAAAGAAATAATTCAAAGTATCTTAGCCAACCTTGAATTCTAAGTTAAAGTCATTATTCTGAACTTTAAAACTTAACTTTAGATGTTTCACAGATATATGATAGAAGCATATCATAAATATTTAAGCTATCTTTCTAAAGATTTAAATATTCAGTTTAGGTTTATAAATATGGTACCTGGCCTTAAGAAATTTACAGTCCAGAAGGAGAGATAAGGCAAATACATAAATCATGGTCATGCAAGAAAAAAGTAGGATCCATATTATAATAGAGTTATAAATAAATATAGTATAAGACTACAGAAGAGAAAGCAATTAATCCTATGTGGAAAGATCATAATTATGCATAAAAATTTATGTGGGAGAAGACCGTGATGTATTCCCTAAACTTTCATGGCCTGATTTAGATGTCAAAACAACAAACTCTTTGTGTCCAGGACTCAGCTGAGATATTTCCTCCATAAATTTGATTTGGGTGGAAGGTGGCATTTTGGCTGGCTAAAATAAATGCAGACAGCTTCACACACCATTCTCCCTTTCCCATCAGGGAAGGACCTAGAAATGCATGGGAGCTTGGGTTTTGTAACTAGAGAATGGAGGAATGTGTTTGCCTTAGGGTAGAAGGGGCAGATGAGAGAAGGATGACCATCATAGTTTATTTACAACCTGTCTGGCCTGTGGACTGGTTTTAAATCGTATTTGGCAAAAAAAAAAAAAAACAAAAAAAATGGCCAGGTGCGGTTCCTCATGCCTGTGGTCCCAGCAGTTTGGGAGGCCAAGGCAGGCAGATCACTTGAAGTCAGCAGTTAAAGCCCAGCCTGGTAAAGATGGCAAAACCCTCTCTCTACTAAAAACACAAAAATTAGCTGCACATGGTGACGCACACCTGTAATCCCAGCCACTCAGGACGCAGAGGTTGCAGTGAGCCGAGATCACGTCACTGCACGCCAGCCTGGTGACAGGGCAGGATTCTGTTTATATATATATACACATACACACACACACATATATACACATATGTGTGTGTATATATATATACACAAACACACACACGTACATGCATATATATACATACATATATAAAATATATACCTACATATATATATGTATATATTTCACACCCTCAGACCCTCAGAACTGTTTTTCCTGATACGTACTGTGATTCTGGGCAAATCATAATAGGGAAACCCTAATAATATCTTTCAAGAGTAGTAATGGACACAAGCAAAATGCTTTAACCCTGAAGTTTAAAAAAAAAAAGTCTGACATTTTTAAGAATGCCCTTCTGCACCTCTGTACATAGAACCCAGGAGTTGCTGGGTGCTAACCTTGCACAGAACACTGGAAGCTGTAGGCACACCTTGAATATGGATAGTGATTTTTTCGAGGAGGAAGGAAACAGCAGCCGGTCTTGACTCAGCGAATGCTACAGTGCTAGAGAAGGTTAACCTGGATGCCACAATGGGGCTCCAGGTGACTCAGTAACAGTTCCATGAGAAACCCTGTTCTGGGAATTGCTGGGAAATTCCCATGATGCTGGTCAGCCTGACCTCTGACTCAGGCAGACCTGTTTCAAATCTCACTTCTTGTACCAATTAGCTAAAACCTTCTGGTCTCAGCTAATTTAAATTTCCTAAGTCTCCATTCCTCAACTATAAAATGAGGATAACAACCTCCACCTTGTAAGACTATTGTCAAAATTAAATGAGACATACTTAAATAATACATAGATAATTTCTGATTAGAAAAAAGGACTCATTGAGGGATAATGTTTTATTATTGAAATTATTGTTTTATAAGCATGCTAACAGCCATTAACAATACAATAATTGCATTTGCTCATGCTGACATTTTTAACTTAAGGAGCACAAGCTTTCAGAGCTGAGAGTTAACCTTTCAATTACCTCATGTGATCTTTTCTTTTACAAATTAAGAAAACGTGGTCCAGAACTGTTTAAAACTCCCCAAAGTAAGTCCTACAGGCATGTGGTGGAAGACTCAGAGCTAGAACTCAAGGAGTCTGTTGTTCTTTCTATTCTCAGTTTTGAACCTCTTATTCTAAAAGATAAGTCAGCTTTTAATGTATCTTTTTCACACTTAGAAACCAGGAATTTTGTGAATAAAATAAATCTAGGACCCCACGTGGCTCAGGCTTAACTCAAAGTCACATTCAAAGCAGCACAGCACAGCAACGAAAAGTAATTTTGAAATAATCACAGTCTTTCCTTGCATATCAAATAAAATTTGAGACTTAATTTACAACCCACAGCAATGTTATAAAAATCATTTTTTTCTCTTCCATTCTCTTGCACTGCAATTATTCTCTATTGCCTCATCCACCAATCCAGAAAAATTTTTAATGTTATTACCAAGATTTTCCAGCACTCTGCCCTTCTGTGTTTTACCTCTCCATCTCACTTCCTCATTTTCCCTAATTCACTGCGCATCACTTCCAGAACAGGAAGAGACCAAGATGATTTCAGCTCCCACCCACTCTCCACCTGCCAGCTGCTGCAGGGCCGCTAGATGTGCCCTTTACTTTGTGCTCTTCCGATACATCATCCCTTCTCACTTCCCCTTAGTATCACTCCTATCTCATGAGACATTCTTGTGAGGACTTTCTGGAGAATTCTTCACCTCATTACAATTTCAAATTTTAACTGTTACATAAAACTAGAAGTTTCACCTATGTATCTAAAAAAAAACCACTTCAAATTTAGTAGCTAGAAAACCAAACATTTTGTGCTGTCTTTGAGAGTGTAGCAATAGAGTGCAATTACCCACATACCATTCATGAAAGAAAATCTCTGAAAGGGTAGCCCTCTTCACACAAATGTACTGCTTTGAAAGAAATCCACAAGGACTTTTGAGGCAGGAAGGCAACCACTTAGGTAAATGGATCAAATTGTAAATTAATGGGTTTAGCACTGCTGCAGCTACATCATTCCAACATCTTGGTCCTTATGTTATTTATAGTACTCTAAAAATGATACATACCACAATTTTATATGTACACATCAATATAAAAAAGTATAATAGTAATTCACAATAGATAAAGCAATGATAAGAAATCAAATATATTCAGATACAAATAAAATTATCTGAGGAAGCATTTTGTCTTTTAGTCCAAATCTAACTTAAGTTTATTTCATTGCCAGGCAGCTAGAGGATAAGATACAGAGAAACAGGTGAAGGATCTATCCTATAGACTCTTTGGTGGTACTCTTTTTATTTGGATATATAGATATTCATGTCTATTATTGAGTCTATAATTCTAGGTTTGGGTTAGAGTTTTGTCTTCCACTTATACTCTCTCTTTAGGCCAAAATTCATGGTTTAAAACTTTTGGCCAGGTCCATGTGACTATCTAGCTTTCTTTTATCCTAACAAAGTTTTCAAAGTCCTATTTATATTTATTAAAAGATGAGAAATATTAGATAGGAAACTTTGTAAGGAGATTAATAAAGGATCTGCCTTATAAGTTTTACAAACAATGAAATGCAGCGTTTCTCCTTAAGAACACTTAAATACTGTTCCGTTTTTCAAGTAAATAAAAACACTGCTCATTAGTATTAAACTGAATAAGTTATAATGGCCAGTCTTACATACATTAACTTTTCAACACACCTACTGAAAATTACAAGCCTGATGAAAGAGTGGTGGTTTGAAAATTTGAATTTCCTGCAAATATTTTCCTCCACCTAAAATATTTATATTTAGATTTATACTAGCAATGCCCCAGATTACTTAGAAAAATCTATATGTTAGTTATTAACAATGTTCTTTTTACCTTACAAACAACCATTTTACTAAATGATAATAATGTCATTACTAAGTACCATAAGCACCTAATTACTAATACTCTGGATTCTAACTTCAAGGAAAAAATTATATCCTGGAGATATTTTACAGTCTCTAAAAGGAGGAAGAAAAACAGAATCAAAGCAAGGGAGGAAAAAAAGCCATGGGAGGAAAAAGAATAATAGAGAATGAAACTGATGTTAGGCCTTCTGACCTGCTAATGGATTCTTGAAGAAAGACTTTGAGGAGATTAATTTGAAAAGAACATGAAGTGGAGCTGTGAGCAGTTAATATGTTGGACACTCTCATTGTAGAGTAATAGGAGCTATTTTCTCAGTAAATGTGTTGCCAAAAGTCAAGAGTACTGATATATATATCCAACCATTCCCCATGAACAGTTCATAATTGTTCAAGAATAGACTCCCTCCTCCATGGCCTCTTCATTTATCCCCTCATTCTTCTGCCATTGTTCTGCTTCTTTATGAACACAGCTCATTGAAGCTTGAAGACAAAAAGGCCCTAATCATGACTAGCAATGGGATTATGAAGCCAAAGTGAGAAGGCAAAAAAAAAAAAAATGAAAGCCCATATCATCTGTCATGCTGACATCTTCATGTCCAGCTTCTTGATCATGGTGGGCAATATTTATAAGTACTGTTAATAGTATTTAACAGTCATCAAGTTACTGGTGTGAATTAATAGACATAGGAATTAAATGCTTGTGAGTTCTGGGATTCTTATTTTTGGTGGTTTCTTTTTTTATCTTACCCATGGATTAACTTTTAGTAAGGAAAAAAATGAATGGATAAAATACCTCTAATAAATCTGCATCCAGTTTGCAACCATGTAAGAATGATGCCAAAACACTTCTATTAATAAAAGCACAACAATTCCATTTTCTAAAGACAAAATTAAAATGAAGAAATGGAAGTGAAATTGTTGATAATAATGTTTACAATAATAATAAGATAAAAATCAGTAAATTCTCTAGTGTAATTTTAACCATAAATGAAGTTTACTATGTCCTCACTAAGGGTAATGGTGGAACAGCTTGTTATCAGAGTGATCCTCTTGCCCAGAAAATCATAAGCTATAAAAGAAGGACAAAGTACAACTGTGTAAAGGCAGCACATCAGCAGATTACAGTAGATTAATCTGCTGTAATTAAAGGCAGCAGCCAACAGCAGATTAAGACTGGAAGGGATTCAATTCTTGAGAGAAAGGGACAGGTTAGGTAAGATAATATTTGTTCAGCTTTTCCTAGGGGCATTTCCCAGCCCAAGACAGAAATATAAATAAAAAAATAAAGCTGCCCTGGGAAGTCAGAAGACACATTTAGGGGAAGATAGAGACTGGAAATTGAGGGACCCATGGCAGTGAATACCAAAAACCGTGTAGAAACTTCTCTCAAATACTTGGTTGACTCCAGAACACATGGTGAGACAAGACTCCAAAGAGCCCAGGGAGGTTATCAACAGCTGAGAGTTTTAAAAAGCTGAGCAGAAATTTCTGCAGCTTCCCACGAAAGAGAGAGATACACTTTAGAGTTCATATTTTGCCAAGTTAGAGTGACTTTCCATTGAAACAAAAATGAAGCATGTCTTAAGAATCAAGAGCAAATCAAATAAAGACCTATCTAACAATGCCTAAAACCAAGCTTCCACCATTCTTGATGAACTATATTAAATTTTTAAGGAAGAAACAACAAGAGCCTTACATAATTTCTAAAAAGAGAAGGAAAGGGAAGGGAAGAAATCAAATCATTTTGCGAGACTAGGCCAATCTTGATACAAAAATTGAAAAAAAAAAATCCATGAAAGTGTGAGGTTCATGTTAAGGGTTTGTTATTTATTTTGTTTTCTTTTGTGTTTATTTTTGTGGGTGTCCACTTACTGCGGCACCATTTGTTGAAAAATCTTTTCTCCGTTTAATTGCTTTGTACCTTTATCAAAAAATCAGCTGGGTGTATTTGTGTAGATCCAGTTCTGGATTCTCTATTTTTTCCCATATTTTCCAATGATGTCTATCCCTTCACAAAAACCATGTGGTCTTGATTGCAGTAGCTATATAGTAGGCCTTAATATTGGGTAGAATAATTTCTCCCATTTATTCTTCTATTTCAAGATTGATTTAGCTATACTAGGGACTGTACTTTTCCACGTAACTTTTGGAAAAATCTTATCTGTATCTACAGAAAGACTTGCTTGGATTTTGATAGGAATCTCATTAATCCTATGATAAATTTGGGAAAAATTAACATCTTTACTACGTGAAGTCTTCCAATCCATGAACATGATATATATAATCTCTACCTTTATTTAGGTGTCCTTTTATTCTTTCATCAGCATTTTGTAATTTTCAGTATACAGATATTATACATGCTTTGTTAAGTTTATACCTAATATGTCATATTCTCTTGGGTGATTATAAATGGTATTATATTTTTAATTTTGGTTTCACGTGACCATTATTAGTATGTATAAATATAGTTGATCTCTTGTATCCAGTGAACTTACTGAACAAACTTACTAACAGGAGATTTTATGTTGATTCCATCGCTACATACATAATCATATCATTTACAAATATAAACTAATTTATTTGTTCATTTCCAATCTGTATGCCTTTCATTTCTTCTTCTTGTCATATTGAGGTGAAGGTGGGCTTTTATTGAAGTGAAGGTGGGCTTCCTTGCTTTCATCTTGATCTTAGAAGGAAATCATTCCATTATTCATCATTAAGTATGATGTTAGTTATAAGTGTTTTGTAGAAACCATTTATGAATACAAGGAAGTTCCCCATCCATTCCTTGTATGCTGAAAGTTTTTAATATGAGGGCTTATCAAATATTGTCAAGTACATTTTCTGCATTAACTAATGTATTCATGTGATTTTTCTTTTTTTAGCTTATTGATAGGGTAGATTATACTGATTGATTTTCAAATATTCACCTAGCCTTGTACTGCTGGAATACATCCCACTTGTTCATAATACATAGTCAGTTTTATCCATTATTAGATTGGAGTTTTTTATTTTTTGTCATTTTGGTTTTACCTTATTAATTTCAGTTTATTGTGGAAAGAGCATTTAACATGAAATCAACCCTCTTCAATTTTTAAGTGTGCAATGCAGTATTATTGACTATAGGTATAATGTTGTATAGAAGAGCTCTAGAACTTATTCATCTTGATTAACTGAAATTTTATGCTCCTTGATTAGTAACTGCCCAGACCCTGACAACTACCACTCTACTCACATATAAGAGGAATCATGCATTATTTGTCTTTCTGTGACTGGCTTATTTCACTTAGCATAGTAACCTCAAAATTTATTCATATAGTGTCATATTGCAGAATTTCTATTCTTTCTAAAGATTGAATAATACTTTATTATATGTACAGATACCACATTTTCTTTATCCATTAATCCATTCATGAACACGTAGGTCGTTTCCACATCTTGGCAGTTGTGAATAATGCTGCCATAAGCATGGAAGTATGCTACTGTCTCTTCAAGATCTTGATTTCAACTCTTTTATTTTTATATTTCAAATTTTTATTTCAATAGCCTTGGGGGTACAAGTGGTTTTTGCCCAGAAGTGGAATCACTGGATTATATAGTAGTTCTATTTCTAATATTTTAGGAATCACTACTGTTTTTCATATTGGCTGCACCATTTTGCATTCCCAAACGTAAAAGAGTTTCAATTTTCACACCTTTGTTAACACTTATCTTTTTCTTTTTGATGATATACGTCTTGAGAGGTATGAGGTAATATCTCATTGTGGTTTTGATTTGCCTTCACTGATAATTAGTGACAGTATTTTTTTTCATATACCTGCTGACTGTTTGCATGTCTTCTTTGGAGAAATGTCTTTTTAAGTCCTTAGCCCATTTTTAAATCAAGTTACCAGGGGTTTTTTTTTGGCTGTCGAGTTCTAGGAGTTTCTCATATATTTTGGATATTACTTGTTAATCGGGTATAGTCAGCAAATATTTTCTCCCATTCCATACATTACTATTTCATTCTGTTGATTATTTCCTTTGTTCTGCAAAAGGTTTTTTAGTTTGATGTAATCCCACTCGTCAATTTTTACTTTTGTTGCCTATGCTTTTGATGTCATATTCATGAAATCAGTGCCAAGACCAATGCATAAAGCTTTTCCCCTGTTTTGTTCTATGTCTTTTACAATTTCAGACCTTACTTTTAAGTCTTTAGTTTGAGTTGATTTTTGTTTATGGTGTAAAATAAAGGTCTAATTTCATTCTTTTGCAAGTGGATATTCAGTTTTCCCAAAACCGTTTTTTGAATAGACTCTCTTTTCCTTGTTGTGTTTTTTTATTGTTTGTTTTTATTTTTTTTTATTTTATTTTATTTAGTTAGTTATTTTGAGGCAGGGTCTCGCTCTGTTGCTTAGGCTGGAGTGCAGTGTCATGAACTCAGCTCACTGAAGCCTCAACCTCCTGGGCTCAAGTGATCATCCCACCTCAGCTTCCCCAGTAGCTGGGACCACAGACACATTCAACCACACCTGGCTAATTATTTTTATTTTTTTGTAGAAAGGTTTCACTATGTTTCCCAGGTTGGTCTCAAACTCCTGGGCTCAAGCAGTCCTCTCACCTCAGTCTCCCAAAGTGCTGGAATTCTAGGCATGAGCCACCATGCCTGACCCTCATAATGTATTCTTGACATCCTTGTCAAAGATCACTTGGTCTTATATGCATTTATGTATTTCTACGCTCTCTATTCTGTTCCTTTGGTCCAGAAGTCTGTCTTATGCCCATATTATCCTGTTTTGATTATTGGAGCTTCATAATATAGTTTGAAACCAAGAAATGTGATGCCTCCAGTTTTGTCCTTCTTTCTACAGAGTAATTTGGCTTTTTGTAATCTTTTGTAATTCCATATGAATTTCAGAACTTTGTCTCTATTTCTGTATAAAATGCCTTTGGGATTTTGATAGGGATTGCATTGCATCTGTAGATCACTTTTAGTAGTGTGAACGTTTTAACCACACCAAGTCTTCCAATCTATGAATACAAGATGCCTTTCTCTTTGTGTCTTCTTTAATTTTTTCACCAATGTTTTGTAGTTTTCAGTACAAAAGTCTTCTGCCTACTTAGTTTAGTTTATTACTATGTAATTTATTATTTTTGGTGCTATTGTAAATGAAAGTCTTATTCTAATTTTCTTTTCCGATCACTCATCCTTAGTGTACAGAAACACAACTGATTTTTGATGGTGAGTGACTTTGTATCCTGCAATTTACTAAATTTATTAGTTCTAACAGTTCTTTTGGTGGAAGCTTTAAAGTTTTCTACATATAACATTATGTCATCTGCAAACAAGACAGGGACAATTTTACTTTTTCCTCTCCAATTTGGATGCCCTTTCTTTCTTTTTCTTGCCTATTTTCTCTGGCTAAGACTTCCAGTACCATGTTGAATAGAAGGAGTGAGATTGGCCATATTTGTCTTGTTATTTATCTTGGGGGGAAAAGCTTTCAGTTTGTCACAACTGAGTATGATGTTATCTTTGACTTTTTCTTACATAGCCTTGTAATGTCTAGAAACTTCCCTTTGATTCCTAGTTTGTTTAGAGTTTTTCATCCTGAAAGGATGTTGAACTTTGTGGAGTGTTTTTTTCTGCATCTAAGACAGTCATGTGATTTTTTATACAACATTCTATTAACATGGTATATTATATTAATTGATTTTTACATGTTGAACAATCCTTGCATCCCAGGGGTAAATTCCACTTGGTCCTGGTGTATGAGCCTTTTAATGTGCTGTTAGATTTTATTTGCTAGTATTTTGTTGAGAATTTTTGTATCTATACTCATCAAGAATATGGCTTATTGCTTCTTTTCTTGTGGTATCTTTGTCTTACTTTGGTATCTGGATAACACTGGCTTCATAAAATGAGATTCCCTTTACTTGAATTTTAGAAGAGTTTGAGAATTAATTCTTTAAACATTTGGTAGAATTTACCATTAAAGCTACCTGGTCTGAAGATTTTCTTTGTTGGGAGGTTTTTAATTACTGATTCAATCTCCATATTAGTTACAGGTTGGTCACACTTTCTATGTATTCATGATTCAGTTTTGGCAGGTTGTATGTTTTTTCAAATGTATCCATTTTTTCCAATTTATCCAATTTGTTAGTATGCAATTTTTCTTAATTTTCTCTATGGTCTTTTTTATTTTTGTGGCATCAATTGTAATGTTTTTTCTTTCATTTTTTATTTTTTATTTATGTGAGTCTTTTACCTTTTTCAGTTATTCTAGCTATTAATAAAAGTTTGTCAGTTTTGTTTAATTTTTTGAAAAATCAACACTTATTTGTTGTTTTTCTATTATTCTCTATTTTCTATTTTATTAATATCTGCTGTAATTTTTGTTATTTTTTTCCTTCTGCTAACTTTGGGCTTAGTTTATTTTTCTGTTTGTACCTTCTTGAGGCATAAAGTTAGGTTGGTTGTTTGAGATCTTCCTTCCTGTTTAATGCAGGCTTTTATCACTATAAATTTTCCTCTTAGTGCTGCCTTTGTTGTATTCCTTAAGTTTTAGTATTTTGTGTTTTTGTTTTCATTTGTCTTATGGTATTTTCTAAACTCTTTTTTTATTTCTTCTTTGACCCAATGATTGTACAAGAGTGTGTTGTTTAATTTTCACATATTTGTGAATTTTCCAATTTTCTTTCTGCTATTGATTTCTTATTACATTCTATTGTGGTCAGAAAAGATACTTGATCTGATCTCAGTCTTCTTAAATTTGTTATGCTTTGTTTTGTGACCTAATGTGTGATTTATCCTGGGAAAAGTTCTCTGTGCATTCGAGAAGAATGTGTATTCTTCAGCTTTTGGGTAGAATGTTCTGTATAATCTGTTAGGTCTATTTGTTTTATAGTGTTCAGTTACACTGTTTCCTTATTGATCTTCTGTCTGAATGTTCTATCAATTACGGAAGGTAGGTTATTGAAGTCTACTATTATTATATTGATGTCTATTTTCCATTGAGTGCTGTCAATGTCTGCTTTATATATTTAGATGTTCTGATATTGGGTGCATATATAATTGTTATATCTTCCTGGCAGATTGGCCCTTTTATCATTATATAATGTCATTTTTTAATCTCTTGTGGCAGTTTTTGTCTTAAAGTCCATTTCATCTGATGTCAATATAGCCACCCCTGCTCTCTTTTGGTTACCATTTCTATGAAATATCCTTTTCCATCTCTTTACTTTCAGCCTATGTATGTCCTTAAATCTAAGGTGCGTTTCTTATAAACAGCACATAGTTAGGCCTTGTTTTTTCATCCATTCAGCCATTCTATGTCTTGTTATTATAGAGTTTAATTCATTTTTATTAAAAGTAATTATTTATATGGAAGAATGTACTATTGTCATATTGTTGTTTTCTGTTAGCACTCTCTGTAGGATTTCTTGTGAGGGAGGTCTAATAGTGATGAACTCCCTCAGCTTTTCTTTGCCTGGGAAAGTGTTTAACTCTCTTTTATTTTTTAAGACAGTTTTGTGGGATATAGCATTCTTAATTGACAATTTCTTGTAATTCTTTTGTCTTTTCCTCTCTTGCTGTCTCTCTTTGTATTTTGTTGAGTTTTTTCTATTGGTATGTTTTGGTTCTTTTATGTTTTCTGTGTGTGTAACTGTGTGCATGGGTTTTTGTGTATGTATGTGGTTACCTTGAGGTTTACATAAAATATCTTAGACATAAATCCATTTAAAGCTGATAACGACTTGATTTATGGCACACACAATAACACTACACTTTAGCTTGTCCCCCTCCACACATATACTTTATGCTATAGTTGTCATAATTCACATCTATTTATATTGTATATCTTTAACAAATTTTAGTTATAGGTATTTTAATACTTTTGTCTTTTAACTTTTATGTTAGAATTAAAAGTGATTTCCTCAACACCATTACAGTAATACAGTGTCCTGTATTTGTCTAATACTTACAATTGTTTACCTTTACAATTTTTATGCTTATGATATTGTGTTACCACTTAGTGTTTTTGTCTTTCAACTTTAAGAACTCTCTGTAGCATTTCTTGTAAAGCAGTTCTAATAATGATGAAATCCCTCAGCTTTTCTTTGCCTGGGAAAGTATTTAACTCTCCTTTATTTTTTAAGACAGTTTTGTAGGATACAGTATTCTTGGTTGGCAGTTTGTTCTTTCTGTGCTTTGAATATATCATCCTTCTTACTTCCAGACTACAAGGTTTCTGCTGGAAAACCCACTGATAGTTTTTTAAAGGTTCTTTTGTACCTTTATAAAGGTACAAAATTGTTTTCAAAATTCTGTCTTTGTCTGACTTTAACAATTTGATTATGTGTCCTGGTATAGATTTATTTTATTTAGTGTCCTTTAGAATTCTTGGATCTGGATGTCTGTGTATTTTCCCCAGATTTGGAAGCTTATCTGTAGAACTTAAGACATTATTTTTTTTGGATAAGCTTTCTGGTCCTTTATCTCTTCTCCTGATACTTCTATAATATGTATATTGGTCCACTTGATGGTGTCCCATATTCCCTTAGGTTTTCTTCACAATTTTTCATTGCTTTTTTCTTTTTGCTCCTTTGATTGAATTATTTACAGTGGCCTGTTTTTTGAGTTCCCTGATTCTCTTGCTTCATATAGTCTGCTGTTGAACACTTATAGTGAATTTTTTAGTTCAGTTATATGTTCTTCAGCTCTATGATTTCTTGTTAGTACTTTTTTATATTTCCTATCTCTTTGTTGAAATGCTTGCTTTGTCATGCATTGTTCTCTTGACCTCCATGAGCACCTTTATGACTGTTATTTTGAATTCTCTGACAAGCAAATCATATACCTCTGTTTTGTTAGTGTCTGTTTCTGGAGTTCTATCATGTTACTTTGTTGGATACATCTTTGCCTGACTTTTATTTTCTTTAACACTCTGTGTTGGTGTCTGTACATTAGGTAAAGCAACCTTTTCTCCTAAACTGTACAGATTGGCCTCATAGAGAACAAGACCCCCACCAGTCAGAGATTCTGGGAGCCTCTCAATCCTTCATGCTGGTCTGACCCGCTTCATTGTTCTCCTAACACCCCAGGTGTCTAGGGTATTCTGGGTCCTCACAGTGCACCAGGCCAAGTGAGACTAAAGCTAGTTCTTTTGGCAGCCCCCAGAAAAGTTGGATCATTGGATGCTATGCCTAACTCTTTTCCTCCCCAGGGAGAAGCTATATGCTGGGGATTTTTGCCCACTTGCTATGTGCTAAGCCAGGAAGTGGGTCTATGGTGACTGCCAGCACAAATCTCCATTTCTCCTCTAACTTTCCCCTGCATGGCTAGACTACTTCAGGTCCCTGCAACACTTCAAGTCAGGCAAGTCAGAGGCCAATCCTTTGAGAAGCCCTTGGAAATGTTGTGTCATCATTCACTGAGACCAATTATTTTCCTCCACAGAGAGAGGCAGATAACTGTGGTTTTTGTCTGCTCACTCTGTGCTGAGTCAGGGGAAGGCACTATGGCATCTACCAACCCAAGCCACTGTCTCTGTTCTCCCCCAGGCAGTTAGACTGCACAACACCCGTTAGAGGTCTAAGGCTGACAAAACAGATACCAGTTCTCTGGGGCAGCCCCAGAGAAGTTAGAACGCTGGACACAAGGATCAACTCTTTCTCTCCCAGGAGGGAGTTGAGAGCTGAGATTTTTCATCTGATCTCTCTGTGCTGATGGGAAAGGAGGAACTGTAGAATCTACAAGGCCAAACAGCCATCTCTATTCTCCCCCCATGTGGCTGGCAAGACAAGCTACTCTGAGCTCCTGAATGTGCTAGAGGCATGAACCAATTCTTTCTCCGCGGAAAAGCTGAGGGTTTGGCAGTCTCTTTCTAATCATATGGTGTTGTGCCTGGGGTAAGGATTCCGGTAAGAGGGTGTCCCAAATTTCCCTATCAGCTTTGGTGAGTATAGTTTCACATTTGACAAGGGTGCAGGAGACTTTCAATTACTTTCTGAATTGCCTATACAGGGAATTTGTCCATGAATTGTTGTTGAATTGATGTGTTTGTGGAGGAAAAGAGAGTCTAGGACTTCCCACTCTGCAACATTTGATGACCTTAATGACATTACTCCTATACATTACATGATTTAATTTGCTAATACTTTGTTGAAGATTTTGTGTCTAAGTTCATGGAAGATATTGTGTCTGTAGTTTTTTTCTTTCTTTTTGAAGGGTGGGGTTGATACTTTCTTTATCTGCTTTTAATATTCAGGTAATAGTAGCCTCATAAAATGAGTGAGAAGATTTTTCTTTCATTTCATCTTCTGAAATAAATTGTG
Source organism: Homo sapiens (assembly GCF_000001405.40). Taxonomy (NCBI): domain Eukaryota; kingdom Metazoa; phylum Chordata; class Mammalia; order Primates; family Hominidae; genus Homo; species Homo sapiens. The sequence continues at coordinate 119,575,067 of NC_000006.12, read as the reverse complement.
TAAAAAATTAGTGTTTTGTTTTGTTTTGTTTTGTCTGAGACGGAGTCTCACTCTGTCGCCCAAGCTGGAGTGCAGTGGCACGATCTTGGCTCACTGCAACCTCTGCCACCTGGGTTCAAGCAATTCTCCTGCCTCAGTCTCCCGAGTAGCTGAGACTACAGGCACTTGCCACCACGCCCAGCTAATTTTTGTAGTTTTAGTAGAGACGGGGTTTCACCATTTTGGCCAGGCTGGTCTTTAACTCCTGACCTCGTGATCCACTCACCTCAGCCTCCCAAAGTGCTGGGATTACAGCCGTGAGCCACCACACCTGGCCAAATTAGTGTTAATTTTTAAAAGCCAGATAGAATTCACCAGTGAAACTATTTTTGGTGAATTATTTTTCAGGAGTTCTTAGTTACAAATTTAATTTCTTTGATGGTGATAGTATCATTTAGGTTGCTTATTTCATCTTGGTTGAAGTTTCATAGTTTGTGTTTTTGAGATTTTTTTCATCCATTTCTTCCATGTTGTCAAAGTTATGAGTATTACATTATTCATAATATTTTGTTATCCTTTTAGTGTCTGTGTGACATGTCATTATATCACCTATTCATTCCTGATATGGATTTTTGTCAGTCTTGCTAGAAATTATTGACTTTATTGGAGTCTTTCTTGTCATTTAGAAATATCTTCATTGGTTTTCTCTATGGTTTTCCTGTTTTTTATTTCACTGATTTCTTCTCTTTGTTATTTCATCTTTCTGTTTGCTTTGGGTTTATTTTGCTCTTCTTTTTCTAATTTTCAGATTTATCTACTTAGATTATTCATTTCAGACCTTCCTTTTTTCTAATGTAAGCATTTAGAACTATAAATTTTTTCATCAGCACTGCCTTAGTTACATCCCACATATTTTGATATATTTTATTTTACTTTCATTCAATTTTACCTATTTTTCTATTTACTTTGCAATTTCCTCTTTGATTCATGGATTATTTAGAATTCTGTTGTTTAATTTATTCACGTGTAGAGACTTTCCTGTTATCTGTTACTGATTTCTAGTTTGCTTTTACTATAACCAGAGAACAAACTGTATAATTTCATTTCTTTTAAATATGTGAAATTTTGTTTTATGGCATAGTATATGGTCTATCTTAGTAAATGTTCCAAGAGCATTTGAAGAAAATGTTTATTGTGCTATTATTGCATGATGTATTCTATATAAGTTAAATAAATCCTTTTGGTTGATTTTATTGTACAATTCTATATCCTTGCTGAGTTTCTGTGTAGTATTTCTATCAATTGCTGAGTAAAGTCTTGAAGTTCCCGATTATTTTGTATTTTCACTTGACAGAGAGAGAGAAAGAACTAGCTCCCTTCCTTTTCTTATGAGGACATTAATCCCATCAGAGGGCTCTATATTCATGACCTCATCACCTCCCAACATCTTCACCTCCAAATACCATAACATTAAAGCTTCAACATATGAATGTGCAGGGGACACAACCTCAGTCAATATTTGTCATTATTAACATGTTAGGGCTTACATTCTACCATTATATCATTTGTTTTCTGTTTGTTTCCTCTGTTTCTCTTCTCTTACCTTCCAGTGAATTATTTGAATATATTTTAAGATTTCATCCTGATTTATTTATAGTTTTTGAGAATATCACTTTGTAGAGCTTTCTCAGTAGTTGCTCTAGGTATTACAATACACATACATAAATTTTCACATTTTACCATTTCAAGTGAAGTGTAGAAAACTTCTATTTAGGTCCTTTTTCCTCTCTATTTTTCAAATATGATTGTCCTAAGTAGTTCCCTTTACATATATTGAATACCAGATCAGTTGCTGTTATAACTTTTTCTTCAACTATCAAATATAATTTTAAAAACTTATGAGAAGTAGGACAGTCCATTATATCAGGGGTCCCTAACCCCCAGGCTGCAGACCAGTACCAGTTCCATCACCTGTTAGGAACCAGGCCTCACAGCAGGAGGTGAGTGGCAAGCGAGAAAGCTTTACCTCCTGAGCTCTGCCTCATGTCAGATCAGCGGCAGCATTAGGTTCTCACAGGAGCATGAAGTCTACTGTGAACTGCACATGCAAGGGATGTAGGCTGTGCACTCCTTATGAGAATCAAATGCCTGATGAGCTGAGGCAGAACAGTTTCATCCTGAAACCATCCCCCACTAACCCAGTCTATGGAAAATTTGTCTTCCACAAAACCGGTCCCTGGTGCCAAAAAGGTTGGGGATCACTGCATTATATTCATCTCTATTTTTACACATTCTGATACTCTTCCTTCCTTTTAAAACCTTCAAATCTTACTCTGTTACCATCTTCTTTCTATTTAAAGAACTTTATTCAGTCATTTTTTAAGTTAGATTTGTTGGCAACAAATTTTCTTAGGTTGCCTTCAACTGAGAATGTCTTTGCTTCTCCTCCATTTCTGACAATATTTTTCCTGAATATGGGATTCATGGATTATATTTATTTTCTTTTAGTACTTGAAAAAAATTATGCCACTTACTTCTGGCCTCCATGGTATCAGATGAAAAATCCACTGTCATTCAAATTGATACTCCCATATAAGTAGTGTGTTGCTTGTCTCAGGCTGTTTTCAAGTTTCTTTTTCTTTTTGTCTTCAGTTTTCAGAAGTACAAATATGATGTAGCTTGGCATAGATTTCTTGGGATTTATCTAATTTGGTATTTTCTTAGCTTCTTTTTTCATAGGTTTATGTCTTTTGCCAAATTTGGGGGATTTCCAGCCTTTATTTCTTCAATAAATTTTTCAGGTTCACTCTCTCATCTCCTTCTGGAAATGTGCTTAGAATGAATGCTTGCTTTATTGCTATTGTCCCACTAGCTTCCGAAATTCTGGGGGCTTTGGGGGGGTTGGGGGAGTGAGTTGTTATTCTGTTTTCTTTCTGTTTTTTAGATTGAGTAATTTCTATTGATCTGTATTTTACTGATTCTGTCCTTTTCATCTCCACTGTATTACTGTGGCTATCAAGAGAGCTTTTACGCTAGTTCTTATATTTGTCAGTTCTAAAATTTCTGTTTGGTTCTTTCTTACAATTTCTATTTCTATGCTGAGATTTTCTATCTTTTCATTTGTTTCAAAAATTAATAACTGGTTGTTTAAATATTTTTATTATGAACCACTTAAAATCCTTGCTGGATAATTTTAATATATGATTAATCTCAGTGTTGGTGTCTATAGATTTTTCTTTCATTCATGTTGTTATTTTTCTAGTTCTTGGTATGATAACAATTTTCTATAATACTCTGGACTTTCTGTATATTATGTTATGACACTCTGGATGCTATTGAATCATTTTTTTCAGCAGGCAGTCCCTCTTTTTAGGTGTAACATAATGGATGGGTAGGTGTGTATGATCAGCTTCCCTCTGGGCCCTGACAGCAAAAGTGTACCGCTGACTTGCACTGCCTTGTTGTCTCTGAGTGGATTTGTAAGATCACCTCTAATCTGAGTTCCACTGCCACTAGAATAGAGGACTGACTCACACCTCTTTGTTCCTACATTATGGAGTCAGAAGCAGCTCTCCACTGAATCAAAGGAGATGATGGAAAATCAAGGTGCCAACTAACCTTACTTGCCTCCACCTCCTTCCACCTCATGGATGTAGGATCAGTTCCCCACCGGGTTCTGTTAACATGGGATAGTAGGTGTTTAAAGCCTAGTGTTGTCAACTAGCCTTGCCTCACTAGCCTTGCCTTACACTGCCTTAAGTCTTGTCACTGCTGAGTGGGAGTATATGTTCAGCATGCCACTGGACCCTGTTGACACTACCCTGACAAGGTGAATCTTAGCATCATGTGCTTCTACCAGGTGAGAATACAAGATCCACTTCCCACAGCCTCACCAATGCTACCCCGGCAGGAGAATCAGAGGGCTGCCTGCTTCTGCCTGGTGGAGGATAGAAGATCAGCTGCCCCCCTTCATTCTGCCAATAATCCATCAGTAGGGGAATCAGATAACTGCTGACTGCTTCTGCTGGGCAGAAGATGGAAAAACAGCTCCCAGCTTGGTCCCACTAACACCACACCATGGGGGAATCAGAATTGCTGCCTTCTTCTTCAGGGTGGAGGGGCGGAAGGGATGGTGGAAAATCAACTCCCAATATGGCAAAGTTGAAACTGTAGAAGGCACAGGATGTTTTTTCCACTGATGTTTGGCTGGAGTAGGGTGGGAATTGCCGAATTGGTTTTCTGCTGTTAGACCACTTTTTTCTATCCCTTACCTAAAAGGAAAAGCTGTTTTTGGAGCCAATTTTGTCTCCTGCCATTTCTGGATTGGAGGCTTCCGTGATGCTCTGTCTGTGATGTATGGGAGGCAATAAGTAAACCCAGCTATATCACTGCCATGTCATTCCTAAAGTCCTGAGGTACCTCAGTTGCTCACCTTCTTATTTCCACTCTTCAGAGTATTTCTATGCTTTTTGAATTATGTCTAGAGTACATTTAGTTGTAAGGAGAACAAGAGAGGAATAATGGACCTATCAATTTTTGGTGGAACTAGAAATCCTCCTTTTCAGCAGAACCAGAAGTATTTGCTTCAATTTTTAATAGAGATACAATTTAATAATTTTCTTGAGATATAGTTCACATACCATGCAATTTACTTACTAAAAGTGTATAATTTGGCAGGGCACGATGGCTCACACCTATAATCCCAGCACTTTGGGAATCCAAGGTGGATGGATCACTTGAGGCCAGGAATTCAAGACCAGCCTGGCCAACATGGTAAAACCCCGTCTCTACTAAAAATACAAAAATAAGCCTGGCATGGTGGCATGCACCTGTAATCCCAGCTACCTGGGAGGCTTAGGCAGAGAATCGGTTGAACCTGGGAGGTGGAGGTTGCAGTGAGCTGAGATCGCGCCACTGCACTCCAGCCTGGGTGACAGAGTGAGACTCTGTCAAAAAAAAAAAAAAAAAAAAGCATAATTCTATGGTTTTAGTATATTCACAGAAGTAGGCACACCACAATCAGTCTTAAAACATTTCATCATGCCCCCCAAAAAACTCCATATAGATTAGCAGTCACTCTCTGTTTCCCTTGAACTCCCTAGCCCTAGGCAATCACTAATCTACTTTCTAACTCAATAGATTTGTCTATTTTAGTCATTTCATATAAATGGGATTATATAAAGCCAGTATTTAATGAATGGCTTCTTCACTTAGCATAATGTTTTCAAGGTTCATCCACAGTGTAGCATTTATCAATACTTCATTCCCTTTTATGGCTAAATAATATTCCATTGTATAGAGATACTAATTCTATTTATCCATTCATCAGTTGAAGGACACTTGGGCTGCTTCCATTTTGGGGCCATAATGAATAAGGCGCTATAAACAATTGTGTACAGGTTTTCTTTGTAGACTTTTTTATTTCTTTGAGTACATACCTAAGGGAAGAATTAGTGGGTCTTATAACAACTCTTTTTCTTCTTTTGAAGAGCTGCCAGACTGTTTTCCAAAGTGCCTATACCATTTTACATTCCCACCAGTGGTGTATGAAGGTTCCAATTTCTTCACATCCTTGCCATCACTTGTTATTATGTCGTTTCGATTACAGCCATTGTAGTGCATGTTGTTTTGATTTTCATTTATTTGGTGACTAATAACACTGAACATCTTTCCATGTGTTTATTGGTAATTTGTATATCTTTTTGGAGAAATGTCCATTCGGATCCTTTGCCCATTTTGTAATTGGGTTGTTTGTCCTTTTATAATTGAGTTGTGAAATTCTTTATATATTCCACATACCAGTAACTTATCAGATATATGATTTGCAAATATTTCCTCCAATTTTGTAAGTTCTTTTCCCCTTGTTAATAAACTCCTTTGAATTACAAAAGTTTTAATTTTAATAAAGTTCAACATCTCTTTAATTTCTAAGAAACAAGTAACATAATGTGCATTCGTGATTTTTCTTCAATAGTGTATGTAGAAATATGTTCTGGTCTAAATTTATGTTATTTGTTGAGTAGGCATCTAGAAAAAGATAAAATATCCTTTAGAATTTTTCTAATAAAGAGAGTAACCATTTTTCCTTGTTCTATGCCATCTTTTGAGGTCCTGTTTCAGACAAAATTTGTATAAACATTATACCAATATGTGATCTGTGTGATTTTTTTTATTATTTTATTTGTCGTTTTTACTTCCTCTCAACTGTTTTAGAATGGTTTTACTTGCTCTACAAATATTTTTTAATTGGACCATGAATGTAAAATTCAATAGACATGTATGCAGAATAAAGGTTGAGAAACTTGTATAGTCATCAAAATTGTTTGTATTTAGGAATGAATAAAAATTTTGACAAAAGTCATACTCTATCTGAGCTCGAACTGGGGTTCAGAGAGGAGTCCAAGAAGTTCCCTGTAAGTGCCCTGGATGCCATCCTGTGCATTGCATGAGGCCTCTGCTAAAATCTTTCTATGAATCTTGGTGAGCTACCAAACCATGCAGTGTTAACAGTTCCCTGTCACAACGGAGACAATGGATTCTGAAAATAGTAAATGGAGGTGATCAATATTCTATCATGTTTCATGGTGTTTGATCTTTAAGAAAAATAAATGCCAACTAAACTGCTTTTCAAATGAGATGTGCTGGAAGAAAAAGGGCCTGAAGCTTGGACCCAAAAATCATTTCCTAAAACAATTTTATGGGAGCATAAAATTCCAGCATTATAGCATAATATGTAATACTATTTTATAGTGTAGAGTATTAGTTTAGACATTACACTTTGTTCAGTAATAGCTTATTGAATATATAGTATGTGAGAAGACAATAATAAAAGGGTGAACATTGTGAAACACAGATTTGAAGGTGCGTGGAGTCCCTCACCCTGATATTTTACAAGCATAGTTAATCAGACATTATTTTAGAATGGCTTATCTAGCGTTTTGAAATTTATTAATCAGGGATTAAACAAACTACAAAACAAAGTAATTAACTGAGCTGAAAGAAAGTAAATCCTATTAGAGGTGCAATATGCTTAGTATTCTGAGATTGCAATTACTAAATATTACAGAGCAAATTATGTAAAAATATTTCGATGACCAGTATATTTTCTAGAGGGTATGATTTGCAATTTCTTCAAAATTCCCACATACAATGTTTAGCTGACCAATTAACTAGCATTACTAACTACTTTAGCGTTATTAAAGAAGAAGAAAATAAGAAGTGTTGTTGGCATGTCAGCCTCATTAAAACCAATAGTTCATGGAATGCTAAGGGTATGTACATTGCAGAGGGTGTGCACTCCTTTGTTTGTGGCCTATGAAGTAAAGAGATGAAGGGAGCAGTAGTGGCTGGGAAATTGTCCATAAGGTCCATTGTAATTTTAAAAAAATCATCTTTTACAATTTTTTAAAGAACATAGCAATTATGAAAATTTTGAAATGATAGGATTATTAAAATGAAAATTAAAATTACTCATAACTCTACTATCCAGCATACATTACTATCAAAATATATTTGCAAACTGTTTTCAGTGTATAGAATACATATAATATATAGTGCAAAATATATTTCACAAAATTTAGTCACGTTATATATACTGTAAGAATATTTACCTTTATTAAAAACGCTGCAAAATAATGTTGTTAATGGTGCCAAGTATTTTATTATGTAAATAATAATAGTTTACAAAAACTGCTTCACCCATACAGTGTTCCTTGAAACAGTACCATCTGGTGTGATGTTAGAGGATATTACACAAAAAAAGAGAGCAGTCTTAATAAATCTGACAAACACTGTTAATAAGTGTTTTACGAAGAAATTCTCAGAGTTATAATACGTTAATGTGCATGACCAGACTGAAAGAGAGTAGTGCAGCCGCATCTTTGTCTGGGGTAAATACCCGAGGTTCGTTATCTCGCGCCAAGAAAATTAGGGAAGGAGCACACGCAGGTAGTGAGTTTCAGAGCAGATATATAATAGTCAAAAGAAAGAGAAAGGAGAACGACTCTCTCTCTTGCGAGAGAGAGGGACGCCGGACTGGGAATTCCGGCCTGCAGCAGAGTGCACCGGATTTTATAGACAGGCTTGAGGAGGCGGTGTCTGAGTTACATAGGGCCCAGAGATTGGCTGGACCAGGTGTGACGTTTACATAGCGTGTGGGGAAGGCTGGACACCCCACCCTAATCTTATTATGCAAATGGACTTTCCACTTGGCAGCACTACGTTTTCTGTTCCTTACTGTACATGTGGCCTGCAAAAAGAAGGGAAAATGGAGCCACCATTGTGAACATGCCTAGTCCCAAGTGGCTTTTTCCTATTGGTACAACTGCCAGCATTCACCCACGCAAGCTTTGAACTTGTTTGTCTATGTCTGCAGCTCGATTTTACAAGCTACTCCTTGTTATAAAAGAAAATGACTTGGGGGCTGCTTTTCATAAAAAGGAAAACCTTACCAAGGACTTATTTATCCTCACTGTCTGCCTAAATAATTTCTCCTTAACCCCTATATCAGTAGTAAATTTAAAGTTTTCCCATGCTTATTTGACTACCAATGGTATCCTTTTTCATGATTTTATTATTATTATATAATCTATTCTTACACATTATTATATCTCTACATTAGATAATGCATATCTATTATATTAGTCTTATATAATCCATTTTAAGATTTCTATTAATATCTTATAAGATACTAGTGGACTATACAACATAATGTGGGAAACACTGAACTAAAATATTCTTCTGCATATCAGTTAGTCTTTGCTGCGCAACAACCTACCCTAAGACTTAGTAGCTTTAAAATGATAATTATTTATTTGCTCACAATTCTGTGGATCAGCGATTTGGGCTGAGCACACCTGAGATGTCTCAGTAGCTCCGTGTAATGTTAGCTGGGCTTACTCCCATGCCAGGGCCCTGCTGAGCCAGCTCAAATGGCTGGGCCTCACTTGCCCTGAAGTCTCTCACCCTCAAGGAGGCTAGCCCTGGCTTGTTCATGTCGTAGCAGGGTTCTGAGAGACAGAGCAGAAGCTGCAAAGTCTCTTCAGGCCTGTGCTTGGAATTTATATGTCATTCTTGCCTCATTCTATTGGTCAAACCAAGTCACAAGGTCAGTTAAGATTCAAGGGGGTGAGGAAATGGATTCCACTTCTTTATGGGAGACAACTGCAAAGAATTTGTGACCATCTGCAATCTACCATACCTCTTGTCAAACATGTATGTTGTTTCTAGATTTTAGCTGCTATAAATAATACAGTGAGGAATATCCTTATATGTAAAACTTTGTGTGTACTTTTAATGGTTTCTTTAGGATAAATTCTCATAAGGTAAGAATTGCTGTGTCAAGAGCTATGGCTATATTTAAGGATTTAATATGCATTGCCAAATTTGGTAGAAATACTATAGCAATCCCCTTTCACCAGCAATATGCATCCCAGAACTTTTTTCTTCCATTTTATTTGAGACAAATATTGCTTACTTTCAGCTAACATAGCCTCTAAATTTTACTGTAATATGGCCAGGAGTGGTGGTTCATGCCTGTCATCCCAGCACTTTGGGAGGCCAAGGCAGGCAGATCACTTGAGGTCAGGAGTTCGAGACTAGCCTGGTCAACATGGTTAAACCCTGCCTCTACCAAAAATATAAAATTAAGCTAGGCATGGTGGTCCACTCCTGTAGTCCCAGCTACTCAGGAGGCGGAGACACAAGAATCACTTGAATCCAGGAGGCAAAGGTTGCAGTGAGCCAAGATTGCACCACTGCACTCCAGCCTGGTGCCAGAGTGAAACTCTGTCTTAAAAAAATAAGAAGAAATAAATTTTACTGTAATATTATCCTTGAAGTCCATGCTACAAGACCACACTTTATAGGTGAAGTAGTTTTATAAGAACAAGATACTTTGGGTTTCTCAGTAGCTAAGTCTCTTTTATGAGGTCCAAAATAAAATACATTTATGCAAAATTCAACTATGTGGAGAAACAGCATTATTTTCAAACTCACTAAATTTTTTTGCACTCTTGTAATAGGAAAATGCCATAGCTAATTTTCTATAGCTTGGATAATTTATGATATAATCCCAATGACCTAATCAAACATATTTACTTTGGAGACATCAATGAAGAAAAAGTACAAGTTACAAAGGAAAGGTAACTTATAAGACTTGGAAACTTTTTTTCTGAGGAAGGGGGAAACTATAATTATCATAAAGAAAATGAAACTAATTTTTCTAGAATAGAATTTTCTTTTCTCATCACCCTTTTCTGAACACATCCTTCTTGTCATGTTGAGGAGGTTTGGGAAGCTCTTTGGTAAAACATAGTAAAGATACTGAGACTGCTAGCCTAAGAGCCCATTGAGTTATGTGAAGATAAAGTCAACATTTTCCAATACAGATTTTTTTTTTTTTTGCATATTCTTCACTTAAACTTGAAGGGTTTAAAACTTCTGGCTGGGCATGGTGGCTCACACCTGTAATCCCGGCACTTTGGGAGGCCAAGGTGGGCTGATCATGGGTCAGGGGTTCGAGACCAGCCTGACCAACATGGTGAAACCCCATCTCCATTAAAAATACAAAAATTAGCCGGGCGTGATGGTGTATGCCTGTAATCCCAGCTACTCAGGAGGCTGGGGCAGGAGAATCGCTTGAACCCAGGAGGCAGAGCTTGCAGTGAGCCGAGATCGCACATTGCACTCCAGCCTGGGTAACAGAGTGAGACTCTATCACAAAAAAAAAAAAAAGGGAAAGAAAAGAAAAGAAAATCTTCTTCCAGCTCTTCATGGTAAGGCTCTTATATTAACTTTCTAGAGTGGCACTGAGAGAAACCCTGAGAAGTTCAAGAACCTGGTGCCATGCTCCCACAAACAAAGGAAGCTTAGGCATCTATCTGAGGTAGAGTCTCTGGATTTGAAGATGACTTGATGGGAAAAGTAATGTCTTGCATCATACTCAGGCTTCCTGTGTATTTATAATTACCTAATGGTATAATTTTATTTTTCTGCCAATGGATATACCTGCATTCTCTTTGAGATGTTGTGGGTATGATAAAGGGGTTATATTTGGGAGAACCAATATCTTGGATTATTGAGATACAAGCAGTGTCTGACCAGGCCCAAATAAAGTGACAGCATAGAACAGATCCAGGAACACTTCACTATAGAAGTTGCACTATTAGAAGGTGGTGTCAAGGAATGGGGTAGATTCAGCTTGGGTAGTCATGGGAATAGGAATGCTTCTTCAATGGGAGAATAATGTAGTGGAGAAAAATATGATCAAAGCACCATGGACACTCTAGGAGAATAAAGTTCAGAACCAGAAAGCTGAGCTTTGCAATATGGAATGGATTTATGAGGTTAATCTCTAAAGGAAATTTCATGCAGAGGGTATGAGAAAATGGACTCATGGAGAATTACCTACACTTTTGCATCCTTGAATGCAGAACTGTGGAGAAAGATAGATTATTTCTGGAAAAGCTTATTTCTGGTGTTATTGGAAAAGATTATTTCTAGGGATATTACCAGAGAGAAATGATGGAATTAAGAAGAGAATCCAAGCCAGTGTTAATCAGGCACTGCCCATGTTAAGATCATGACACTAGGTGCCAAAGTTCTGAAATATGTATGTAGAGTAAATGCCATGAAAAAAAATGAATTGTATGTTTACTTTACAATGGAATTGTTACAGCAGTGGTCTATGCCAGAGAATAGTCCATTCATTCTAAAGAATGAAAAGGCTGTCAGATTATTTAGTCTTGGAGGGCCCTGTCTTTAAAGATGGTGCATGGTGAAAGTTAAGAAGATTTCATTCCACTCCCACACCCCACAGGATGCTGGCTTTCAGGCAGATTTTCACGGGATTGTTCAAGGATCTGAGCATCCTGGGATTCCTCATAGTGGTGAAGGGGAGGCTCCATGGCAATTACCAATGTGGGGAAGAACTGCATGTGCAGGTGAATCTCAGAGGGTCCCTCAATAAAGTTTGACAACATGCAAAAATGTTAAAGATAGATCAGAAGTAGGCCTGTGACCCCTATGCCATTGCTGCCCTAGCCCCAAGTGGCATTCAGCTCCAAGCAGCTGTGACCAGCTCCTTCGATCTTAGGTGCCCCCACAACCTTAAGCTGTCATTCCCTAGGCTTGTGGGACTAAAAGTAAAGGTGTCACTGTGAATAAAAGAAGAGTTAGGAATGCCAAGAATAGCTGAGCTACAGGTCTTGAATTACTAGCATTTTCACTGGCAAAAAGTGAGATTTACAAATCCCAAGTATGCAAAGATACAAATTCCATTATACTGTATTTCATAGAATTTAAGACACCATCATTTGTAAGATGCAGTGTTATTTTGTGTACTATTAAGAAAGAGAAATCACTGCCAACTAAACTATGATACACCATGGATTTTTGAGCCGTATCTCAATTTCAGATATGTTAAGATGTGAAAAAACGTGCATCTTGGAATCAGTGAACTAAAGTATTTCTATAAGTATACTTAACTCTCAAACTCCTTTTTTACTGATGATAACAGACACATTCATCTTTCCAGTTCAAAGTAAACTCTGTCTTTTCTGGATTTTACTCAGTCTCATCTGGGTAAACAGAATTCTCCTAGAGATAGTTCAGAGAGAGGGGCTGTTTTCTTAATTTCACAAGGGAGAGTGCCATAGTTCTGCTCAGACCACAGGATCTCAGCTGACATGTAATGCAATCTGCTGTGGTCATCTGGAACCCTTTCAAGGTCTCTATTCTCCCAGTCCAGGTGTTCTGTGTCTGGCATGAGCAACACTGCAAGATGCCTGCAAGTCAGTCAGCTTTTTTGTCCATCACTAGGGAACCTCAGACACTCCCAGCTGCCTTTCCCACCCTACAGTGAGATATAGGACCCATCAGATTACACATCTCTGTCAACTAGGGCCATACTCCTGTCCTGACCCCATGCTACACCGAGGGTTTTTCAGAGAGACCTGTAATTTCTCCTGATTGCAACCTGGAGAGGAAGGTATAGATCCCTCTTCTTGGAGAACCCCAAACTTGTTTCACATTTCTATTGCCCCGCTAACACAAAGGGCTTCAACCCCAAAGACAAGCCAGGTGTATTTTCCTTTCCCAGGAACTCACAATAACCAATTTTATTCTTCTCTTCTCTCAACTTCACTCCCACCCTAGGTCAACTGATTTATCTTTATTCCCAAAGGCACAACAATCTGCCTAACTATTCAGACTAACCTCTTGTTTATGCCAGAATCATGGCTTTTGATGATGTACAAATGTCTCCCCAGAAATTCAAATGCTAACGATTTTATCCTTTTCTTGCTCTGAATAATCACTCACCCTGAAGCCAGCTCATACAGAAAGCTGAGGAGAAAGGAATAAGAAAGGTGAGTAGTAGAAACAAGAGAAAAAAGTCTTAAGTTAACATGCCAAAATACAATACAGTAATAGTAACCCTTTATCCACGGGAATGCTTCCTAAGACCCCCACAGTGGATGCCTAAAACCACAGATAGTACCAAACTCCATATATACTATGCTTTTTCCTATATCCATACATGCCTATGATACATTTTAATTTAAAATTAGGCATAGTAAGAGATTAATAACAATAACAAATAATAAACTAGAAAAATTATAACAATATATTATAATAAAAGTCACACAAATGTAGTCTCTCCTTCTCTCTCTCTCAATTATTGTACCATACCTATTTTCAGAGAGCAGTTGCCCATAGGTGGGTGAAATCACAGAAAGTGAAATCACAGATAAGGAGGTAGTACTGTACCACTAAAACAGTAATCCTATGAAATCTGGCCCACATTCTCCCTAAAACACCTGAAGGGGTTGTGCCTAACCATATCTTGGGTTAAATTTGCTAGGTGCATAATTTTTTGGAGTAAGTTGTAGGGTTGGCAAAGCACTTCAAAGATGTCCTCCAATCCCAAAGATCTGAGCTGTTAGCTATAACAATGGAGATAAATTGTATTTTAGGAGTTATCCACTACTGTCAGTAGCAGGCAAGGAACCCATATGCGGCCACACTCCAATGCATTCATTGAGCATTGCTGTACTCCCTCCAAGAGAAGATAGGAAGAGCCAGGAATCAGCCAACAACTTATAGAATTGACTCCATAGATCCCCAAGAGCCAGAATTGATGTCAAAAACGGCCCAAATTCTTCACCCTTTCCTTTATTCATGCCTCTGCAATGTGACTTTTAAGTTTCTTTCATCAAGCAGTAAAATCTATTTCCCCACCTGAATCTAGTTTGGCCCTATGATTCGATGTGGCTCTTGGAATGGACCAAAGTGGCTGTGTGCCACTTCCAAGCCTGGACATCCAAAAGCCTTTCATGTTTCTACTTTCTCTCTCCTGAAACTCTGTCCAGCATCATGAGAATAATTCCAGACTCATCTGCTGGATAATAAGTCACCCCTATCAGCCAACAGCAACCAACCTCCAGACATCCTTTTTCACTCAGCCATTGCACTGAATGATGCACATGTGAGCAAGGCCAGCCAAGATCAAAACTGCCGAGCAGACCCATAGACTTGTGACCAATAATAAAATGCCAGGGCTTTTCATACTATTTTTTGGAGTGATTTATTATGCAGCAATATCTAAAGAATACAGAAAATTGATACCTGAAATGGGATGCTGCCTTAAAAACACATAAGACACCATTGGTTTGGGGACTGGGTAAGAAGCAGAGGCTGGAAAATAGTGGGCAGACTGTTAGCAAAAGTCAGAAAAATGGTGAGAAAATAATACTAGAGGATGAAAATGTGGTGGCCTGTATTATGGGGTAGTGAAGCAGGTGACAGAACAGTTGCCTGCCTTACTTGAAAGATGAAAAGTGTATGCAGTGAACTTTTGGATTTGACTAAAGAAATCTCCAGGAAAAATGTTAAAAGTGTTCTAGCTGTGTGTGATATTATACAGAGGTGGAAAAAAAAAGATAACATAAAGAAATCACTGACAAATTTGAAAGCAGAATTTGGAGAGAATATAATGAGCCATAATTTGGCGAGTTGGAAAATAGAACTTCTCATTACCAGTGTCCCCAGCCTGAGGACAAAGACTAAACCAAGAGTCAAAACCTAAAAAAGAATGAAGGCGGTTTACAGGTTTTCTCATTTAGGCAAAAGGACATCAGGAATCTTAAGACTGTGGTCCCACAGAAGTCATCCCAAAGTAGCAGTAACTCAAAAGAGGCATGCTTATCTTTTGTCAGAAGGAATGGATTTTGATTCAATTCATAGGAAGATTTTTTAGGAAGTACACATGTGGAAATACCACCAGCTTGGACTAAAAGGAACTGAAATTGTTCAAATTGCAAAAGGGTTTTAGCCTTCAACTTTCTATGGGAAAGAATCAGTTTCAAAAATCATATTAGCTGGCAAAGGTGAACTGTTTCTTCAGAAGCAGCCAAAGAGGTGATGGACAAGGAAGGATGACAGGGTAAAGAGTGAGAAAAACCAGTGGACTGCAACCCACCACTTCTAAGAAGCAGTAGAGACAAGTGGGCTGAGAAGATATTCCCAGGGAAAAAAACCCACGTCCAATTAAGGGGCATTCTCAGCTCCTAGTACAGGAGGACCTGCAAAAGTTTCCAGCTCGATTTCATAGCTGCTACAAACCAGTGACTCCCATGCTTCCTGTTTTTGATGGAAGTGTCATTTGCAGTTATCTGTCCCTATCTCACAACTGTATGTTGGCTGAGGGAAAGAGAGCTAACTTGCTTTTTAGTTCATACATCTCTGAATCAAAAGGAGCTATATCTAAGGAGCCATATCTGAACCTGATTAAGATCATTCATCTCTGGAATTCAAGTTTGATGTCATGACTGATGGAAGCTTCTGGGGATCCTGGAATTAGGGAACTAAAGGTGGGCTTAAATAGAATGTTCCCAGTTCTTTCCCTGTCGCCCTCATCTTTATCCATTCAATTCTCAATGTAGCTTTGAGCCCCTCCCAGCAAGAGGTAGACTTTATTTTCTCCATTGACTTAATTTGGCCAAGTGGCGGAAGTGATGGTATGCCAATCTTGAACCTCGATCTCAAGAGTTAATATACATGTGTATGTGTGTGACTGTGTATGTGTGTGTGTATACACACTAGTCTTACAGTAGCTACATACATATAGATGTATACACCTACCATAAGAACTACATATGTATATGGCTACTATAAGAAAAAGCTTAAGTTAGCTAACTGGAAAGACATATGGCTGAGTTATCACCATCACTACAGACATTAGCCGGTTAGCCCCTAAACATGTCAGATGCCCCTGCTGACAAAAGATGCATGAGTGAGCCTAGCCAAGGTCAGCCAAGTTTGGAGCAGATCAGAAAGTCATCCATCTGACTTATAAACTCATGATCAATTGCAAAACTCCTATTTTTTAAATCATTAAGTTTTAGATGGCTTTTGCACAGCAATAGTTAACTGATACAGGATAATGCTCTATCAAGAGGATCATAGGAGTAATATCAAGATTTTTCTATCAATTCTGTGACCTACATTATACCTTTAGAAAAACAAAATTTATATCTACTAACCATAGTCAGTTTCTGTTGTTTGTATCCAAACTCCTAAACTACTAATTTATAAACTAATTTCTTCATCTTTGGAATATGCAGCATAATGTCATACTTTTTTCACTTCCTGCAGAACCAACAAATTTTAGTCCACTCGTACTTCATGAGCATCATCTAATAAAGGTGATCCCAAAGAGAATATAGAGCAACACTAATTGTAGGTGACTTATAATTCCCTTTCTCCCTCTAAAACTAGGGATTATGACAATCAGATTTTTATTCAGTAATTCTAGTAGGAATTTTATAATTGATTCCACAGAACAAAATGAGAAATTTAGTTTTTAAAAACTCTGAAATATTAATCTTGTTTTCTTCCAAAGCAATTTTTGTTCAGGGATGATAATCATGCACTTTCTTTGTACCCACAGAAATTTATATAACACTGAATATTTAACAAGTCAAGATCATCTAAAGGTTTTCTTAACCACAATTTACATTGACTTATTTCCTCTCAAAGTGGACCATACGTCACAGTCTACAGGCAAAATCTAAGGGCACACTAAAAATCTCAAAACTCTATTTTATTTGAATTTACTTACAATCATGCAGGAACTTTAATTTTTCCTCAACTTTTTCACAAATTTCACAAAACTTGTTAGGTGCCATTCCTAACAAGTTCCTAGTATTAATACATCTGAACTAGTGTTCTTGGTTACCATGTGGCTGGCAACCCACATTTCCTACTTTTGTTGCACCATATCACTGTCATGATAATACTTGGGTCATCAGTGCCACTGGTGATACACAAATAAGAGTGGCCATGCTGACGGTGCTGCTGGGGAGGCTGAAGATATCTCCACTGAGGTTGCTATTTCAGACTGGCCAGGCATCCTGTGTTCTGATGGTACCATTTCCCCAAGTCATACCCTTCTCTGCAGCTGCAGACACTGCTAGGACCAATGATGCTGAAGGTGTCTTATGTTTTAAAAGACTAATGGAGATTTTGCTGAGAAATCGATAGCGTTTTTAATGTTTGCTTTTGGCTTTTAGTAGTATTTGCTCACTCTTATTTAAGAGTTTTAATCTAGCACTCAATCTTGAGCTGGCTGAGCAACTGGAAAACCATACTCTAATCTTTTGCCTTTGACTTTGACCAAGGCAATATGCCTCAAATTTCACTTCCGCTATAATGGCCTTTTCCAAGAAGCACTTCTGTGCTTTGTACAGTATACATAATCCCCAGACAAGACCCTGACTCAGTTCTCCAGACATACACGGAGAAGTATTAATTCAAGAATAAAATACAGTTTAAGCTCAGGCGGGGACTGCCGATTTTTATGTAACAGAATAAGTAAGAAAAAAAGAAAAAAACTCTCACTTTATTTAGATACTTTTTATTTAGTTGAAGTAGATTTTCATATGCATAAATACAAGCAAATGTCCTGTAAAATCTACTACTCATAATAAAGCCCATCTATCATGAATTTATTGTGTGCCAAATACTTCGGAGCACTTCACATACACAACCCCATTTTTCACCTTTTCAGAAGAAGAGATTGAGGTTTAAAGGAATATTTAGTAACTTAACCAAAGTCAACAATTAATCCAGGCCTGCTTGATGCCAAAACTCTTATTCTTAATCTCTGTGATTTAGTGAAGTAATTAAGAATGAGATTATGAACATAAAGAATCTCCTGTATAAAGAATGAAATTATGAACCTGAAAACCACTGATCTTCGTTCATTCAATAAGCATTTATTAAATTCCTATTTATGCTTCAAGCTATGCTAGACACTTGGAAAATGATGAACAAAACAGCGTGTACCCTCTTGGAGCTTGCATTTTAATTTTCCTTCCCATCCTTCTTGACAGATAATCTAAGACCAATAAATGCAACTTCAGTAAAAGAGAAGAACATGAACTTGAAGTCAACCTATTCTCCAAGAGCAATGAGGCATGTGACCTTCAGAGAAACATATACTTCTTGAGATTTCCTGGAAGATACAGAATAACTCAGCATCACCATCCTTATGCTCTTTCTGGAGGAGTTTTATTTTATGGCAGGTGCCTCATAGAAAGGCATTTATGTTACAAGTTAGCATAATTCTGAAGAAACACAATCCTTTTTATAGTAAAAATATGGAACTTGGATTGATTAATAAAGAGAGCCATCTACAGAATAAGAAGCTCACAGTGCAACTCCAAAATGAATCCATTTTTATAATATCTTCTCTGCCAGCTAATTTAGAATATACTATGTGCAAAAACAAAAATACTACCCTTAAAATAAAACAGGCCTCAAGGAATATCTGTTTTAGGGTTGATTAAATTCCCAAATACTGAAATTTCTTAAGCTTCTACTTGAAGGGACTAACAAAAAATGTCAATGTTGTTTCTCCTCTGCAGAAATACTAGATATTGCCTTAGATATCACTAACAGAAATATTAGAGATTGCCTTAGATATCACTAACAGAAATATTAGATATTGCCTATTAGATATCACTAACAATGCATATAGTATCTTAACGGGTACGTGACAAATGGGGCTTGGAGAAAAGAGGGAAGTATGTTTATGTGATCTATAAAATAAAGTGAAAAATTTTAACCACATTGATTCAGTAAGATTTTCAAAATGAATACCTAAAGGGAGATTTTCCTCGACTTTTCTTTTACTTCAATGAACGATTTATCTTATTAGAAATAGGAGAGTATTCTCCACTGGCCCCAAACACATAGAACCTGTATTTCACATTCTTCCAATGAGAAAAAGCTGCTCTGCTATAATATTATATCTAACATTTGAATGAAGGAAAGAGTAAAATATTAAATTTGCTTATATAGAGGAGCAAAATCCATCACACAACCATCTAATAAGGTTGGCTGAGTGACTTACTGTGAGTAAAACAATAGAGCAAGCAAGGATACAGAAAAGACTCCATAGATTGCTCTACATTTTTATAGTTTAATCATAAGTCCCTTTATCTGAAGAAATTACTTCCAATCATGTAAGGAAATGATGGCATAATTGGTTGTCTTCTTACCAGCCTAGAATATGAGTAGACACTTATCATTCATGGTATGATTTGAAAGGCTGAACAAATCTTATCATGAAATCCACCCTTTTTCTCCTCTGTGCCTGAAATTCCACTATTAGCAATTCAATCTTTTGGATCTTATAGGATTTTTATTTTAAATGTACTATGGTCTCTTGTGGCCAAGCTTCTTGTAGTTGTAATAGCCTTTGGTATTTCTGAATTTCCATTTGCTATAGAACTTCACATGCATGTTTAGGTTAGCATGCTTGAAATTATTAAGGCAGAGTACAAATATCATTTTAAAATTAGACATTTACTAAATTTTGGATGTAAAATGAAGTAAGTTGTAAGGTCATGATATCCATTCTTCCCCCTTCAAAGATATGAACTTATTCCATTTTTAATTACATACTCTTCAAAAAATAAATTACACATCATATTACCTAAACCAATGATTAACAACCATCACAGTCAGGCAATGTCTTACCTAAGTAAAAAAAAAAGTTTTCAACTACATCAATAGCTCCTTCAGTACAATGTAGAAATTGTTTTTGAGCCTTCACTAAGGACCAGCTACTGCACTAGGCCTGTTAGAGAATACAAGATCAGACTTGGCTCTTGCCCTCAAGAGGGTCCCACATAAATTCAGGTAGTTCCAAGGCAGCACAGACTATGACAAATGCAGCAGGAGAAATACAAACACAATGTTAGTGGAGACATGGATTACTTTAAAATTGGGAGAGTGACCTGTAGAAAGCAGTTTGGAGATTTCTTAAAGAACTGAAAATAGAACTACCTTACCACCAAGAAATCCACTATTGGGCATATACCTAAAGGAAAATAAAACATTTTACCAAAAAGACACATGCTCTTGTATATTTATCACAGCATTATTCATAATAGCAAAGACATGGAATCTATAGGGCGAAATTCACCCCCGATATTTCACGTCGGTTCTTTTCTAGTTTCCCTAAGTGTCGGCCAGTCTGAGAAATAAAGGGACAGAATACAAAAGAGAGAAATTTTAAAGCTGGGTGTCCAGGGGAGACATCACATGTTGGCAGTTTCTGTGATGCCCCCTAAGCCGTAAAACCAGCAAGTTTTTATTAGTGATTTTCAAAAGGGGAGGGAGTGTACGAATAGGGTGTGGGTCACAGAGATCACATGGTTCACAAAGTAATAAGATATCACAAGGTAAATGGAGGCAGGGCGAAATGACAGGACCACAGGACTGGGGTGAAATTAAAATTGCTAATGAAGTTTCAGGCATGCATTGTCATTGATAACATCTTATCAGGAGACAGGGCTTGAGAGCAGACAACTGGTCTGACCAAAATTTATTAGGCGAGAATTTCCTAGTCCTAATAAGCCTGGGAGCGCTACGGGAGACCAGGGCTTATTTCATCCCTCCGCTACAACCGTAAAAGACAGCTGTCCCCGAAGCGGCCATTTCAGAGGCCTCCCCACAGGGACGCATTCTCTTTCTCAGGGATGTTCCTCACTGCGAAAAAGAATTCAGCAATATTTCTCCCATTTGCTTTTGAAAGAAGAGAAATATGGCTCTGTTCCGCCCGGCTCACCGGCAGTCAGAGTTTAAGGTTATCTCCCTCGTTCCCTGAACATTGCTGTTATCCTGTTCTTTTTTCAAGGTGCCCAGATTTCATATTGTTCAAACACACATGCTCTACAAACAATTTGTGCAGTTAATGCAAACATCAGAGGGTCTTGAGGTGACATACATCCTCCTCAGCTTACAAAGATGATGGGATTAAGAGATTAAAGTAAAGACAGGCATAGGAAATCACAAGGGTATTGATTGGGGAAGTGATAAGTGTCCATGAAATCTTCACAATTTATGTTCAGAGATTACAGTAAAGACAGGCAAAAGAAATTATAAAACTATTAATTTGGGGAACTAATAAATGTCCATGAAATCCTCACAATTTATGTTCTTCTGCCATGGCTTCAGCTGGTCCCTCCGTTCAGGGTCTCTGACTTCCCGCAACAGAATGGTGCCCATCAATGATGGATTGGAAAGAAAATGTGGTATATATACACCAGGGACTACTACACAGGCATAAAAAAGAACAAAATTATGTCCTTTGTAGCAACATGGATGCAGCCGAAGGCCATCATTCTAAGTGAATTCAGGCAGAAACAGAAAACCAAATACCACATGTTCTCACTTGTAAGTGGGAGCTAAACATTGAGTACACATGGACACAAAAATGGGAATGATAGACACTGGAGACTCCAAAAAGGAGGATGGAGAGAGGCAGCAAGCGTTGAAAAACTATCTATCAGGTACTATATTCACTACTTGGGTGATGGCATCAATAGAAGTCTAAACTTCAGCATTATACAATATATCCCATATAACAAACCTGCACATGTACCCCTTGAATCTAAAATTTAAAAATAAATATATAAATAAATAATAAGAGAAAACTGAAGCAATGAAAATACTGGTAGAGAAGGTGAAATCCACTAACAATTCTACTCTGTGCCAAACTAAGACAAATGAATAAGGCAATACTGCCTTGATGAAAAATCACAGGCTATCGGGGAGCAGGTCTTGAAAGCACTACTGTGGGCCAATGTGGCACAGTGATGGTGTAAACAAGTTACAACGCCATGGAAGAAAAGAACACAGAGCATTTGTTTTTATAGAAGGGTTGGGGAGGTGCCTACCTTGAAATCTAAATAACAGATAACAAAAGGAGATGAAGGACATTCCAGGCTGCAAAGTTCAACCATCACATAGTCGAGGAACTGCTCTGAAAGTTGGGTATGAGTTTCACAGGAATAGATTGTCATGGGGACTTCAAAAACAAGGCAGTAAAAACAGCAGTTCCATATTTTCTGCAAAAGACCCCTTTATAAATAAGTAAACAGCTACTGGCTCAAATTTCAATTGTATTCTTCCTGGATTGTGTTTTTTTAATTATTTTTTCGCTGTTGTCACTGAGCCCTTCCATGTCTCCGAAATTCACACCTTCCATGCTTTCACAATAAGAGTCTGGCCAGTCATGGCCCCACAAATTCTATACACCATACCCTTGTTGGTTCATTTTATCAACTTATTGGTCTATTTCAAGTCTGTCTTTTACTTGAGAAAGAAGAGAAACTTCTCTGTTTACAAGGATCATATAGTTTTACCTTATACAAGTACGTAATTTGTCTATATTGTCTATTGTTAATGTATTCATACCATTGTACCAAGTAGCCAAGACTGGAAGCAGTCCCCATAGGCCACCCCCACAGTTTGGGAGGGTTGTCAGACAAAGTTATGGGATACTTAGTCACCACAAAACTCTGGCTTGAAACTTTTCTCCTTCCTCCCCCAAGTTCCTCAGGAATGTATAGTCACTGTCACTGCTGGGTTTACTTCTGTTATTTTTAAGTGTTTGTGATGTGAGTTTCCTTAGAAAAGCACCTGACAGTAATCTAGTTCATAAAAAAAAACAAAACTGTGGTTCAAGAAGTTGAAAAAGACCTTCCCTAGATTTATTGTCATCTCCTTCTGCATGGGGACGGGTTTCCCCAGGGAGGCACCAGGATATAGTTTCTTACCTCTGACCCACCAGATGGTAACACCTCCACTTGGTGGCCAAGGAAAGCAGGCAGCACCTAGGGTTAAAAAGTAAGTGGCTTCCACACCTAGCACCCTGAAAATTATGTAGTTGCCTGCTATTTACCCTTGCCTGAACCATAAAGTCATTTTAATGTACATAGTTCTAGATTATGGCTACTTTCCAAAAACATCACCTCTTGTTCATTTACTTATTCATTCAACAAATCTTGAGACTACAAAAGAGAAACAAATAACAGATATGAAAAACTGATATAACACCTTTTAGTGGGAGAGACACAATTGATCAATACATCAATACATGTATAAATACATAACATCATGGCATGTAATACTATGTTATGTCAGGTAATAGTAAATGCTATAATGAAAAAAAGGCAAAATAAACAGAGAGTAATGGGAAGTGCTAATTAAGATACAGTAGCCAGGGAAGACTTCTGTAATATGCTATGTGGGCAGAGACCTGATTAGAGTGAACCAGAGGGATATCCAGGAAAAGAGTAACACAGAGAGAAGTGCATGTGCAAAGGCCTTGAGGTGGAGCACATATCTGCCAAGAACAGCAGAAAGTCCATGGCATTGGAGTGTGGTGAGCAAGGGGAGGATGGAAGGAGACAAAGTCAGGGATTAACCAGGAGCCAGACCCTGAAGGGCCCATCAGCTATGGAAACAAAGTTGCATTTTATGCTGACCCCATAATCTGAAGGAAAGAGAGGAATCACGATGACTACAAAGTTTTCAGCCTGAGTCTTGGAATAAAAGAAGTGCCATTTAATGACATGAGAAAAACCAGGGGAAAAGCAAGTTGGCACTGAGAGGGAGACGTGAATTAAGAATCAGTGGGTACCTGTATCGCATTGTAGAGTGATGATTAGCATTTACACACTTTTGTCTTTAGGGATTTCCACCTAAATTTTCATGTCTCATCAACTTCCAATTATTAATATTTTGGCCAGGGGAGGCATGTAACCAGAATGGCAATCCAAAACTTATTGTAAGTTTTATGCAGAGCTGATTTCAGGGGCTATTTTGAGGTAGGTAAAATTTATGAAGTTTCCCAGTCTCCAGGTTTGCCTCTTCCCCAACCCATCCCAAATTTTTTTCTCCACATTATCCCAGATTTCCTCTGAACACATTCATTTCCCTTGTTACCTGTCTGTTTCTGCCTCCACTCATCACCACCCATATGACTAGGGAAAAGATCAGGTATCAGTCACTTACACCTAG
Source organism: Homo sapiens (assembly GCF_000001405.40). NCBI lineage: Eukaryota > Metazoa > Chordata > Mammalia > Primates > Hominidae > Homo > Homo sapiens. The sequence goes on along the minus strand of NC_000006.12, from coordinate 119,550,713 downwards.
GATGAATTCAACCCCATATTTAGTATCTCTCTGAAATATTTGCCCTTTAGAGTTTGTCCCTAATTATGTGATAGATATTCCTGTTCTCCATTTAATTCTCCTCTTAAGGGAGCATCAAACATGAAAAGAAGCACTGGTAGGTTTAGACACCTATAGATTTTGCCTACATTTGAGATATGTTATGAAGATAAGAATGACCCAACACAATGTATGCGAGGAATGCTTCCAAGCATCCTCTGCTTGTCCAAGAAAGACCCCATCTGAAAAATGGTTTTAAAATAAGGCAGTCTATGAGGGAAGAAATAAGTACTTACTTACCGCTATGATGATTACAGGATGTTGAATATTGTCTGAGGTGGAGGAATAAAGGTTGGTTGTCCAAACTGATCATTAGAACAAATGGCCATAAAGCAAGTTCCTGGAACAAACAGGTAAAGTCAGGGACTACCAGGAGCCAGTAACATGATTCCAGTGAGCCACAGATCTGGAAAGAGGACATGACATAGACGTCAGAAAGAATTTCTAAGAGAAACAGCCACCAACATCGCAGGTGTGATTAGCTTTTCAGAGCTGTGTGTTCCCATTTGTGAGCACAGTGGCATTCTCCAGGACCAAGGAAATACCCATTGCTAAGTCATATTTACCCCAAGCCAAATACTTCTAGAAGTCTAAGTACTTTGATTCATTACTTTATGGCTGATTATCTTTATCAAATTCTTCATAAATATTATTTTAAAATGAAAGAACTGTAGGCAGAATACTACTGATTTTTATCTCTATGTATTAGCTGATACTCCTTTCAGTATTAATATTCTATTACCTTTTGGAGGAATGTGAATGGGTCTTTCCTCATTTGCTTCATTTTCACGTATCCCTGAACTCTCATGAATGGATGTTTTTCTTTTTCTAGAAAGAATATATGCGTGCACAGATTAAAATGTTTTCTAACGGAAAATCAGTCCTACTAATGGCTTTTTACTTAATTATTGGAAGAAAAATAAGAATAAACAAAAAAATTCCCATTTAGGTATTTATATCTTCTAATATAGCAAGCAGAAAATAATTTTAAAGTTGCTAAGATTAACTTGTCACTCTTAACCCAAAGAAAGCCTATTCAGTTATGTCACTAACCCTGAATAGAAAATATATCCACACATCTTCATTACAGCAGCCAGTCTGGCTGCCAGGATTGACCTGAAGTATAAAATCTACACTAAAAAGGTAATACACTAAAAGACCAATGACAAATAACTACTAACAATGATCTGTGCCAAACCAACCCTCAAGCCCAGGTGACTTCACCAGAGGGTAATCTCATAACCTGAGAAGTTACTGAATTATTTGTACAGCTCCGGGACTAGACATGTCCTGAAACCCCTAGACACTGTACTGGAGAAGGGCATCATGGGAATGTGCTTCCTACTTGGTGAGAAGCATTCTGCTTCCTGCAGAGAAAATCATGGCTCCAAGGGTAGTGTTGGTGGTGTGATCTGAGGAGATAAGGAACAATGCACACCACCTAAATATCCTTTCACACTCCTTTTGGGCTCGATAATTATTCCCTAATAAAATTTTAAAAATTATAGTCATATATATACCTTCTATAAATATGTATATTCATACATATACACTATGTATAGTCTATGTATATATTTCATAAACATTCAGTAATGTGTAATATATATTCATAACCCTTACATAAGAGGATTTGTGAGTTTAAATTTTTCTCATAGTATAGAGATTATAGATATTTTATCATTTTATCTCTCCTTTAAACGTATGTGTTTCCTTTGATCAAGGACAAAATAAGATCTATGAACCCAATCATACCATAATTTTGCCCTCAGATATCAGAAAGCTCAGAGAGAACATTAATTCTCAATTACATTAGTATTCTTAAACTATGTTTTCAGTCAAATTTTCTCACCCAACTTCAAATTTCCTCATCCTCACTATTTGGGTTTTGATTTGTTAACTTCATTCAAATCATTGTTTTACTTATGCACCTAGCATTAAAAATAATTCATGTCTTTTTTGTTCATAAGTACAATACATATAGATAATATCATATTTGATATACACATTTATACATATGTACATATCTAATAAAAATAAGACAATAGCTAGCTATTATTTATTTACACTTTACAATGAAAGTGTACTACTTTTTCCCAAATGGAACCTGAAAATGGGTCTTGACATGAAACAAGGAACCTGGAGGGTATAGGGAACAAAAAAACCAGGGCCCGGAGGGGAGATGGTGGATGCTGAAAGGACCCTTCTTTGTTACATTTACTACCAGGCAGCTTTGTCCAGGGAAAATCTCTGTTTCTGAGCAGGCTCAGAATGGAGAAGAGAGAGATAAAGGAGAGTAGTAGGTCCTTAGTAGTCAGGGGATTGCCTAATGGGAGTTGAAATTCAGTTCCCCCTGAGTGTTCTGGAGCAAGCTCTGGAGCCAATTCTTAGTCAGGGAGCCACCAAAGAAAAGAACAGAAGCCCATGTCAACTCTAGAACTTCTTAGTCTCTTGGAGCCACTAAACCAGAGAGGATCGTGGATCATCAGCCTCTGTGGCTAAAAGAAAAGCAGGCACACTTTGATTTTTACCCCACAGGAGGGGTGAAGGTAGGCTAAGTGCTCATATAATGGTACTTTCTTTTCTTTGTTACTTCACAAGAATTGTTCTGCAAATAGATGGAATATTTTTTATATTTTGTCAATAGAGGAGATCAATTCAGTTACAACCACTCAACTCAGATCACATCCAAGGCACTTTGATAAGCCACTGCAACTAATGATTAATCTCAATCAATTTCCTGGTTGCTGTTATAGTTGCCCAAGCCCTGGTAACAATCTGGAGCCTTTAAGAGCAGCATAGAGTAGGAGCTGAGAGAAATCTACAAATAAGGTGAGGCCACTATGGGAAGAGATCAGCAATCTCACTGGAGCATTGCAAATGCTTGCATGTGTCTGGTCAGGCTACAACATTACCAACATCTAATTCCAAGGGGCAGGGGAACGAGCACAGAAGAATGTCCAGTCAATGGAAGAGTTGTCCAGTCAACTGGCAGGCAGAGTCAGATTAGACTTGATAGATATTCAAGTCTCTCTAATAAATGCTTGAAGCAGAGAGAAGAACCTGACAGGAACTTGGAAATAGGTTGAGTACCAGGCAACCCCATGGCCTAGGATCCAGTCCCAGGAAAAAACTAGAGTAGGAACCAGAAGGCAGGAGCCCATCAAGCAGATCTATACAGCAGATTGGCCATACTTCCAATGGGATTGCAAGAATAAGGGAAGATGCAGACCTCTGCTTAGCCAGAGCTGAATCTTTCTCATGTACCAGACAATGAGCTCAAATTAACAGACTATTTACAGATCGTTCTCAATGGTAGGAAAGGGACTCTCAGTGTATTGTTTCTCAAGTTCCCACCACTTCGGGAACCAAGCAGGGTGAAACAAGCCTGTGGATGGCAGGCTGGAATATCCAGAGTTTCAGTTTCTGCCTGCATCTAATGTGGAGCCTTTCCTTGCCCCTGAAACGATGGCATCTGCAAATGGGAGAATGAGACAGTCCTGCAGAGAGCAGAGCCCAGGTCCACAGGAGCATCACAGCAGGATAAAGAATACATAAGGGAAGATAGATCAGTTCAGAAGTCCAGCCTTGAAAAATAAAATGACCTTCACAATATGATTATGTATTAAATTTCAGGCCAAATATTGATGCTACAAAGGATAATTTTATTGTAATTTTTATGAATAATTCCCAAGACACTTTATTCTCGCTTTAGAAACTTTTTCATCTAAATATTTTACATAAGCCCTTCTTTCTTAAAAAAATTCAGAATTTTTATAATACATCAACCTGATGTGTTTTATAATACATGCTGCTTGAGTTAATGAAAATCCTGAGATGAAACTTATTACTTAAATTATTTTAAGGTACATTATATAGCTTGTAGAAATCTGCCATTTTCCCCTCAGAATAAACCACTTCCCTCTGGTTTAGCATAATAAAGACTTGAAATTCACACATTCAGGCATTATAAATCACTGTATCCCTTTGAAACACAACTGGTCAATTGTCTTTCTCAGCTAAAATGTATTGAGTTGCTATTTTGTAGACTATTATAATCCAGGATACAAACTAAACCAAAATTAACTGTATGTAAAATCTATTACAGAGGAGCTTATAAACATACCACCTGAAAGTTTTACACAATAACAAGAAAAAGGGAGATTTAACATGAAAACTGCTATAGGGAATACATATTTATAATTAACTAATGACTACTCATTATTCCATATTGTAACTAAATTATGATAGATTATAATTAAAAGCAATGAGTTTTACTGTTTAAAATAATTACAAACTGTGAAGTTACTGTTGTTGTTGTTGTTCTTTGCCTATGGTGCAAACAGTCTGAAGAAGGAGAGGAATAATTGGGGCTACCTCATATATCTACTCCATAGGAAGGAAATAAAGTGTCCCCTATTTTCTTCATGGCATGGTGAGGAACATAGTTAAAGTACGCCCATGCTCATACAGCCAGGGATGGTTTTGTGCACATGCAAGTTGCACAACGCACAGGGTCTCACACTCAGAAAGGCCCTGCCCTTAATCTAATGCTCTATCACCAACTTGAAGAGTCTTCATAATTTTCGAAGGAGGAACCTTGCATTTTCATTTAATTCTGGGCCCCTCAAATTGTGTAGCCCATCCTGCATACAGAGAGGCCCATTACAAATCAAGGAACATCATCTCTATTGGCATAGGACTTCACACAGTGTCTGATGCATGGAACGGCAAATGTTCATTGAATGAATTAAATAAAATTTACTCCCTAATTTTCAAGACAGATTTTGGTCTGCTCCAAAGAGTTGACTTTCTTTCAAGCCTATGGGGGAAGAAACAATCAAAGAAGGGAATTTTCTGCCACTGAAAATATTTTCCCATATCAACTTAGCCATATTAATCTCTTCCCCTTTTTTAACAACATGCAATTTATTAAACTGTATGTGACCAGGGTTACGCTGATATCCAATGCAGGCTGAGCACATCCAGAGAACCTTGGGATATCCAGGTGGCAGGCCACCAGAACTCCTTATACATGAGGACCCATATCCATAAATATTCTTTAAGAAAATAAAAAAAGGTAACTTGGAAATTTGGCAGTTAGACCCCTGAACCCCTTGAACAAAGAGAGAACTCTCAAACTCTGGATCTAGAAAGGCAGTGAGTCATCCTGTTTCAGGAAGAGCTAGCAAGGTGACTTGACTTGGGCAAGAAGGATTGCTCCAAGGCTGGATCTCACTCCTATGCACTTCTGTAGGTAGGTCTGGGGATTCTTGCACAGCTGGTATCATATTATTTGTTATAGCACAACATCGGCTGTAGGGATGAGCTTGGTGGCCACATATTTACCATATGACTCTGCTCCTATGGCCACAGTGATTGAGCAGTATGTGGGCACATGTCTCCAGGAAAGCTCCTTCTCTGACATTTTGAACTAAGACTTACAAAGCTAGAGTCAGATAGCAGGAACTTCCACTGACAGGTCACATAGAGGTGGAGCTGGGGTGACCTGCCTGACCATTGTATGAACTAATGTTTAAGTTAGAAAAAGCCAAAGTGCACAGTGAAACAAGGGATTAAAGCAGATGTGCTGAGAGAAGCAAAAGCCAGAAACGCAGAGAGAAGCAGAGGGATTATCTGTCTCCATTCCTAAAGCTTTCCAGTTTCCAACTTCATTCTCACAAGACCCAGCTTATTTCCATGTTTATATATTAAGTAAATATCTTTTCACTCAGCTAGCTTTGTTTCTTGCAATCAAAGGTCTAGTACACCATTCCTAAAAAGTGTATTCTAAGTTCTTCGATGACATTTACTGAGAAATTAAAACACCAACAGCTGGGATCACCCAAGATAAGATCATCTGGGGTTGGCCATAAGAGCTGACGTCAGAGCAGAAAAAGATGTGTTTTCTCAACCTCCAAAGAAACAGAGTCAATTATAACCACCTAATATAAGCTGAAAAAAACATTTGCTTCTTAATGGTGCCCATTACAGCTGTTTCAAAGGCATCCACCCAGTGCTTACAGACTGCTCTGTTACTTTCCTACTGCCAGTTAGAAGGTAGGAAGCCCAGCCATCCCTAGGACTGTCTCACAGGCCCAGCAATGGGGGAGACATAGCCAGATTACCAGCACAGAAGCCATGACAATGATATCAAATTACCCAGCACTGTCCAGGAACTCAAGAGAAAGAAAGGAAGCTGGAGAACAGAAGCAAAATCAAGCAGGGAACTCAATTCAAAAGTCATCGCAATGGTCATCCAAGTCCTTGACTAACCCTGCAACAGATAATCTGAGAAAGCAAGAAGTAGCTTTGTATACTGGTGCTCTTCATGGCTTTTCATTAAATTCATTCAAGATCTTTGTGATAAGCCTTCTTGTTATTTCATACTGCTTCATTTGTCCTCTGCCAATAAATTTTCAAAAGCAAGATGATGCCAATAATTCTCTTTTCTCCTCCACATTTGCCACAACACTGGACACATGAAGGTATTTGAAAATATTTATTTAACTGAATTGATTGAATGACTAGTTTCCCAAATGGGGTTAGTAAATTTCTATTTATCATATGGTAGAATCTAGCCCAATGTCTTGATGGATAAAAGAAAACAGTGTAAAGCACAAGGGAAAAATGCTTCACCTACGCTAACCTCTAAACCTTCATTGATTTTCAAGTCTTTGTTGCATTTTCTCTCCCAATATAATTTAAGACTTTTTCACAACATGAATTTCTACCAGGCCAAGCTTGAAACACATTATTTCAGCCTAGCTGAATTCACACACACACACCTCATATTATTTTTCCCTAAAGCACATGCTTTGTCTGTTGAGCTTTTGCTTAGCACAGCTCCTAGCATCTTGCATAGCTGTCTGCTCACATTGGACATTTAATACATACTTTGCTGTTTTAAGCAGACTCCTGAGAGACTCTTTCAAATAACCCAAGTCTAGGGATGAAATAAAATCTCCAAAGCTGTTTTTAAAGAAGGTATCAAAGAAGGGATGCCAACAGCCATCGCACCTTCTCCTCAACCACTGTGTCAGAATATGCCCCTGAAAGCAGAGTTTCTTCACATTTATGGTTTCCTGTGGTAAGTATCTGGCTCGCCTTGAACTCTAACCACCTGGACCTCATGGCATGTCATGGTGGATTCTCTCTTTGCTTGCCTTGCCTCTCTTGTTGATTGGATGAATGCTTTACCTCCTAACCCAGAGCAAACACAAACTGGCTTCCTCTTGCCATGTCATAGGACCCTGGGCTCTAGATTTCCAAATTGTACTTTTTACCACTCACTTGAATTATATTTGGCTGTTCCATGCCTGGCTCCTTTGGACCATAATAACCCTGGTGCTATCCATGATCTTTCCTTCTTTTCATCCTTCCTTCTCTACTTTTCATTCTCCTTTTGGACAGACATTAAATGAGGATTTACTGTTACTCTAAAGAAGCAAAATTGAGGAAGACAGAGTTTTTTACTTCAAAGAAGTCATAATCCAATGAAAGAAACTGCCAATTAAACAAGCTGTTAGCACACAATATGATAAATATTTTCTTGATATATACACAGTGAATTGCTTCATTCTTCTGAGCAAAGGCAGGGAAAAAGCTACAAAGCAGATGATGATGTCTGACCTAAATTTTAAGGACTATCAATTATTTTGCCTAAATGCTATGCTATTGGCCAATGTTTTCATACATTACTTCCAGGCAATATGAAAAAGAGAACTTGTAACATTAGATTTACATCCTAGAAATTTCACTCAGGTAGGTTTGGGTGACTTGAGGAGAAGGTAGAAAAATCTGTTGTTTTTAGAATTTTTAAAACATAATTAAGCCTTTTATCTGTTTTTCACAGTTCATTATATTTACCATTTTCCTTTTATTTAGTAAAAGTATTTAATGATGTCTTAAAGGGTGTCATGATAGTAATAACAAAACAATAATCCCAGATGTTCCTGAGAGAATTTCTATATTTTATTGCTGAATTTTAAAAATTACTAAATATAACTAAATTACCAAAAAATTATTAGTTAAAAGTTTAAACCATTACTAAAATATATATTCACTTTTATTACTAACATGGTTTTTAAAAATTATCATACATGTTTTTATTATAAAATATAAATATAAGAATTGTCACATATAAATAATCAACCATGATTGCCCTTATATATGGGTAAAATTTTACTACTGATTTACTTTGTATGAAGGTATGTCTATAATTATCTGATACTGAAATTTAAAATTCTAGTATCAGAGATGAGGCTTTAGATTTGATACAAAGTCATTTTCCAAAAATACCCTAAAGTATTTCAGTGGAACACTGACTGCAGCGATAACCATTATCAGACAACAGCACCTTCAAGAGAATTAGATTACCAAATGTGCTTCACCTGATAACTAAGTTCAAGTAGATTACTCAGAAAATGGGATTCTTAACAGAGTGGTGAAAATACTAAGAAAGAGATGAGAACTGGCCTAGGTAAGATTTTTAATCACAGGCACTAGAAAGCATAAAACATAAGGGTATTGTGTGTTTTAGGGAAAGATGGGATAATATAAGATAAGACAAGAAATCAGAAAAGAGAAGAAAAGCAAAGATATAATCACCATTTTTTCTATAACTGACCAAAAACTCTTCTCAGGATGAAGCTTACAGAGAAAATTATTATGCACATTAAAATAGTTAAGGGGTGGGAGTTGTTTCAGAACCAGCACCAGATATAAACACCAAAGTTCACTCCTCTAGTGAACTAGAACTAGAAATTTGTTGTCAATTAACTGAGAATGCTGAAAAAAACTACTGAAGGTTCTGAAAAGCAAACAAATCAGGCAGATGCCAGAGATAAAAGAAAACTGGGCAATATTTTCTTTTGTTGTTGTTCATTCTCACAACTTTGTATCCAGGGTGAACTCCAGTCATAGAGTGGTTTGGCAGTGGCAGCAGCCACAAAACTTCTAGGGGAACCCCATATTTCTGCCTGGAAGTAGGTCCTGCATGCTGGAGAGTGTAAGGGAATCCCAGGATATTGAGACCTAGAAAAGGAGATCTACTAAATCTGTAAATCTATATAAGGCTCAGGCTTACTCCTCATCTGTGCATGTGTGGGGCAGACCCAAACCAGCACAGTAAGGCTTTGAGAAATAAACTGAGATTTAAACCACTGCCCATATCTCAGACTAGCATCTGAGTTTTTCATGTCAGGCACACACTCAAACTAGCATTGAAAATGCTTTGAGAACTGAACTGAGATATAAACCACAGCCATAAAAGATCGGACAGAACACTTGATCTTAACCAACGCAAGTTGTTTGCCTTCTCCAGAGGATTATTCATCAACATTCCCCAGAGGATTATAACCAGATCCAGAGACTGTACATTATAACATTCACATCATCCAGGATAAAAGCCAAGATTACTCAACATGGCAAGAACCAGGAAAGTCTGACCAATTCTCAAGGGAAGATACAATAAACAGATGCCATTCCCAAGATGACTCGATGTTGGAACTATTAGGCAAAGGCTTTAAAGCAGCTGTGATAGTTATGCTCTGTGAGTTAAAGAATAACACATTTAAAAAGAACGAAAGGTAAGAGTTCTTAGAGGAGTGCATACTACAAAAAATAACCGAATGGACATTTTGGAACTGAAAAAACAATATCTGAAATTTAAAAAATTACCAGATGGGCTCAGCAGAAGTTTGGAAACAAGAGAGGAAAGAAATCAGTGCATTCAAAGATGAATCAATAGAAGTTATTGTTAAAGGATCTTTGGGGTGTCACTTTTCTGGCCTGAAACCTCTGGCCAGTGGCACCTTAGCACAAGCTTTGCTAGGGTCCACTGGGCGCATTCCACCCATTCAGCCTGGCAGATTGTGCTCAGCTCACACTACCGGTCTGGCTTCCACACCTGCCAAGGGTGAGTGAGGTGTGCAGCAGCGAGGGGTGTGTGAGCAAGCGCAGGGTCCAGCCACTGCACAGACACACTGGCTGCTGCAGCTGGTCAGGTGCCCCAGGTGCCAGCATGGACACCAGCTCTCTGCGAGGCTGTGGCTGGACCAGGTACACTGCAAGCAGCTTCCCAGCTGGCACCGGGGAATGCAGTGGTGCCTGGAAGCTTGTACATGCCAGGTACCACAGGATCCCAAAGAGGGAGTCACAGCCCTGGCTTGGAAAGCTCCTAGGTCTGGTATCCATGAGGGGCCACAGCTCTTCTCTTCTTCTCTTCACCTACAATGTGGCAAGCAAGGGGCATGTGTCAGCTCTGTTTGTGTTATAGCTCTTTTAGCTCCACCATTCAGCAGGTCCTGAGTTCTTGTCCTGCAACCGGGAAGAATGAAGTATGCCGACAAGTGGGGGGTGAGCAAATTGAAGAAGAGCTTCATTGAGCAACAGAATAGCTCAAAGGAGGTCCACAGCGTGTAGCTCCTTTCCACAGCCAGGTGTCCTGACAAGTGTTCAACTCCTAGCAGAGAGGAGGCCCTGGAGTGGGTTGCTCCTCTCTGCAGGCAGGTCATCCTATTGTCTTCCCAGCTCCTAGCTAAGAGGAGGCCCTGGAATGGGTTGCTCCTCTCTGCAGGCAGGTGATCCCATTGTCTTCCTAGCTCCTAGCAGAGAGGACGCCCTGTAGTGAGTTGCTCCTCTCTGCAGTTGGTAGTCCAGACATCTCTGCAAGTCTCTGAAGACCTCAGCAGAGAGGAGGCCCTAGTGTGGGTAGTTCCTCTCTGTAGTTGGTCATCCCAACATTTCCTGCTATCAGCAGAGAGAGTAGCTCCTCTCTGCCACTGGTCCTCCTGTTGTCCATTCAGCTCTGGCTGAGACTTAGGCTTTTATGGACATCAGTGGCGAGGAAGTACACACTGATTGGTCCATTGACAGCCATGGGAAGCCCAGAAAAGACACTACAAATTCCCACTCTGGTCTGTAGGACAGGTAGCCCAGCTCCCAGCCTTCAGGCTCCCCCTGGCCTGAAGGTGGGTCCTCAACAGGGACCTGCCCCCTTCTGCTCAGGAATCTATCTCCTCCTGCTGCCATTCATGGTGCCCTGGCCTGGCCCCAACTTTGCTCCAAGATCAGAGCCAGGGATGACAGCAGGGAGAAGCCAGGCAGTGGGAGCAGGCATTTCCAAGCCTGCAAGGTCAGGGGTGCCTTCCCCGGCCCCCAAGAGCAATTTGGGAGGCTGCAGTTGTGCTCTGGTGGGTGGAGCTTCTTCCTGCTCCATGTAGTGGGAGGCCTAAGTCTGTAGCCACAATTTGGGTGGCTGCTGTGGCACCTGGGGAGCTCCCACCCCAATTCAGAAGAGGCAGGGATGTTGCTTTTCCCTTCCAGCTCCATGGATTCCTCAACCCTGGTGGTGCTTCCCTGCCGCAGCTCGCATGATGGCAGCAGCAGGCCATCTGGAGCTGCAGCTGCCATCATTATCTAATCTGAAGAAAAGAGATAAAACTATATTTTTTAATTAGCAGGCCTTAGAGACCCATGAGACATTATCAAAAGGTCTCCATACAGGACATTAGAATCCCAAAAGGAAAGGAGAAAAAGATTCAGGTAGATTACTTGAAAACACTCATGGTCAAAAATTTAGTAAGTATTGGAAAAAGATATATGTTAACAGATTCAAGAAGTCCAGCATGTCCTTATTGGAAAACAATTCTCTATGGCATTTATGCACATTTTATATCAGCTTTCATTTCAGATTATATTTTCAAGCATGTCTGTATAGCAAATAACCTTGAGTAATAGAGACAGTATCTCCCTCTGAGGCACAGGGTAGATTTGTTTCATGACCATTATAATAAAAGATAATGTCTTTTTTCAGGCAAAAGTTGGGTATATCTGTTATCAGTACCCTCTCAAATTTCAGGCTTTCCTCAGCTATAATTCAACTCTATTACGCATACAGCATTTTCCTGGGCTACTCCATATCACACTATGGGACTTTGGAGGCAGGTAAACCAATGAGTATATGAAGCTCATGCTGCCTGCAGTGCCATGAATAATAAAGTCCTTTGTCTCTTACCCAGGAGTATTGTATCTTCTACCAGCATCCATGAAATTGTTAGCTTGCAGGTAAGGTAAAAATCTCAGACCCTTCACAGTTATTAACTACTGCGAAACAAGATAACCTCAAAAATAAAAATCATTCCTGGATTCATTATAATCTAAATTTTGAAACCAAACATAAAGAAAAAACCTTGAAAGTAGCTAGAGAAAAAAAACGATGACACACAGTGGAACAATGATTTTAATTACCCTGGGTTTCCCATCAGAAATAATTGGGGGCCAGAATGCAGTGGGAAAACATCTTTAAACTGCTGAATAAAAGTCAACCCAGAATTCCATATTCTGCAAAAATGTCCATCAAAAATGGAGAAAGGATGACATTCTCAAATGAAAAAAAAAAATCTAACAAAATCTATCCACAGCAGATATTATCTACAAGAAATGATAGAACAAGATTCTTCAAATTGAAGGGGAATAATACCACAAGATTATTGGACTCTTTAGAAATAAAGAACAACAGAAATGATAAATATATGTATAATTTAAAACACTATTTTTCTCTTTTAAGTTCTGCTGAAAGCAAAAATTATAACATTCTACTCTGGATTTTCAATGTATGGAGATGTTATATGATATTTTACCATGAAGGACAAACAGGTTAAAGAGCTATATGGTTGCAAGTTTTCTACATTTAACATAAAGTGGTATAATATTAGCCATATTAGACAATGAAAAGTTAGGTATTTATGTTGTAATACCTAAAGCAATTACTGAGAAATAATACAAAGATGTATAGCCAAAAATTCAAGGTTCAAATAATGCAAAAGATGGTAGAAAGAAGTGGAGTGGGGGAAAATAGCTGAGAAACAGAAAATTCAGGGGATAGAGAACAAATAATAAAATGGTAGACTTAAATCCAGTCATTTCAATAATTTTATTAAAAGCTAATGGTCTACTTCCAAAAAATAGCATAGGAGGAATCACTTCCCAACTCATTCTATGAGGGCAGTATTACACCGATACCAAAACCAGACAGTGAAATGAGACTTAAAGCTACAGGAAATAAAATAAATTTCAATTTACATATTTGATTAGAAATAAAATATGTTATCATAGAAGTATATGCCCATAATAACATATATTAATAATATTATAACAATAGGATGTTTTACCCTAAACATTAGGCATTTTTATCCTAAAGAGTATGGTAGAATCTTAGGAGAGAAACTAAATGAAAATAAAAATTTTAGAAGAAAAAGAAACAATGTAAAATTATTGTTAAGGAAGAACTTGCTCATATTTTATAATTGGATAATAGCAGGTCAAATTACAATCATATTTAGATTCTATTGGACACATTTTAAAAAGCGTTTTAACGGTTTCTTTAAAAATATCAATACTTACCATGCTCCAGAAATTACATTCTTTGTAACTATTAAAGTTAAAGTGATAAATTTTAGACAATAACTTGAAAATGTATGATGAGGTTTACAGATTTTGAAAATCATTTTGAGGTTATTCAAATAAAAGAAGTTGAAGACTACCAGAAGAGAGAAGATTATGACAGCTAAGCTATGAAGCATAGAGCTCTGTGGTAGAAGGATACGATAGGAGGAAAAAAAGAAGTCTTCCTCTTTTGAACATGCAAAGAATGTGAAACAGCCAGCCATATCCCGACTTCCCTGTCTCTGGCACTGTTGGTACTATTCAGAGGAAAGTAGGTTAGATATCTGCAGTGGGTCGGGCTCTCTCTTCTCCTCTCACCAACTGGTCCTCTGGGAAGTGACTCCTCCCCTCTGCCAGGAGGTTGAGTGAATCCTCTCCCTCCTACACACACATAACCCACCCAGCAACATCTCAGCAAGGGCGTGGGCAGAGGAGCACAGAAATTTGATAAACCCGAGATTTTGAGTATTATCTGAAACCATTTGATAATTCCATAGAATTGTTCTAAATTTATACCTTTTTTCTACTTTTGATTCTTTTGGATATATTTGAGTGATGTAACCGTTTTCTTTTAAAATATCAGTAATTATAACCAAAAGTACATCTTTTGCAACAATATATAATTATGATTTTTAAAAATGTAGATATTAACATCAAAATGTATGAGGGAGTACTTAAGATTTCTCCCCATGGGCAAGGGTTCAGAAAACAAAACAAAGAATATACATGTTTTTCTGCACATTTAAACATATTTCAGGTAACACCTGCAACCTTAGTACCTAAGAATTTTCCAGGAAGAAAAGAAGTAGAAACTATATAAAATGAGAAACTGACTGGTTACATCAGAAACACCCCTCCCTTTACTAAAACATCACAGCTGGCTGGGCGCAGTGGCTCACGCCTGTAATCCCAGCACTTTGGGAGACCAAGGCTGGTGGATCATCTGAGGTCAGGACTTCCAGACCAGCCTGGCCAAGATGGCGGAACCCTGTCTCTACTAAAAATGCAAAAATTAGCCGGGCATGGTGGTACACGCCTGTAATCCCAGCTACATAGGAGGCTGAGGCAGCAGAATCACTTGAACCCGGGAGCGGAGGTTGCAGCGAGCCGAGATCGCGCCACTGCACTCCCGCCTGTGTGACAGAGTGAGACTCTGTCTTAAAAAATAATACTAAAAATAGTGAAATAACAGCTCGTGAGTGGCTCTGTTTCCATGACCTGGGTCAGAACACATTCTCTTTGGACAACAGCATCTACAGTATTATTCAAGAGGAGTATAGCATTTGGGGTAGAAGACTAATTCCTATAAAGGAAAAATATACACTTGGCCCTACACTTTCTATAACTCTCCCTAAAAGTAACACAATATCAAAATATTTTCTTCCAGAAAAATGAGGAAAATGTAATTAATCATTTAGCTGCATACACTGTAAAACATAAAATTTAGTTATTTTTGTTTTTTGTCTATGTTTTGCATGGAGAATTTTCCTTCAAGAAAAAATACAACAAAAAGTGACAGACAAGGAACATCATCTCCGGTAGTTATCTGGCCCACAGCAGGCATGTCCCTCCAAACACACAATGCTTCTTGTGCTGGGTGTGGTGAACAGGCACATGACCCATGCAACCTCCTTTTGGTGCACTTTTCTGCAGTCAGAGTACATGCCTTGGGCTAGGACTCCAGATATGATTAAGTTCCCCCAACACTTGTACAATAACTGAAAGGTGGAACTGAAAATGAGGCTGTACCTCCATGGCTTCTCTTGGTCTTCCAGATCATGGCTGTTCCCTGATCATGACAACTTTACTGATCATAGGAAAGGCAATAGCTCTTTTGATAACCTAGTTCCATGATATGAATTCAAAGTGGTCTCTGAAAGCTTAATTTTCTGTTTCCACTATTTTCTCACTGATTCTATAATCAATTTAGTGATTATAATTACTGTAATTAATCCTTTCTCTTAACTAGCTGGAGTGGTTTCTGACTGATACACCTCTGTTGGCCTGGACCACCTGGCACAAGCTGCTAATCACAAAGTACTTTCCAGATTCCATTCTCCAGAAGGTAGGTTAATAGTGTAGGCTGCATCTGAACTCTACATACTCAGCCTCAGCCTTTCTCATAAACAGCCCAAGGACCTCAGCATTCTTTTCTCAAGAGTAGCAAGTAACTGACTTTCCCATTTATACCTGGTGCTAACTCAGAGCCCCCTAATGTTCCTGTCTGACTCTGCCAAGCTAGTTTGGAGCTCCAAACAGGAGTCATCTTTGGTCTACATTGTCTTACATTCCTATACCCATCTGTCTGAATCACCTTGCTATGCACATCCCAATTAAATGTCTCTTTTATTCCTGGAAACTAGACTATACGGAAATTATTTAGTTAATTCATTACATTTCCTGTTCTGTTCATTTAGACTACAGCAGTAACATCTCACATCTCTTTTTTAAAAAAATTTAAAAACCAAGTTTTTACGTAGCTCATTCCCTTTCTGAATTTCAAACAAGGATTCTGCGCAGGTGTCACAGCTTACCGATTTTCTATCTCTAATTCCCTCCTCTTCTGAAAAACTGAAGGTGCCTGTTTGCTTTAAATAGTAATTTTATCAACACACACAGGCCACTAAAATTATTTTAATTTAGGCTGTTTGATACAGTGCACAAGGCTCCCAAGAGGAAACAAAATACATTTTGCCTCCCCAAAACTCAATTCCATCCATAAGTAATCAAATGTAAATTATTTTAAACCTGCATGCACTTGAAACTACATCCATCAGAAGGTATTACGCCTGTAATAAGGTCCTTAAGCCACGTCTGTAATTTTCCTAGATCTGCCTATTTACCTGGTAGAATCTGGACTTCTTTCCAACCTACTAAATTCTTCTGTGTTATTATTTCCAGATAGCTTCGTCCCCATACACGTCTATCAAATATTTTCACCTATTTGTTATGTAATAGTACTAAAAATAGATCCTACTGCATATATTTACTTCATGTCTTCTATTTCCTGGCCATATAATCACTACCTTCTGTGAGCTCATGGCCACGTGCCTTTCGTGTTCTGTGCACCTTTAAATACCATGCCTGCCTTCCTGCAAGGGCTACAGGAGGATGGCAAGGACATTGGAGGACGTTGGAGTTGAGCAGATCACCTGTCAAATCCCAGTGTGAGTTGAGTGACACTGAGCAACTGTTGAACTGTTTGAGCTTTCATTCCCTCATCTATAAAATGGGATTTATAATACTTACCTTATTATGTTGTCAGAAAAAACAAATGAGATAATTTATGTAGAACACCTGGCTCAGCACCTGGTAACATAAAAGGTAAAAGGATGAGTCTTTTGAAATGTAATTCTCCAGATGTGGTTTTATAACTCAGCCTATTGCTCATGACTAATAGAGGATTTGTTTAAAACCCCTAGAGGCACTTCCCCAGATGCCGTATGATTCATTTCTGAAAACAGTCATCAAAAACTTTGTTTTAATTTTAGGAAATGTGCTGTAGACTGACTGAAATTTAATGTCATAATTATACAGATAGCAGAGGTGCCACTGGGCCTTCCTCTGTCCTCCCTCTCCCTCCTTCATCTGCTTTCTTACAGATCATTCCTCTAGCAATATTTCTCTCCAGGCCCATTCAGGACAGAAAGTAATTATTCTATGTCTTGGCCTTTGTGCTAAAGACTTTCTTCCCAATTCCAACCTCAAAGTGCCCAATTCTGCTAATATATTGTTTTCCATAGTAGTATTCTTCAAACAAATCTTGTGTTTGTGCTAAACTCTCAAAAGCAAGTGACCTACCCAAAATCACTAAATGAAAGTAAAATGTAAGCAGAAATTCAGTCAATTCAGCCGGTTTGGGAATTTGGGATGTTTCCCTATAACTGTGTTCTGTAACTCAGGCTGGGGATCCAGGACAAGGGGTGGCAATGCTTCTAACTCACACAGGAAATCTGAAAGTTTTGTCTGCTTTCATCAATCACTAGGGTTTAAAGCAAGACCCATCATCTGCAGGACTTGGTGAGGTAAATTTACATGTATAATTGATACAGGGTAGAATTCAGCTTTTGTCTCTCAACAAGAGATTGCACTTTCTATTTGGTCAGCTGTAGATCAAATGTTATTAAAGTGCAGAGAGGTTACATACCAAATTTAATTTGCTTCCACAAGGAGATCCTCACAGGAAGAATTATACTTAACTACTAAACATACTGTACTGACAAATTTAAATAACTTGCTTTTTTGGTATACTTAGGAGAGTATTAACGGTAAATATTTTTAAAAATTTGTTCTCAACAACTGCATTTTTGTGAGAAATTTATATCAAAGCAAATATAAAACGGAAAACTCAACACTGATCTTCACATTATTAAGACAAAATGTAATGATATGGAAAATTCTGAATAAAATTAAAATTGTCCATAACCCAACCATTCGAATATTTTTATTATTCATTAACATTTTGATGTATTTTCTTCCATCCTTTTTTCTCTGCTCAATTTTGAAAACATTTGCAACAAAATAACCATTTAATTTTATATCCTGGATTTCTTCCAATTTATCATTATAATCTGAACACTCTTCATATTATTAAAAACGTTCTATAAATATCATTTCAATAATTCCAAAATATTATATGAATGTACATAGTTTATTTAACCATGATCAGTTAGAATACTTTAAACATTTTAATTTGTATGTAATATTTTGTATGTTCAAATTTACCAAAATTTCTGATTACTCCCGCAGTATAGAAAAGTTAAATTGCTAGGTCAAAGTGCTTTAACATTTTACCATTCTTGATATTATAGCTTCATGATTAAGTGCATGAATTTTTAAAGTCAGATATACCCTATATGGAATCCCGAATCCACCAAAATTATGAGATTTCTGCTTTTAGGTATATTACTTATCCTCTCTGAGGCTCTATTTCTTCATCTGCAAATCAGGGAATAATAATTCATGTGGCACAGTCCTAGGAGTATTAAATGATATAATAATGTGCATTTGGCATAGTGTTTAAAAGCTTGAATCTACCTGGTTTGAATTCTAGTCTGATCATAGACTAGTTGTGTAATCTGGGCTAATCTTTTTATGCTTCAGCTTCCTCATCTCTAGAATAGAAGAAATACTGCCTAATTCCCAGGATTATTGCAAGGCAAAAATAAGTTAATAAATGTAAACTAAGACAGAGCCTGGCAGATAGAAAGCCCTTGATAAATATTACTGCTGCTGTTGCTAAAGAGAGGATTCTGTCCAGTCCTCTCAAGTGGTAAGCTCTCCACTACTACAATAAATATTTACTATAAATTACTTTCTAGAAAGATTGAACATATTTCCTTGCAACAAATATTAAAATGTACACATGCTTTATCCATTCAGTATAACAACAAAACAAAAGAAATTAGCAATTTGAGGGATCATATAATCGAACTTGCCAGTTATGCTTAGCATAATAGGATCGTTTGATTTTAGAAAAGAGTACCTGAGAGTTCTTCCTATCCAACCCAATCATTTTACTGTATTTGATCATCCTCCTTAAAGAATGATGAGACAGCTGAGTTTCTTAAATTCAAACACACAAATTGTACATTTTTCAAAGCTATTTTCCTCTTTCCCCAGCTTTATTCTTCTCACCTCAATAGTGGCACTGTCTATTGGGCACAATACTACCTACACAGCTGAGCTCCTATGGATGTCTAGGTCATTGGGATCAGTCACTGAACAGTCATTTATTGTTTATCTAGTGTGTACAGTTTCTTAAGTGTGATAGAATAAAATATCTTTCATGGCTATATATCGTAAGAACATTTTTGAAACATTCACTGATGTCTCCTCTCCTCAATATTTCACGTCACCCTTTATCCTCCTTAACTCACCCACTGTATTAGTCTGTTTTCACACTGCTATAAAGATACTACCTAAGACTGGTTAATTTATAAAGGAAAGAGGTTTAATTGACTCACAGTTTTGCATGGCTGTGGAGACCTCAGGAAACTTACAATTTTGGCAGAAGGTGAAGGGGAAGCAAGGCATGGTGGAAGGCAAGAGAGAGCGCAGATATGTCACACTTTAAAACCATCAGCTCTCATGAGAACTCTCTCACTATTACGAGAATAGCATGGAGGAAACTGCCCCCATGATTCAATCACTTCCCATCAGGTCCCTCCCTCAACATCTGGGAATGACAATTCAATATGAGATTTGGGTTGGGACACAAAGCCAAACCATATCATCCACCCTTCAATCAGTCAAGCAAGCAGCTGAAACATGGTGTATGATTGCCTCAGAGAAATGATCTAAGAGTAGAAGGAAAAAAATAAATAGTATTTTTCTGACTTCTGTGTTTCTATAACCTAGGCTTTTACAGTATACATCACAGAGTTGAGAGAAAACATAATGAATAAAACCAAGGCTTCCTCTTTTTATGCCCCCCTCAAGTTTTCCTACTCTTGAGCAAGGAGGTATAGTCAGAGGAAAACCAAGGAGAGATAAAAATGGTGTTTCCCAAAGAGAGGGCCCCATACAGGCTTTTCAGGCTAGTTCAAATAAAGGAGATTTCTGAGATCCAAAGGAAGGAAGGAAAAGAGGACATATTGAGGGAGTACAAAAGAGCACAAGAAAACCTTTGTGGGTGATGGATATGTTCATTCTCCTTATTGTAGTGATGGTTGCAAGGGTATAGACATACATCAGAAAATATCAAATTGTACCTTTAAATATATGTAGTTTATTAGACATTTCTCAAAAGAAGACATACATGTGGCAAATAAATATATTATTTAAATGCTCAACATCACGAATCACTAGAGAAATGCAAATCAAAACACAATGAGATACCATCTCACATGAGTATGAGTGACTATTACTAAAAAGTCAGAAAATAACAGATGTTGGTGAGGTTGCAGAGAAAGGGCAACATTTATACACTGTTTTCAGGAATGTAAATTAGTTCAGCCACTGTGGGAAGCAGTTTAGAGATGTCTAAAAGAACTTAAAGAAGAACTACCATTCAACCCAATAATCTCAATATTATGTATATAACGAAAGAAAAATAAATTGTTCTACCAAAACACACTTGCACTCGTATGCTCATCACAGCATTATTCACAAAAGCGAAGACATGGAATCAACGCAGATGTCCATCAATGGTGGACTGGATAAAGAAAGTGTGGTACATATATATCATGGAATACTATGCAGCCATAAGATAGGAGAAAATCATGTCCTTTGCAGCAACATCGATGCAGCTGGAGGCCATTACCCTAAGCAAATTAATGTAGGAACAGAAAACCAAACACTGCATATTCTCACTTATAAGTGGCTGCTAAACATTGCGTACACATGGACATAAAGATGGGAACAATAGACACTGGGACTACTCGAGGAGGTGGGAGAAGGGGGAGAATGTTGAAAAAATACCTCTTGGATACTATGCTCGCTACCTGGGTGATGGAATCATTCGTAGCCCAAACCTCAGTGACACGCAATTCACCCATGTAAATAAACTTCCTATGTACCCCCTGAATCTAAAATAAAAGTTGAAAAATACACTATATATAGTTTATTGCTTATCAATAATACTTCAATAACATTGATGAGAGAGAAAGAGATAGAGAGACAAAAAGAAAGAGAGAAAGTGAGATCTGTTCACCAAGTTCCAGATAGAATCCCAGGGAGGATGCAGAGAAAAAAAAATGGCTGCCTGGTGCGTCTAGGCAGATAGGGTCATAGGCAGCCTGTGAGTTTCAAATCTCTCTTGGTAGTAGAAGAGACACAGAATGAGCATTTTGTATCCAGAAGTGATGCAGAAGCAGCAAAGAAAGGTACCTGATTTTCTGGGGTCATGTGGCCAAGAACAAAGATGTTTCCAGCCCAGCATGAGGTCAACTGACCAAGCAGCTGATTGGGAAAAGGCTATTTTAGCAGATGCCCATGCAGCCAGATGACAGCAGGGACCTGAAGTACACCCCTTTCCCACCCTACTCCCCAGTTTTAGCTCTAGTTAAACTCTTTGGAACTTTGACACAACCCCACAGAATGGAGGAAGGGGGAGAAGGAGAAATCTCTTAATTCACTGACATTTAGTTTCTGCCACCCTGGCAGAATAAGGCTTGAAATAGAAATTGGGTACACATAGATGAAGAAGATGACATTTCTTGTTTATCTTGATTCCAAATTCTATGATTCAGTAATGAGACACAGCCCCTATTTTCACAGAGCAATATTCTAATTTAGGAGACTATAAGTTAGAATCTAAGATCCACATGGGTATATACCATGACTGCATTGCACATCTATCATCTAGTTTGATATCTGGCACATAATTGTGCTTAAATATGTATTTGTGGATGCATGGGTGGATGGATGGAGCAAACTCAAGCACACAATAAATTGTTACTAATCACTCAAGGAGCACCTGATAAGTGCAAAATGAGAGGTTTTATAAGTGTAATAAGGAGAGACTGCTAAGGGCTGGAGTCACCATTGATTACTTCGCTGGAGGACAAAGAGCTTGAGGTGGTCCTGGAAGGCAAAGAATTGGTTCAATAAAGAGACAGGGAGAGTGGGAAAAGTGGGCAGGAAAGGGAGGGTACAGGGAGAACAAAGGATTTGAAACTCAGACTGAAGTACTTTTGCTGCCAATTCAATGTACTTTCTCCTATACTCTTTTCTAAACATAGTATCTGGCACAGGATCTGCTGACAATATTTGGTGGATGGAGAGGAGGAAGAAGAGGACTAAACATATATTTTTAAAAGAATTTTTAAAACTGGGCCTGAATCTTGAAATTTCATCTCTACCTAAAGTTTAGTTTTAATGAAAAAGATGGCTTTTAGCTTTTATCCTAAAAGCAAAGTAGATATTTATCACTGTGGGGAGGGGCGTTTACAATATTTGGAATTGTGTTTAAGCACTCTTAGATGGTTTTTTCATCCCTGGAATCTATGCCATTCAAGGATTTATTTTGTAAACTGTTTCTAACTCTGCCCACCTAAAAAGAACTAAGTTTACATCATTATTTCGATTTCCTGCCCTGCAATAATAATTAACTTGCATTTATAGTTTATCAACCTCTCTTACATAACGTTATCTCATTTATTCCTCACAAAAGAGACCTCTGAAGTAAACATCGTTATCTCCATTTTTAGACGTGCAGAACTGAGACTCAAGAGGTTTGCTCCCTCGCGTTAATTCACCAGCCAATAAATGCCAAAATCTAGACCTGCGCCCAGTCCTTTCCTCAACACCACGTTGCCTCACTATTGTCACCTGTGGTTTTTAAAGAATGAGAAAAGATGCAGACACTGCTGAATTGTGTATATATGCCTATGAAAGACAGGGTATGGTGATGAGTTAGCACAATAAAGGATTTTAACCATGGCATATCATTAGTTGTTCGTTTAAGTAAAAAGAAAATCTTTACTTTTTAGCTGCGAGGGAAAAGGGTGTTCTTTGCTCAGCTATTCCATATTCATTACATATATTTGAGGGAACTTCTATATGATCTTCCACAAAGTCTCCCTCCTTTTTTAAGATGTCTCCCTGGAGCCAGAATGCTAGAGAGAATTTTTTACAGAAAAAATAATTAAGCTTTCTCACAGAGCAAATCCCCTAAAGTAATTTATCATAAAGAAAAACTCTAACCCAACCTTTTTCCTACCCAAAAGTACTAATTTAATTTTACAGCAGAACAGCTTCAGGGATCCCAAGAGCCAGATCAGGAAGGAGAGGAAGCCCAACCATTTGATCTTCTTACTCACCCCCTACTGGCACAGGTTTGCTTCATACTGAGAATTGTTTTGCACTTTGACGAGTCTGGCTCTAAATGTTTCAAATAATAAAGCCTAGGCCACTTAGAGTGGAGGAGTCTGTTTTGCTAATTGGTTTTATTCCTTTCTTCCTCGGTTAATGAAAGTTGGAATAATTTTTCAGAGTAGGATTACATGTTAGTTGTCATAAGGCTGTCACGAATGGCCAGGATTTAATACTTCTTGAACTCGAGTTACTTACAAACTGCAAATGCTTCTATCCTTTCCCCTTCTTTCACTCTTCCCTCTCTCTCTACTCATGCTGACATGGTAACCATGTTCACCCACAATGGTTGACAGATAAAAATGTTAATTTGAGAGATTGTGTTGACATCACTCTGGCAAAAAAAAAAAAATGTGAAAAGGTGCTGATACATTGTGCTATGTATTTTGATGCCTTTGCCACAAAGCAGAACTGCATATTCTCAAATATATATAATCTGATTAGCAGGTTTGTTTATTCATCTGATTCAGTTTTATTAAAGGAGATCACCATTGAACAACAGACCCACATTTCGGATGGGGCAGGTTCAGCCCTTTTGCATTCCCACAGCAATCTCCCGATGCTGAGATTCTGACATTTATTTTTGATGCAGTCATGTTAATGCTGCCACAGTGAAACAATCTGTCAAAATGTAAAATCACTGTCTTATGTCGTCAAGTAATTTCATGTGCCCTATCTCTCTGACCGTCCCTCTACACATAACCCCTCCCCTGATTACAGGGCGTTTTCACTTTCTCATGTATTCATTATTTATGTTTGTAAAACTCATCTTTATTTTATTCTTAGAAGAAACCATCAGTTGCTTTAATTTTAATCTGAGAAACAATTTAGCCCCTAAAGGTTATATCATCTATCTGTCAATCATAATAAAAGAGTTTTATAATATTAACCATGATATATGTCCTTTACTTAGTTCTGAGAGGATTGTTGGAGACATCATTGATGATTTCCTGGGTGCTTTGGAGCTAATAAGAGAACATATTTTGGAAAGCTGCCAAAAGAAAAGGTGTCCATGCTAGAGATTTTCAAATGTAAAACAAAGACCCATCATGAAGCAGACAAATCCATTTATTAATTGAAAGTAAATGAATATGGCCATTGAAACTTAATATTATATGCAGACTATTCAAGATTCACATGAATTCTCAACATTAAGTGAATAGTGCACTTAATATTTTGCTTAGGATGATAGATGACCCTAAGATGAGTAAGCTTGGCAGACACAAAACTTCCATTTTATGTGATTTGCTTTTGTAGCAGGTTTGAATTTTACTCAGTCACAAAAATCAAATGTGCCTAAAATGTTAATTTCTTTGCATTTTTGCAATTAAGCTTTTCATAACTCATAACTTTTTTTGCTACCTCTTCCCAAGCCTTGGTACTGCAGTCATTTCTGGCCCTCAGTTGTCCAGTTATTACTTCTATCACTTCTGTCTTCATCCCAGTTGTGTGTCCCTGCTCTGGTCCACCCACTCCCTCAGTCACATCTGCACTCACCTCAGTGCTGCAATATGCCAGGTTGTTTTCACACAACTGTGAGGCTGTGTAGACACCTCCATGTATAAACCAATGTTACGCAGGTATAGAAATCAGGAGGGAGAGATCATAATAGGATATGGGGTTAAGAAACCAGGTGGTAAAGAGAAAAGCAAGCCATTGTCCACATAACCTGCCAAAATTATTCTCAAAGAACAACCTGCAGGTTCACCGAGACAAATGTGTGTATGTGTGTGTATAGTCTATCATTTATGGAGAAATTTCAAATATTTGTCCTAATCAAGAAATATCCCTTATCCAATTCAGATAAAATTCCTCTCATCTTTGGCGGTACTTTTAAAACCAATTTGTCACTATTCAGCCTCACTAAGCCATCATGCTTGATAATAAAAAGAAAAATGCGGTCCTTACTTTGCAATTGTTCAACTACATATATATTTGTTATTGTCATTTTGCCTCAGTCCTGTCCTTGAGAAACACATATGCACACACACAGAAAAAACCTTAATTCCTAAGGTTATTCTAAAATCAGGAAAAATATATATATAAATGTTTTAAATCTTGTAAAAAATGTAGGCAAAATTGCAAGACCTGCTTGAAAATGCTGGAAAAACTATAAGAAACGTATACACTTAAACTTGTTAATTCCTGTTAGTAAATAAAAATGAATGCAATAAATATTTCAATACAACATGGTATTTGCTCTAAGTAATTTGGATTTTATATTAATAAAAATATTAAGATGATATAGCATTGCTTAAGCTAAGCTCAAAGTATTTCCGTTAGCTTCTATGCATTTTTCGGGTGGTATGTTACATATTATCATAACATATGTATATGCCACTATATTTTCTCTTTCTCCTAGTGAGTTCCCAGTTAAAGGGATACAGATAGCTTGTACTTTAGACACACTTTAGGACTCACTATGTAATATTATTAGTATTTCAGTAACATTTCCATATTCCACTTATATTTTTTAAGTAGCTTGCATTTCCATACTTTTAAGGATTTATATTTATACCAAGTTGAGAAATAACACCCACTGGACGCTAACAATAGGGCCCTGTATGAATATAATCATTATTACTAAAATGTCAGTTTTATCATACAATTTTATCTACAATAATACAAATTAACACACTTCCTTAGATATTTATAAATATCTTAATGACTTTTAAATTGAGAAGTATTTCTGAAACCTCTGGAGGGAAAAAGATAAGTGTGTATTAGGTGACAAAATGATTAGAATTCTTGCATCATCCTCATTATGTGAATGTCTGGTTTAAGCATCTCTATACCTGACACACTAATTTAGCTACAATGCAACAAAACCAGCATTGTAGTAATAGAATATTGATTGTACAGTGTTCAAAGACAAAGAACTTATGTTGTTGTACTTTTTATACATGTGTGATATTGCAGCACAATACCATGTCGATAATTTTCACCAAATGAAACCCACTACCACTGTGCTCAGTGGTGATTTAATTATGAAATAGTCAATCCTCCAATGAAATACTTTATCTTACACAAACCTAAAATATACTCAAAAGACTTTAGTGTAAAAGTATAGTGGGAAAACCCTCCCAAAGTTCACTTAAGTACATTATTTTTCTAATTTTTATGTCCATATTTTTATTCTCATAGTGCACATTTGAGAATGCTTTCTCAAGGAGACTCTAATCTCACAGGGATCAAGTATTAACACTGTATATTTCATTTCCCAATACAAAAAGAAAAGAGTGGTTTTACCAAGGATCCAAAATATGATTTTTAAATGAGTTTCTCACATGAGACTATTCTTATGGGTACAGTGCTGATGCCCTTTTAGAAAGAGTTTAGTCATGAATAAAATAATAAAGAGATGTCAGTTTATTTACTTGGAAATGCAAACATTGGACCTAATGAGAATTGTAAATAGCAAACAGAAGGTAATCTTGACATTAAGATCAACAAGTCTTTATTAAAATGTTGTTCTAAGAGAATTAAGCAATGAGGAATGAGGAATAGGAAATAGTATTTTTACAAATTTGAGAGTAGAAAAGGTCATTAAAATTTATAAACCAACTGCCACCCAGTGTGAGTTCCCCTTTCCAGCATCCTTGACAGATGTTCACTCAACACCTGCCTGAATATCTTCAGGACAGCTATTTTGTGAAAACGTTATTTCCTGTATCAAAACAAAACCTACTTCTTTGCCTTAAGCTGGTCTCCTATAGTACTGGTGAGAGTCTACAAGGGTACAACTTTTCTGAAGTTTATTCTGACAAAACAAACCATACAACTCTAAAATGTATCTATTCCTTGGTCTTATAGTTCTAGTTCCAAAGCTCTATACTAAGGAAATAATCAAAGTTATGTATAAAGAATTTATTTGATTTGTCACTTAGAAAAGTGAAAATTTGGAAACAAACCAATGTTCAAGAATAGAAGATTATTAAAATAAATTATGATAAATTTGCGCAAAGAAATACATTCAATCATCATAAATTGTGTTACAATAATTGTGTGCACAATATATGTTTTTCATGAAATAAGGTCTATGAAGTGCTTAGTAGAACTTTCTGACACAGAGAAAACGAAAAATAAATATTAAGTATTATTTTTTAAAGTAGGCAGTAAAAAAGCATATTCAATATACCGTTTATAAAAGACTCTTACATTGAGTGTGCATTCCTCTTGCAATCTAAAAACTGTTACCTTAAATACATTTATTTCACTAATATTTCATGAATACTGACTATATGCCAGATGTCAATGAACAAGGCTTACATTTCTTTTCTTTCAAAAGGAAAGACAAATATCTAAAGCAAATGACAGGGTGCTGTCACTTTTCAATTCTGGACGGTAAGTATGATCATCCTGGATTCTTGTCTTTGTCTTTTAAAGATGAATACTACAATACAAATGTAAAACTTTTAGTAATCAATAAAATACTGCATTACAATAAGTTTATAAAAAGTAATGAACTTTGAGCAAACAATCTTACTCCAACTTAAATGAGTGCATATGTTCACCAAAAGACACACTGAAGTACGTTTATTGCACCTTCATTCATAATAGCACAAAGCCGGAACCAATTCAAGTGTTCCTTAACTGTAGAATGGATAAATAAATTGTGGCATTTTTAAAAAGCTTTAGTGAAATATAATTTATATGCCATACCATTCACCCAGTTTAAAATGTGCAACTCAATGATTTTTAGAAAATTTACTAAGTTGTGCAACCATCACTGTAGCCTAGTTTCAGAAAACTTTCATTACCCTGATAAGATCCCTCATGTTCCTTTACAGTTAATCCCTTTTCTCACCCTGAGCCCCAGGCAACAACTAATTTATTTTCTGTTTCTATAGATTTGCTTAATTGTGTTATATTCTTACAAAAAGTAAATTGTGTTATATTTTTATAAAGCAAAAATTACAGCTACATTCAATAACAATGATGAATATCTCAGACAAAATATTGAATATAAGTAGCCAAGCCAAAAAAATGCATAGGCTATATGATTCCATTTATGGAAATTTAAGAACAGGCCAACACGAATCCATTATGATAAACATCACAACAGTGGTTATCACTGCGGTGGATACCGTCCAGAGGGGAAAAGAGGTAGACTTCTGAAGGTCTAGAAATATTCTGTATGTTCACCTGTGTGGTGCTTACTTGGACACATACACATGTAAAAATTAATAAATTGGTTCTGCTGAAATTTTTGTATTTTATGGTTCAATAAAAATTTTTAAATAAAGCCACACTTATATCGATTGCTTTATATCCTTGCTTATGTCATCATTCTTCTCCTCCTCTTTCACTTCTGTTTCTAACATCATCTTGCCAAGTTGAGTGTGAATTTTCTGAAAAATGTTACTAAAGTCATACTGTTATTTTGTTAAAAGCTGTGGGAAAATGAAAAATCAAACATCAAACTCATCTTCTTACCTCTCTATTGTC
Organism: Homo sapiens; assembly: GCF_000001405.40. NCBI lineage: Eukaryota > Metazoa > Chordata > Mammalia > Primates > Hominidae > Homo > Homo sapiens. Next base: position 119,521,925 of record NC_000006.12, on the reverse strand, counting down.
TACATTTCTGAAGGATATAATGGATATCTATGATAATGGATATCTCGTGAGAAGAGGAAATGGGTTTATGTGGAGAAAAAGCCGTACCAAAAACTAGAATAAAACTGAAAATAGGAATACAGACAGCACCCCAACCAAACTGTTTCTTAAGGAAAGAAGGAGGAAAGAATGAATGTCATTCGAGCCATTCAATTACTTAAATTTTTGTATGACTTTTTAAAAGTGTGCAATGTATCATGTACTAAGATAACAAAATGGAAGGATTTTTCTTTTTGAGAGCTACATTTAACATCTTAAAGTGGTAACACCTACTTAGTTCTTAAAAGACTGTTGTTTGAATATTATCACCTATCTGGTATTCCCAAGTCAGCAATGCAATGAGGAGTGACACCTGTGTTTATTGTGCCCTATATAGAATGCTGCAATAGCAAGTCAATCATGATAACAGCAGTAAAAACCCACCTCTAAACACGCTGTTTAAACACAGGCAATGACACCATCTATTACATAGCCATATTCTCTGGGGAATTCCAGCCATTTGAAACCATTTAATCAATCCCTATCACACACCTTTGTTTGACAGTGTGCAGCTTAAATAGCCACTGTTCATTTGCAGGGACTATGGGAGAGTGCTGTTTAGTGACTTACCAAAATTAACTAGTATCACTCCAATATCATTCTTTAATAATGCAGTCATTTTCAGAATTAGGTAGTCAGCCAGTGACAAATCTAAAAATAATTCTCAGGACCCATTTACTAGGAAACCAGAGGATTGTCTTACTGTTCAACCTTATGTTCTTTCACATTCCATACCTGTTTCCAGATTTATAGCAAGAGTAAAATCTAGCAATCAATCTCTACCCAACAGTAATAATCTTACCATTTCTAAGGCTGTGGCTCTATTGAGGTATTAATCAACAATCGTTTAGTTTCAAGTTACAAGAAATAATAATTCAACCTAGCTTTTTAAGAAAGAGAAAGAGTTAGTTCATTAGATAAATACCAAATAGTTGAGAGTTTAGTGCTGATTTTAGGGCTGACTAGGTTCAGGTCTCCACTCCTCATCTCTTTCTCTGCTTCTTTCCATGTTAACCTCAATTTCTTTTATAAAAGAAAAAAGGAACACAACTTCATAATTCCAACTAATGATTTCAATACAATTTGTCATCCAAAAAAATACGTGACTCTCTCTTCCTCTACCCCAAGGAGTGATGTACCAAATTTTAGGAAACTCATCAACCCAGTTTTGGATCACAGGACTGTCCTTGAAAAAATCACAAAGACCAAAAGGAGGAAGATGTGATCGAATTGGCCATTCTGATCATAAAACATGGAGCAGAGAAAAGAGTGCCTAATAACATATAGCCCCACAGGACTACATGAAGTTCAGGAGAGGATATTTCCCAGAAGAAAATCAGTGTGTTGGTTCTAAGAGACAAAGAAATAGTGATCAAGCGAAAGCAATAGATGTCCACTATTGTCGTCACATGTATGAGCTAATTCCATGTACTCAGCAGACATTTCCTAGCAAATAGAATGTATATTTCTAGTGTTCTTCAGAATAGCAGTGCAAAATATTATTGTTGTGGGCTTTCAAGAAAACAGAAAGTCATTTGAAAAATTCAAATGTGGGGTGGTGGGGCAGGCAGAAGATTACACTTATTGCTTCACAAACTCAATGCTAAAGATTATAAAATTCCCTTAGGAAGAAGGTATTTCTCCATTCGTTCTGACCTAACAATACATCTTGGCAATTGAATTGACCTATCCTTTTAAACATGAGTACTTTGACTTGGCTACACCAAAATGATGACCAAGAGATGTAAAAATGTGATTTTGCTTTTCTTTTAACCAAGTATTAAGTGAAATGAATGTCTCAGTTACCAACTTTGCCCTGGTGAAGCTGAAGGATGACCTGAGAATGTACATTCTATCTATTTTGATTGGTCAAAATATGAGAGATGAAAATCTAGAAAGAAATTTGTGTAAATATTTCTATAAATATAAACTTGGGATGTCAATATAAGGCAAAATATTAATGCCAAAGATTATAAAGGAAAGATGAATAGATTCAACTATCACAATGAAAATAATCAAAAAAAGTTACAATAAAAAGGAAAACTGTAAAAATATTTGGAGCATATACAATGGAAAGAGGATTAATATTTTTAATATAAGAAGAGCTTTTACAAATCAATAAGAAAAAGACAAATACAGTAATAGAAAGCTGATTAAGAAATATGTACAGGTAATTTCAAAAGAAGTAAATGAAAAAATATTGTTTATTGACATGTGAAAAGATGTTCAAATTTATTATTAATCAAATAAATAAAAATCAAACAATATTTGATTTTACTTAGATTGGCAAATATTAAAACACTTAATAACATCCATGCTGTTAGACGGTTAGATTAGTACAGGCTTTCAGGAAGCCATTTGACATTACGTATGATTTTAAATTTTAAGTTTACATTTTCATTGACCCATCAATCCTGCTTCTGAAACTTAACACCAAGGGGAAAAATAATAATAAACCATGTGAAAAGATTGTGAGTGTGTGTAGGTGTGCATGCGAGTGTATGTGTTTGAGTGTATGTTGTATGAAAAGATTTGGGTGTTGTACTATGAATAGTAATGATAAATTATAACACCCTAAATGCCTCATAACTAGGAATTGATTAAATTAAAAATTGTTCTCTAAAATGGATCTAGAAATTTTAAATGATGGTTTCTGTGTGGACACTTTAAAAGATGCTTATGTGTTTTAGGTAATGCTGGCCTTTTCTTTGCCGGCCTAAACTAGTTTTCAAATATACACGACAGTAAGATCAAGATTCAGAGCAAATATTTATTGTGTTTCTCATTCTTCTGTTGGGGAGATTTTTTTTAATCAAAATTCTTAGTAGGGGGAATACACTTCTCTCCACCAGCAGAGTTTCATCCCATAGACAAACTCCATGAACAGCCAGGTCACTGCCATTCTCTAAATAAAAATGTTACAAAATAGCAAGTATTGTAACGCAATTGTCCTGGACAGAGTACAGAGGACATTCATATTTTGCAGAATATGTTATGCTTCTGATCCGTCCTGGTTGTAACTTGTATAAATTACCTCATAAAATAAAACAGTAAAGGCCAAGCTCTATAAACCGAAGAATCAGGTTATCAACCAAACCTTTCCAAAGAAAGGGGTAATGATGGCATGGCTAACAACCCGGAAGTCTCCCCAGTAGGCAAGTCTGGCATCTCCAAGTGTCCCCTGGCACATGGGGTCAGAGTTAAAAGGGTGAGGGATCCAGATCACCAAACAAAATGAATGGTGTGTTCTCATTTTTATTTTTTAAGTGTATATATGTGAAATGTGTTAGCAATTATTATAACGGGGTGGTAGGATTATAGTTAATTTTTATTTTCTCTTCAAATAATTCACAATATTATTTAAGCTAAAAGGCTACGTCAGTGTTACCTGTATTTTTTTTTTTTAATGAGATGGAGTCTCACTATGTTGCCTAGGTGGGTCTCGAACCCCTGAGCTCAAGTGAGCTGCCCATCTCAGCCTCCCAAAGTGCTGGGATTACAGGTGGGAGCCATGGCGCCCGACCTAGTATTGTCTGGATTTCTTAAAACAAATATGTTCAATTTTTTTGCATCAACGGACTTATTTGCTCTAGCCCAGAATTTCTCCAACTGTGTTCCATGACATTATGTGTGCACGTGTGTGTGTGTGTATGTGTGTATAATGTATCTTTATAAACTATACATATACATTATATTTACACTCAACACTAGGATAAGTAAGATTAGGTGAATTTCATTGCTTCAAAACTTCTCAGAATATTAAATATGCTAACACAATATGTATTATTTCCCAAATTTCTTTTGCTCTAAATGTTTTCAAGGAAGCTTCTCACTGTATTAATGCTCCAAGAAATACAGTTAGACAAGTGTTGTGGTCTATTCTGATCTTCCTAAACTCATAACTCTGTTTACAAATGGGCCCCACCTGTAGGTACAGATCACTTCATTTTCTGTAGGTACACTTCACCTTATTTCCTGAGCCAGTCCTCATTAAGCCAAAGATCAATAACAACTTTTGTTGTATAGTTGAAGATGGAACTTGTTTTTTAAGTTCTCATCTTACTGTAGCTGTCCTCAGCTTTTGACAAACTGGACCTCTGGATCTTTGAACAGGTCTTATTCATTGGTTTTTCTCTATTTTCTAGGCATTGTTGTTTAGTTTCTCTTGCAGCTTTTCTTGCACTGTTGTTAACTTCCTCTGTTAGATTGGCTTCTTAAGTGTGGATTTCCCCTGGGGATTCTGTCTGGCAGCCAGTCTTCTGACTCCAAACACTCCCTGGGTGATCTTGTTCTCACCTATTATTTCAATAACCAGCTCTAAAAACTCATCATTCATAAATCATGAAGAATCTTCAGCCCACATCTCCCTTCAAGGTTTGATGTTTATAAAAACTGCCCTCCTTAATATCTCCCCTTGGAAGCCCCACAGGCACATCAAACAGTATATCCTAAATTGAAAAGTATTTTCATCCCTTCCCCATGTGGGATTTTTTTCCTATATCAGCAAACAATGTCACTCATTCATTCAGCTTCCAGTGGCTTCACTTATTTCTTCCTCCTCACACGCCAAGCCCTGTTAATAATCAATTTCTGTTGATTCACTTCCTAGTATCTCTCCAGAGATCCACTTCTCCCCATCCCTACAGCCATTATCTTAGTTTTCAATACGTTCAGTTGTCACTGGAATTACTACAGGTCTCCCAAATTGTACCTAGTTCACAGTTAGCACTAAATAAAAATTTGTTGAATAAATAAACGATCTTTCTTTAGCCTTTCCCCTTTCAGTCCATTCTTCAAACAGCAACACAATAGTCACACTAAAACTCAAATTAGATAGTTTCATCTCATCTTGAAGCGTACTTGGTGCCCTGAGGAAAATGAACAATTGCATTATGCATGTCATTTCTTGAGTTCCTTCTCACTCACCTCTTCAACCTCACTTGTCAAAGTATATCCTCCAGCCTGTCATACTGAACAATGTACAGTTCCTTAAGTAATACCATAATAACTTTTCTCCTATTTCTTTCTTCATTACCCAGTCTTGTCTGTACTTAAGTCTTATTCAGTATTCCGGATTCAACATAGATGTCGCCCTTACAAAGCCTTCTGATTTGCCAATATTGGATTAGGTGTCTTGTCTATAAGATTCTATAGGACCGTATTCTTTCCCCTATTACTACATGGAACACACTGAAGTGGTTTTCTGATGACTGGGCTGTAGTATCCTTAAGATATGCATAATGTATGCATCATGCTGTATTCAAGAATAGCCCAGGACCTGACACATAGGGGGATACTCAGATTCATCTGTATAATGGGGACATTGTCCTACCAACTTTACAGCATTGTCAGAAGGATCAAATACAGGGTGGTCAAATAAAATACAGGATGGCCAGTTAAATTTGACTGCCAAATACACAATGAAAACTTTTTCCAATGTCTTATGCAATATTTGAAACACACTTACACTAAAACAATTATTCATTGTGTACCTAGAATTCAAATTCAACTGGGTATTGTTTTTTTGTAAATCTGACAACTCTGATTAAACAAGACCGTATATGTATGAAAGTGTTTTACCATCTATAAAAGACTACAAAAAATGTAAGCAAATGTAAGCTCTGTTTTTCTAAAAATCCATTACAACTTTGAAATAAATAATGAGAAGTTTCCATGTCAGGCTTCTGTGATTTTCATCTATTATTGACAAATCTTGCTGTGTGAGTTTATTTGTTCTTCCTAAATTAAACAATATCCTTCTTGAAAATAAAAGTACATTTCTTGGGGACATATGTTTAATTCCAAGCAACTGGACACCAAGATGCATACTGACCATTTAAAATGATCATTACACTAGAAGAAGAATGGAAGGGAGAGAAGAAGGGGGAAAGAAGAAGATTTAAAACTGTGTTTGCAATCAAGTAATTTCAAGAGGAAAAAACCCTGGGGCAACTCCTCCTTTAATACTGTTTCTATATTAACCACCCTAAATTTGGAACCCAGTGATCTAGACTTCTCCACATGGACTAATATTTAAAAATTGATGAAATATAACTTTTCTAATTACTTTCCAATTACTTGATTTAAGACTTAAGAGCCATAGATATAAACTAGAAAAATCTCTGGCATAGAGGGAGTCAAGATACCTACTTTTTCAACTAACTCTTGTGTCTTCATGCTGGACATTTGCATTCTCATCTCTAGAAAAAGACAGTATTGATTCAGGTGATTTCTAAATGTCTACATACCTCTAACACTCTGAAATTTTATGAAATATTCACTTCATATTGTAGACATTAGCAGAAATAAAACATAAAAACTATTTGATTTACATGTGTATTTGAAGTAAACCCTACCAAATGAAGTTCATAACTCCATTTTTGAATCTATTATAATTATACAAATCTAATCCACTCACAGATATCAGGTAAGCTAACAAAATGCTAGTGGTAGCAGAATCAGTATGCTCAAAATTTCAGTTAAATGACAGACACACATTGGCAATGTTCATCAGATGGAGGAAAAGACACAGAAGCATCATTCCTCCTCCCCCATCTCCTCTTCATTCTCCCTGAAGAGGACAGAAAAAACTAATTTGGAACTAGCTTAAATGTCACAAGTACTAGGACTCAGACATAAGGACAATTACCAGAATCACTGGACTGGAAGAGATTTAAGAAATCATCCCAGACAGACACAAATCACCCCTGATAAACTGATTCCTTTACAAGCAATAAAGTTAAGGGACAGATGTTCCTGTTTTATACACCAACACCATGGGAGAGACTCCCCAAAACATAACTAACTTTTAGTATGTTAATGAAGAAAACATTGCTTGCTCTGTTATCCTTCCTATGTCCTTTCTTTCCCCTTCACCCACCAAAAGCTCTCAGGTTCTCGGACAGCTTGGCTGGGGGTAGTGAGAGGCTGGGAAAAGCTTCTAGGGCCCTAGTACCCTGAGGTGAGATCTGGGAAAGTGATGGAGTTAACCAGGAAAGAAAAAGGGACATTCAAAGGGGCTGTTTAATATTTGAGGAATTATTCACATTCCAGAGCTATACCCTGTGTCTTATAGAGCATTGCTTTTTTCCTCTCTGTAGTGAGGGATGCTCTAACAAGAAACTGCCATCTTCCTAAATGGTGCTACCCTTGGGGCCACAGTGACTGATCCAGGTGGCAAGTGATCCAGGATGGGCTGGTCAGCATCTTCCTTCTTGGTTTTCTAAATTAGAAGAAAGAAAATAGAGCCTTCAGCTCTCTGGTGGTAAAGCAAGGAAAATGTCAGGCAATAAGCTGTTGGCAGCCATATTCAAGGCCATGTGGAAAAGCAGAACTGCAGAGAAAAAAATGCAGCCAACAGGCAGACAAAAGCAGAGAAAAGGAGCAACTCGGGGGAAGAGTCTTTTCTCTATTCAAGGGCTGGTTCGAGTTATATTCCTGCCCTTCCCTGGTTTCCTCAGTTTGTGTGAGCCAGTAACTCTTCCTTTTCTTTTCCTAGGTTTTTTCACATATGAGTCTCTGCTAAGAACCCTGAATCATAACATTAAAGACTAAGGGAACATTTGCAAAGGCAAGGAGCAGTGACCTAACTAATAAAATGTCTAAGAAGGGCCCCCAATTTCTGCCTCTCCCTAAAACAATGAAAAAAATAAGCCACATTACAATAATCCAGGCAGAGTGTGCTTTTCTTTGTTTTCTCTGATGATTTACATTGTTAATTTGGGAGAACTTTTTCTTTCTTTTTTTTTTTTTTTTTTGAGACAGGCTCTCATGCTCTCTCCCAGGCTGGAGTGTAGTGACCATGATCACAGCACACTGCAGCTTCGATCTCCCAGGCTCAAGCAATCCTCCCACCTCAGCCTCCCAAGTAGCTGGGACTACGAGCACAGGCCACCACACCTGGCTAATTTTTGTATTTTTTGTAGAGGTGGGGTTTCGCCACGTTGTCCAAGTTGGTCTCAAATTCCTGGGCTCAAGCGATCCTCCTGCCTCGGCCTCCCAGAGTACTAGAATTAGAGTCATGTGCCACCACACGGGGCCAGGAGGAGCTTTTTATTAGCGGAACAGAAAAGTCCACATTATACCAGGAAAACTTCGATAAGCACAATGATGTATTTTAGTATTGATTATATGCTCACAGATACTTGATCTGACGTTTATAATTTGGCTATTCAACATTTAAGCCAATTAAAGATCGGGAAGGCAGGGCTTAAATTTCACTGCACAGTAGGCAGAATTATGAACTCCTCCACACGTCATTTGGTAGAGCAGCCTCTCACAGACTGTGTCCTGAGAAGAGATAGGCATGCTCTCATAAGCATAGGAAACACTGCCTGATGAAGTCTTCCTCTTGGAGGTTCACAATGCATATTAACACATAAGAAAAGCGTCAGTAAATATATCTGCTTAATTTTGTTTAACAGCTAAACAAATTTACTTATATAGGAATAGATTTATTTTATTTCTCTCACACTTATTCATAAAAAACCAAAGCAATTTGCCCTTGATACCAGCAAGGGCTGTAAACAGTGTAGATATGGACTAAAGATTTCATCTCTTGTCATGGAGACTCAATGGCAAATTAAATCATGTGCTCCATTACCATAAAAATCATAGGCATATTTTGAAGAAGTCCAGACAGATTTCTTTTCTGGTCAAGTACATTGCTGTTTGTATGCTAATTATAACTTATTGGTAGTGGTCAACTGGAAATTTTATCTCACCAGACTTTTTAAAGGCCAGGTGATCAGATGGAATGCATGAGTTGCACTGGCATTAGTTTTCTTTCTGGAAATGAAGACGGAAATAATACAACTCATTCAGGGAAGCGCAAGTAGCTCTATTTGACAAGAAAGTAAGGTGCAGAGCTAGGTCAGGGAGTGAGGAGGAGGAGGGTCTCAATTTTTGGTATAAGGATGAAGATAAAGCATGAACACCAAAGATTAGGTAAGTACCAGCTGGTTGTAGGAGGGAGTAATGGAGAACTGTGGATGATGATGGAGTTTCTGGCTGGGCCCCTGGAGGTGTGGTAGACTAGAGACCAAATGAGCAACTTCTCATTCGTGTCAGAAAGAAATTCAGGATCCTCACCTTCTTGTTGCACCAGCTTCTTTTTCTAATGCCCTTCTCCTGCAATATGATTCTAGAGCACCAAGGGCATTTAAATCAGCACAAGGTGACAGAAACAAGTGCACACAAGAAACCTGCTTGTTCCTAGATAAGCACATCTATCCAACTGTGAAGAATCATTCAGAGCCATTCGAAAGCAAATGAACTGTCAATACACACTGGAGATAGCTAGGACAGGTAAAAATTGTAAAGTTAGTCTTGCTTAACCTAGGCAGAATAAATACAAAATTAAATCCACTAGAAGTCACTTAAGATGGCTTTAAGTGACGAGTTTGCTTTGATAATGTGGAGGATGAAAGATTAATTTTCCTCTCAAAAAGGTTTTGTCATGTAATAGCCAGTAGTACCAATCATCAGAAATAATTACAAATAGCACACAAATAGATTCAAACAACCGTATAAATAAGGATTTAAAAAATTCATGAGCTGCCACCTCTTACTAAACTGTACATAATTTGGCAATATTTTAATAATTTGACAGTACTATAATACAATCAGGTCTTCTAGAATAAATCATTTTCATTTTTCACTACTGAAGACATAACCCAAACCTTTTCACTAATCCCACTCAAACTATAGGAAATGCTGCATTCAACCATATCCAGAATGTAATAGAATAACTCTAGAATTAACTCTAGGATAAGGATATTTTCTTTATTCTTTCTAAATGAGTCTTATGGATGTGTCTGATAATTATGTCTTTTCTTAAAAGTATATTAATCATTTAATGCTGGTCTCAAAATTGCTTATGTACTACCATGTTTTATCTCTTTTAGCATTATTTTGAATTCCTAGGATATGAATGAATGAAGTAAAAGCAGGTTCTTACATTAATGCCTTCTTCTAAATTAGGCACATGTGTATCTTTTGTTGGAGTTTCAGTTGCTTTTGACTTGTCACTATTGACAATTTATCAGAATAATAAATTCTTTATAAAATAATTCTACTTACTTTGCTAGTAACGCATATTTAGGAATAATCTATTCTTTACCAGTTCCCAGTAAAATAAAACACATAATGACATTAAAGAGTAATTTGGATATTTTACTGACTTTATATTTTGGCAATGTTTCATGCCTCATTTGCCCTAAAACTCATTAGATTAGTGCAACACCATGTTTTAATGCAATAAGTTCAGACTTATTTTTCCAACTAAGTTGAGCCCTGCTTATTTTCTGTGCTTTCATGCTTGAGTTAATAAATTGCAAAGTTTCTCTATTTTGTTTGCTCTGTTTTCCTTTATATACCATTTGCTGGAGGTTCTCTATTTTGAAAGACAGGGATGAGATGAAAAGTAAATTATCCCTTTGGGTTTGTGAAATAAAGTTTACCTCTCTACAATCTGCAATAGCAATCATTTCTTTTATATTATTGAGCCTTCAATTTGTGACAAGTACATGCACCTAAAACCAACATATCAATGGGAACGAACCAGAAAACAGTGATTGGAAGAGTGCCAGGTGAAGACAGCAACGGAGATCACATGATCTCAGGAAGTGTAATCTTTGTAGCAGTGAGGGTTTGGAAGACTGGTAAGGTAGGTGACTTTATCATGTCCCAGCACGGCCTTGAAGAACTCCACAACCCTATGGAGGGTCTAGTTTACCAAGCAGAGATGTTTTTTGACCTTCCTCCTGATCATCTAGCTTCATCCTGTTTATAATTAAGTTTCACTTCCATGTAACTAAAACATATATTTTCTTAAGGATAAATTATTCAATCCTGATAGATCAAAGCTTCATCTCAATGAGGTCAGTCATCTGGCAAATGGTCTCACTCTCCTGCATTTTGGAGCCATTTGAGAGTCATTTTTGTTATGAAAGTTTACATGAACACACAGATAAATTATGTCTCCTCCCACCTTCTTGCCATATTGTAATCATGACATATAAGTCATTTGTAATACTACAACACAAGATGAAACTTGAGGACATTATGTTAAGTGAAATAAGCCAATCACAAAAGGACAATACTGTATCTTACTATTTAATGGGTATAGAGCTTCATTTTTACCAACTGAAATGAGCTGTGCTGATGGTTGCCCACCATTATGAATGTATTTAATACCACTGAACTCTACGATCAACAACAGTTAAGGTGATAAATTTTATGTCCTGTGTATTTTACCACCAGGAAATTTTTTTAAGTCAATCACATACCTTCTTAAGTATCTGATCTACTCTCTCATCTTTGTTGACTTTCCAAACCCTATACCATCTCTCTGGCCCTTATCTGTCCCAGCTCTCACTAGAGGCTCTACCATTGCACTCCCAGTTCAATGCTCTCACCTTATCCTGACCACAGTAGGAAGTATCGCCTGACCCTTCTGTTAGCCAGTAATCACATCCCACATCTTTTATTCCTTTTTGCATTGCCTGGCTTTCCATGTGGTGTGCTTTAGCTCTCCAATAAGATAGCAAGTACCTACAATATTGCTGTCATATTTTTATACCCAACCATGCCCTAAAAAGATTGTGTGTGCAATAAATTATTGTTAATTTGTTTACTTCTCATTTTAGAGACACCATACAGACAAAAATAGAGAATGAAGTTTTGTACTTTTTGTCACCACTCTATCTTAAACTCACATCTGTTATCCACATTCATAGTCTTTCTCCAAATACATTTTTTCATGAAAATATCAAGAATCAAAATTTCAGTTTCACCATATCTCTAAAAACTGAAATTTGACTGTAACTTGACCAGTCTCTAAAGAAAACTTAGAAAATTTCTCTCCTTTTAAATGTTTCAATGACACAGAGAATTCTCTTTTTTCTCTCCGTAGGATTGTCTTCACTAAACTTATAGAAATCTCCAGTCATTTTTATGATATTTTGGTCATTTACAGTTATTTATGCTCCCCCCCCACCCGCGTTGAAAAACCACTATAGTATGGTAAAACAAAATTTCACTCAAAAGTTTATTATTATCAATTTAATATTGTCCTGTCCTGCCTGCTGTAGTTCAGCAGCACAGCACACCAGCAATTAAGATGGGCAGTAGTCAGTCTAGAGCTCAAGGACACAGTCTCTGGATTCAGATGACCTGGCTTAAATGGCAGCTTATAATCTATGGGATGTTGGGCAAGTTACTTAATCTCTCTGTGCTTCATCTTCATCCATACAATTAAGCAAAACCTGTAGAGTTGTCATAAGGATTAAATGAGATGATGTATACAAAGCACTCAGCCCAATACCTATACCAAGCAGACAGTGAATTTTTAAAAAATTAAAATTGATGTTTTGAAGAAGAATGAAAATTGACCCAGAAGTTTAAAGGAGAGATTGACACAGAAACCAGAGGAAGAAAGTAGCCTCATATGAAAGAATTCTTTAGGATCAAGCATAAAGCCTCCAGTCAAGGTTCCCCCAAAGAATTACTCCAACTATTTTAACATGTCTTAAACAATTTTAGCCCAAAAAGTACCTTGTACTAATCAGCTCTTCACAGTTATTTTTTAAGTACTTTTATATGCCTACTTACACATGGTACTACACTAGATGGAGTTTATTACAGTATTTCTATTTTCTAGATAAGGAAATTACACGCAGTGAGGTTAGCTCAAATAGTCCCTGTCACTAGTAAATGACCCTGACAAACTACAGTAGTCTGAACACTTGTCCCAGGATTGTCTCCACCACACCAATCGCATTCAGATAAACCTCTTTCTTTCTATCCGGATCACAGCTAATGAAAAAGAGAGAGAGAGAGAGAGCTAGAACTACCAATGAAAGGCAAAATACGATATTTACAATGCCTAAATAATATTTCAATATGTTCCACATGAACACAAGATTTGGGTTAGAGAATAGGCTTTGCATTTGGCAACTCAAATAGCTCGAAGATCCTGAGAGCTATGCTGGCCAATAGAATAATGACTAGCCACAGGCAGCTACTGAGCACTGGAAAAGTGACTAATGCCAAATGTCAAAATGATAATATTTTGGATATACTGAGTCCAATAAAATACATTATAAAAATGTATTCCCCGTGTCTAATTTTCATGTGGCTACTAAAAGTCCTTTTGAATCCAGTAAGCATTATATTTCTATTAGGCTGAGCTGTAAGGTCATGATAATCTGAAAACTAGGTTCCCTCTCCATACCTGTGTGCCAATGCTCTTCACTGCAGTAACACTGAAGTTAATATGACTGAGACGTAACTCTCTAAGGCCAATTAATCAGCAGTGCATTTGTAAGAAGTAATTGTCTCTCACTATATATCACTTCAGCAAAACAGATTGGTATTTCTTTGTACCTCTACAGCTTAGTTATTGTAGCCCCAGGGAGTAGAGTTTTCTCAATATGTGACGGACCGATGTGCATCTGTTGCTAAAGTAATTTCTTTCCAGTTAACACATGCAATATAAGACAATGAATTTTAATTTTTTTCTAACTATCATCATGAAAGAAAGTATCTGAGAAAATTGAGTATTTTAGAGAAAGGTCAAGTACTGTTAACAAAGTTAATTTTACTTGGTATCTGCATGTCACAGTAGTCTTCCTTCTGACTCAAGAACAATTGCTAAGAACCCTTTGAAGTTCATGAGTAGATATAAGAGAAATAGATTGTGACATTTTTACCTGCTAACTTAGCATTGAAATGTTCACAATGTCAAGTGGGAAATTAATAATTATGCTACTTTTTGCCACTGAATGTCTGTCAAAGAGAACAAAACCATGTCAAGCAGAAGCAAAGTAGAGATGGAAGCATTTGTGACACCATCTCTCATCCCTGCATGAAACAGGAAATCAAAGACAAGTTCAATATATGCCCCCCACACTAAGTTAATAGACACATAGAACTGGTAAAATAAGACAAATTAATTAACTTAGTATTCAGCCTGCCTTGAACTACGTGTCAAGAAATACATTCTGTCACCTTAAAATTTAGAGAAATTTAATAAGGGGAAAAAATCTCAAGTGGGAAATCAAACTTCTGTAACATAGATTCATCCTTACCTGTATAATATCCATATTCACACTAATAAGAATAAGACAAGTCAAATTTCTTAGTAGACACATTAATAAAAGCACTTAAAACATAGATTTCTTCAGGTAATCTATTTGCACCTGAGTGTTGGGGTCACTTTTGGGTTTCTCTAGCAGTGGATCAAGCCAACAGCCAAATTAAAGTGTATAACTATAAAACATCTTATTCTCTGGGGTTTTGTGAAAATATAGATCTGATTTGTGAGCCACCGGAAATATCCCTTCAATGAAACATACTTTACCAACAGATTCTGAAAGCTCCTCACTTGTAAGAGTCATCCGTAAAACCCTTGCCCCTATCAGAGGTATTTTGGCTATCAAACAAAATTATTTCCTTATTAGGGTATTTGGATCGGGCATCCTTTTTCCTAGGCTGGAGGAGAGAAGGGAAGGAGGTAGATGTTCAAATCTAAAGGGAGTGGGGTACCACTTCAGAGGATGAGAGATAGGAAGCAGAGAGTGCTAAAAACCAGCAGCATACTTGAATATTTGCCTTAGGAAAAGAGGTGAGCAATAGTCTTGAAAAAATGGCTAGGGTCTCAGATTCACCCAGATGAATCATGTTAAAGTCAAATGTGCACTTTGCATTCATAATGAACTTAAATTCCAATGGATCATCTCTTAAGTTTCTGATGCTAAATAATTTTTAAAAAATACTAAAGAGCTTGGTGTTGTAAAGGAAACTCACCTGAGTAACAATTTCAAGATGGCAAGAGTCTCAGAGTCCTGCTTTTTCTCACCAGCTGAAAAGCCAGTAAGTCTTAATTGTCTCTAAACAATCTCCAGCTGTGTAACCTTCTTTTCATGCAGGATCCTTATAAAAGAAAGGCTCATAAAATAGTTTTCTAAGCACTATATTTATGCTGGAATTTAAACTTCAATTACAAAGAGAAATTATATCTACCATTTGATGCAAATGCATTTGAACACATTATGACTATAAAAGTAAAACCTGCCTAATCCTCTCATAAACTTTGTAGTTTTATAAAACTCTTATTGTTTTACATGCATAAAATGTGAATGACAATCAGCATTCTAAACAGAATCCTAAGTCAAAAACACAAAACTTCATGATATTCTCAATGTTTTCTCCTCCAATCTATTCTATATAACAAGCAGAGTGAAATGTCTCCCATATTTTAAAAGTAAAAATGGGTTTATTATTCTATTATTTCTGAATCTTATTGATCTACTGTTCTACTGTCCTACACTAAAGACATTCAGAACTATATTTTATACTTTTCCAACACACCAATATTTCCCTAAGTCCATCCTAATTTGCAACATGAATCTGAAAATTTTTAAAACTAAAAATCTTTTCACTACTTAAAACTCTCAAGGCCGGGCACAGTGGCTCACACCTGTAATCCCAGCACTTTGGGTGGCTGAGATAGGTGGATCACGAGGTCAGGAGTTCGAGACCAGCCTGACCAACATGATGAAACCCTGTCTCTACTAAAAATACAAATATTAGCCGGGCGTGGTGGTGCACTCCTGTAATCCCAGCTACTCAGGAGGCTGAGGCAGGAGAATCGCTTGAACCCTGGAATCGAAGTTTGCAGTGAACCGAGATTGTGCCACTGTACTTCAGCCTGGGCAATAGAGTGAGACTCCATCTCAAAAAAAAAAAAAAAAAAACTCTGAAATTGTTAAGGATGTTATGGAAATCCAATAACTCCTCGATTGTCCCTCTGATCTCAAATCAAAATGAAGATTTGGAGCAATTTGGTTGGAAACAATTTGCCACTACTCCTAGGTCCTAATAGTCAATAAACATTTTCCAAATAAACATTTTCTAAATAGCTAATATAGAAAGATTACAATTCAAGGGAAGAAAGGAAGAATTTGCATAGGAGGTGGGAGGAAAACTTTTCCTTCATAAGAATGAGATTGCCAAAAGAAAGAATTTTGCCCTACGCAAATTTTAAGTCACCATTATCAACTAATTAGTAAGAACAAATCCCTATGTCCCACAGCCATAATTCAAATCAATCCCTGTGTTAGAGACAAATTTTCTTTCCTCAGCACTCACTCCCGTTCCCCAGTACAGGAAGCTTTGGGAATCTCAAAAAGTTTGTCTCCTTGGTCACATCCATTGACCCTGTCTTTCTGAGTCATCGGGAACAGGGTCTAGGCGAAGTTGTAAGTTTATAGATGTCGGGAGTGTGGGGCCAGGAAGATTGAGAATGAAGGCCATAGAACCTTATGCCTCCTTTCTTCCTCCACGCATTTTTCTAGAAATATTAGGTTGATGGTAAAGGATTAAATTATTTATTCATGTTCATGTTTTAGGAAAGTTTTCCGAATAATGTACATGTGGCATATAATAAAACAAGAGATCAACAAGAAATCTAAAAATAGTATCTCTTTTACTGCCTTGCTCACTGTTCCTAAGGAGAATGCAAGCTTACATTCTTAGAACTCACAGTTATCTTAGCCTGAAAATTGGAATGCATGAGGGAAAAGCTGCCATTCACTAACTACATAACAAAGAAAATTCTGCATATCATGCCAAGACATTATACAGTAGGTGGTGTTAACATAGGAAGCCTTTATCATGAGAAGGTAGAAACCCTATTACCTCCTAATAACTGCAACCTGTAATACGAAGTTCTATTTTAGTAGAGCTTTGTATATCTTTAAAAAATAAGAAAAGATCATTTGTCTCCCTTTCTATGAACCGGGCCACACAATGAGTTGCCAATGCCTTTTCTTTTTTTATTCTATTCTCTCAAAAAAGAGAAGGCAATAATAGTCCTATAAGGTTGACTCCACATGAATAGACTAAATTCACAAGAATGGAATTTTTCATGAGGAAAAGCGCCTCGCAGCACTGCAGGCAGAGATTAATATCTGGGAGTAAGTAGACCACAGAGCATTTGATAAGTGTTGTTTCAAACATTGTCTGTAAAATATAATTTCAACAAGCCAGAATAAAATCCATCTTTTTAATTTGTAGTCACACCATGTAAATCAGGCTTCTTACAGAAATGCATCAGTCTCTCAGGAATTATTAGGGAATTGATGATACACAGCTGTTTCCAATAGTGCTGCTGAGAGCCAGGTAGGAATGAGGCCTGTGCTCTCACTTTGGGCCAGGTGAGAAAGGTGAAGCAAACACTACCAGCAAACTTCAGGCCACAGCAGGCCACTGGTGCTGCCAGCTTTCCACATTCTTGCTCAGAAAAAAAACAGCAAAGCCCTCTGAAAACATAAATTGACCACCCCAACCTGAGCAGCTCTTCAAACTCTCTAATAGCATTTCTGGAACACTGGGTGCCCTGTGGGGTGTGGCATGACATTACCATGACATGACCTTATCTGGTTTTGCTGTAAAGGGTATACAGTAGTCTTGTGACTCTTACTTCATGGGCACCTCCAGAGTCAGACCCCAAAGGGAAGAGGGTTTACTGATCTGGACATCAGCAGAGCCACTGAAACAATCAACTGGGCACACTCTGTTAAAGCACTTCTCTGTAACAATACTTGACAAGCTTTTACTTGCAAGAGCTCTATAAGAACAGGAACAGGACGGGCTGAAAGGAATTTCCCCCTTGCAATGGAATAAACCATGTACATTTACAATGCTTAACTCAACTATAAGTTCACAAAACGAAATGCAAGTAACACCCATAGTAACTATACTTTGGGCCTACTGTTAGCTGCCAATCATTTTTGAGGAAGATAGTGCTAAAATCCTATTATTATACAAGCCTAGGATGATATTTCTGCCCTGATTGTGAACAAAATCTTTTTTATCTCTCTTATTACGCTTTTGTAAATTTAAATTATCATTAAGTATTCAAAAAAGTTGTCCTAAGCACTGGAGAATATAATGATGTAAAAGATGCATATAGATGTGTCTACCTACTCTGGCTGACTCATATTAAAATGCACTGACAATATTTAAAAAGAAGGAGACAGAGAAAGAGAGAGAAATGAATTAATTAATTAATTAATTGGCCTAGGGGCCTGCATTTCATCAAGTCTGCCTCCCATTCTCTGCTGCCCTAACTCTCCTGGTTCTTTAACCCCTTCCTTTCACCCTGTGCCCTGGCTACCATTGCTCAGCTGACCCCTCTTGATAGGCTCCTAGGTTTGGATCCACTTTCTGTGTTTTGACTTCAGCACTTCCCACCCCAGGACCTGACTTGGTATCCATCCACTTGCTTACCATCTGCAGTGTGACCAGGGGATAAAGGCATCCAGGACCTCACACCCCACTGAGTCCCTGTGGGATGAACTAGAAGAGGAGACCCTTTTCTCAATTCCCACATGGGGAAAGGACCAAGCAGGAGGCTGTGGAGAGAGAAGTTCAGCGAGACTAGAAAGCCAGAGGGTGTTGGTCTTGCCCTTCCTAGCCCCATCCAGCTAGAGGAATTAGATGTTTAGATAGCACACTTAGCCTGATGTAGTCACTGGGTCTAGACTACAAGCCCAGAAGATTATTAGAGACTTTGTCCTTCCAGCACATGGGATCTAAAATAATCTTGCTGTCTGAAGCCCAGCCTCCATATTCACCTTAGCCACAGTCTTCCCCCAACTCCTCCAGTGGCTGCCCAGTTCTATACCCCAATTCCTGATTCCTCAGAAGCTCCAAAGTGAGAGTGGAGACCTGCCATAATGCTAAACAATTGCCTGCAATGCTAACAATACACCTAATCCCGGACAGCCTTCACACCCAACATGGAACTTAGTCGCTAAGCTGTCACCTGCTGGGTTGGGATCCAGCTTCAATCCGGAGTGACCTTCAGTCCCAAAACATGACCACTCGACTTATTTCAGCATCACTGAAGCCAAAAACTCCAGCTTTTGTGCGCTAGCCATGCAAGCGAACTCTTAGGTATCAACACTAAGCCTTGTCTCTTGAACACAGCGAATGACCTGCTACTTCTCTGCGGAACTAAACCATCCAAACCTCCTGGAATTCAAAGTCAATCCCCATATCACTGGCTGCACCCATTGCTAACTTTCTGCCTTTCCTTTATGCTACACCTCATGATAAAATCAATATGGATTATAATTTAAAAATTAGGAGACAATTCTCCAAGAGTAGAAAACAAGTTTTCAGACTTCAGATATACAGTATTTCTCAATGATGATAACAAGGTCTAGAGATTAATATCATTTAAGCAAAGTGAAGGAATTTGGAGGCTGATGCTCAAGTGGTTAGCTGATATGGGGACATGGCCTGGAGGTTGGTGGGCAAGGTAGGCAGAATTCAAAGATGGTCCTCATACCTCAAAGACGGTATTATTCCTGTGATTAGGTTGCACTACCTAGCATAATGCAATTATAGATGTATTTAAGCTTACTAATCGGTTGACCTACAAACAGGGAGATTATCTAAATGGGTCAAACCTAATGACATGAACCGTTTCAAAACTGAAACTCTTGTCCAGCTGGTTGCAAAGAGGAAGTCAGAGAGTAGAAGCACAGGGAGGTTTTGGTACATGAGAAGCTCTCCAATGCTAGCTCAAAGAAGGAGGCAGGCACATGGGAAGGACCTGAGTACAGACTGTAGAAGATGAGGTCAACTCACTTTCAACAGCCAGCAAGAAGATGGGGATCTCAGTCCTACAAGCAGAGAATTAAATTCTGCTAATTACAAAATCAGATTGGAAGGTTATCCTCCCCAACCCCCATCATCAATCCTCCAGGAAAAAGCCCAGCCCAGCCACACTTTCATTCTGGCCTTGTGAGACCCTGAGCAGGGAAGCTAATCAAGCCTACCTGGACTGTGACCTACAAATCTGTGAGCTAATAAGTGATTGTTGCTTTAAGCCACTCACTTTGTGGTGATCTGTTATGTAGCAATAGCACACTAATACAGCGGTGCCAGTGACCAGGATGGAGAAAACTTGATATGGACAAATGACATGAATCTCACAGGGAAGAAGGAAGTGTCACTTAGACATCAAGATATTTAGAAGCACCACAGATGAGTCTCATGTGACATCCATGACAAAAACCTTTGCCCTAAAGGTTATGTGTTGCATATCCAGTGCTACAGATCCTCACATATTTAGGACCATCAATTAATTGAAAATAAATACTAGATTTTAACATACAGAATGCATTTTTCCCTTGCACAAATTTTTCATTGTCACCCATTAATTTTTAAGAACTAAAATTAATTGTATTTAAAGGTTGAGTCTTGGTGTATTTATATAACATAAATTTTATTTCAAATATGAACTATCATAGATAAGCAAGTGGATGGATAAGCACATAGATTCAGAAAAGTAATAATCTGATAAGATTTCAGCATTTTATCAGTATTTTCTTCTTATGAAATAGATTTCCATTTATTTCATGAACTATATATTGGTAAAGCAATTTCAATTTATCATTTGATGGTCTTATTGTTTCTAGGAGAAATCTCAGTTAATTTAGAGAAAATAGTACTTCACATATGAATTGATTAATTAAATCAATTGTAAGTTTTTAAGGTAAAATTATGATTAGAACTTGTATGCAATGATCCATTTTGTAACTTGTAGGGGGAATGAAGAGGTCTTCTTTATAATTGCTGTAATATGAGGGAGCATCTGCTGCCATGAACAAATTTTTTCTATCAATTTATCATTTTAAATGAACGAAATAAAACTGTTATATCAATGACTTGCAATTTATAGGACTTTTACATCTCCACAATTAGGCAATGTCAAGATGCCCTTAGAAAGAGTCTGGCACTTCTGAGTAGTAAATAGTCACTTCTGGATTTATTTGCAATTCACTTATTCAGGTAATTTTGCACTAAATTCCCTGCCTTGGAATTTACTATCCACTTAGAATTTTGCTATTTCCTGACTGTAAAGGATAGCCCTCCCCAAAAATGTGTATTTTAATTTTCTCTTATTAATCATAGATGAAAATGCTCTGCATTGAGCCTCCCTAACATGAATACTTTAAAATGCTATGGATTATCAATGCAAATATGACTAATCTACAAGCAGAAATGGAAATATGGACATCTTAAGAGAGTTTTAGAGCTACAAGAATAACATGGATAAGGTAATATGATACAATCCATGAAAAAGAAAAATTACCTGAAGCAAATATAATGGAATGTTACCATTTTTACAGTAAACAAAATAAAAGAAACAAAAGACAGAAAAAGATTGAAAGGGATTTTATAAAATTATCTTTAATTTCAGATGAAATAATTGTAATAAAGTAAATCCTAAGAAATCTACAAAGCTACTACTGAAACTACTAAGTGAATTTAGCAGTATCATAAAATACAAGGTCAATATGAAAAATTCAGTTGTATTTCTGTACATTGGCACCAAACAATTAGATGTAAAATTTAAACAATAATTCCATTTATTATAGCATCAAAAACATAACATCTACACTGATTTTAAAAATTGAGAAAATATTTCAAAGATCTAAATAAAGAGATATACTATGATAGTAGGTTGGAAGAATCAATATTATTAAAGTGTCAATTTTTTCAAAATTAATTTGTTGATTCGATTTTAATTATAATCCCAAGAAGCTGTCTTATATTATAGAATATTATAAGCCAGTTCTAAAATTTACTTAGAAATACAATAATCCTTGATAACCAAATCAGTCTTTAAAAAACAAGGTGTAGGACTTAGACCACCTAACCTCAAGACTTAAAGAAAAGCTACAGTAATCAAGATAGAATTGTATTGGCATAAGGACAGACAAATAGGTCAATATAGCAGAATAGAGAATTCAGAAATAGACCACACTAAACCAATCTATTGATTTTTCAATGAAGACGTCAAAGAAAATATTTGAACAGGAAAAGAAAATCTTCTCAATGAATGGTTCTGTGATCACTAGTCATCCAGATGAGAGAAGAAAATGAGAACCCTGAAACCATAGAGAAAATTAATTCAAGCTGAAAAAAGCTAAAACTTTAAAGTTTCTTTTTTGAAAAAAAAAATTGGAGAACATCTTTACAAATTGGTATAGACAAAAATGAAAATGTCAAGTACCTGACTGGGGAAAAATATTTGCAATATGTATGTTTGACAAAGGACTTGTTTCCAGAATATAAAAAACTCCTACAACTTAGTAATAAAAAGACAATGAAATGAAAAACAGCAATAAAAAACACTTGAACAGTCACTTAGAAAGAGAAGACATACGAATGTCCAATAAGTACATGAAAAGGCACTCAACATCTTTAGTCATCAGAAAAATGCAAATTAAAAATGCTAGAATGGCTAAAATTGAAAAGACTGACAATACCAAATGTTGAGGAGGATGTGAATCAACTAGGACTCCCACATATTACTGGTGAAACTGTAAAATGCCATAGCCACTTTAAAAAATAGTTTGGCATTTTCCTATAAAGTTAAACATACACCTACCCTCTGACCCAGCAATCCCACTCCTAAGTATTTATACCACCATCACCATCCCACCCAAAAAAAAACACGAAAACATAGTTCCACAAAAAGACTTATTTGTACAAGAATCTTCACAGTAGCCTTAACTAGAAACAAACTAAATGTCACACATCAACAAGGAAAATGGACAAATGCAATGAAATACTAATTAGCAATGAAAATAAGTAAATTATAATATGCACCAACATGAGTAGATCTCAAAAATATTATGCTAACTGAAAGAACATGGACACAAAAGAATATCCTTTGGATGATTTCCCTTATTATGAAGTCCCAAAACAGAAAAATATAATCTGTTATGACAGAAAAGTCAAGAAGTGGTTGCCCCTGGAGGGGCAGGGAATAGACTGAAAAGTGGAATGAAGAAACTTTTTGGACTAATGAGACTGTCATATATTTTAGTTTGGGTGGTTGTTAAATGGGTTCATACAATTGTCAAAATCCCTCACACCACACACTTAAGATTTATATATCTTATTGTACGTAAATTATAATTCAACTCTTCTTCTCCCAACAAAAAGATGGAAGAAAATATGACAGAAAGTCACCCTTTGTTAATGCTGATTGGTGGATATATGGTAAAGAATAATTCTCTACACTTTTTGTATTTACCAAAAAAAAACTTTAAAATATTTGAAAGTTAAAATTTAAAAATATATGTCTAAGTCAAATAAATACTTTGTGCTTCCAGGAAACTTGCAAAGTGATACAGAGCCAAACAGTAAATAAACCTTTGCAATTCATAAAAATCAATATACCAGCAAGGACTTTGATTCTCAGGTTTCTGAGATACGAGTGTGGCTAGGATACAAGAGATCAGATCTGAAACAGGAGACATTCACAAAGCTCTGAGGCGCTTACTTTGGGATGTGACTACAGTGGACTAGAGTACCTAGGCATTTGTCTTGGGCCATCACAATTTAGAATTTAGAATCAAGTAATAATTTTATATATATTACATATATATTTAAATTTGTTCCTTTTAAAATATGTGGCATTTACTTGTTTACAGTATATGTCCCCTTTCAGCAACACAGAAACAAGTGAGCTCAGCACTTAGCTGCAAAAATAACCAGTAAAAATAGACAGTGACCAGATGGTACCCTCTGATAATAGCACTAACTGAAAGCGACATAATAAATTACATAGGTGACAAATTTGCTTTTCATTCTACTTGTCCTGGGCTCCAAGACTGCTTTGCTCTCAACTCTAAGGTCATAATGTAATGTTTTTTACTCTAAACTAAGTGTGTCAGCAACTAGATTCCAATTAGTGGTACAGGAGCTCCTAAATACCAACATTATGCTGGGATGTGTTCTTGTTGGATGGACACCCCTGACCTCCATTCAATCAAAATCGAAGTGTTCAGTTCAACTGAATGCTGACTTGACTTCTACTCCTCTGGATGTCTTAAAAAAACCATTCCTGGTTCAAGCCACACCAGCAAAGAACTCAGGACTTGAAAAACATGGCTTTGGCCCCTTAGAAAATCACCTTTCATGAACTGCACTTGATAGTATTAGATAATTTTTAGAAATTCCACTAAGGATATTGCCCATAAAAATCTTAAGGTCCCATATATGAAGAAGTGCCAGAGACCTCTCTGTGAGGCCCCAATGGTGGGGAAATTGTGCTACCTCTGAACAGTACTGTGTTGACACATGAATCCCTCAGTAGAACGTGATCTCCTCTTTGCTTTGACTACTAAAAATCTCAGAAGCAAATTGGCAACCCAGTTCTGGCAATTTTCCATAAACTTACTTATGAATTTTTTAATGATATATTACTGTATTAATTTCTGTTAGCTTCCTAAAATTCTCCTGGAGGAAATAAAATTATAAATAATGTAATTTACAAATTCATCAGTCATATGATTTATTTATTTATTTATATCTATATCTGTTTGCATAAAGGATTTAAGATGGCTCCATCAGGTATATCTAAAAATAACTGAAACTCAGATTATATTTACCGCAGTTTCATTCTTTTTTCATAGAGATATTACATACCTACAGAACAGTTGGGTGAATACTTAACGAGATACCTAAAAGAATGAACTGCAGTAAAATAATACATTATTTAATGCCTTGGGATATTTTAAGATGGTAATTGGTTTTTATCTTAGGATCATTCAAAACACAAATAAAAGATATCTTTTCTGATGTCTCTATGAAAGGACAGATAGCATTTGGAACTAGACAAGCTACTTTCCAACATCTTGACAGAGTGGAGACCCCTACATCTCAGTCATCAGTCTGAGGGATATGGGAGGAACGCTTGTATTTATAAGTATAAATTAACCCCACTTGAAATAGAAATTATGGTTTTAGAAAAATAAAGTTATATTTCCTGCAGACCTCATTCTATACACTGGGGTCCATATTGAGACTCAAAACATGAAACAGGATGATATGATTTTTCTATATACATGTATATGGGAGTTCCAGTGGCACAACAGGCTAGCAGGTGATGCTTATATACATGCATATGTCCAGCTACATGAATTCATATATGTACAGCATTTCTCAGAGCAAACATTGGTAGGAAAAATGTGAACCAGCTGCTATTAACTACATTTTACAAAGAAAATCTTCCTGTACATTTTCTGTGGGGTTAAAATTGTCATTAGGTTGTTGTCGTTGTTTTTATCAAAAAGATAAGGTGGATTGTTTTGATAATACAGTTATTTAAAAATAAGCTCTAGGAATATCAGTTGGAGCATTTAAGTAATTCATATAGTGTACTTCCGAAAAGTCTTTTTCCATAACTTCAAAATACTTTCAAGAGTTTTTCTGATCAATCTTGGCCACATATAATGAGTAAAGAACAGACATTTTTGTTTTCAAGTGAAAAACTTATAGCCTAAAATGGTTAAATGACAAATGGCTTATTGAAGTTGGCCCAGTGGGTCCCTGACAATGGAATGATTAAAATAGTCTACATACTGTTTGACCTTCAACATTAACATTCATTGATTAATATATATCAGTTTTACCGTAATGAGCTATTTCTTCTTTGCCCTTTTTACATTGTTTCCTCCTCTTCTATAATTACGACTGACTTTTGAATTCCATCTACAGAGTAGATAAATTCTTTATTATGGTGATTCTATCTAAAGCTGAAATGACTGCTAAACTATTCAAAACAATTAGCAGGGACAACTGCCATGAATGTGGTTCTCAAGGCCCACAAACAGCCATCAAAACTAAAGCTACAACCTACAGTCTTCCATGTATCCTTCACCTGGTCAAGTTTATGGCTTCATCCTTGTGCTTCCTGAGGCTTGATTTGGATGTCTGCCACAGGACTTTACCCATCTTGACTTATAATTTGCTGCCTATATGGGCATCTCCCTCCTTGGACTGTAAGCTCCTTGAGGGCAGTAACAATGTCATGTCATCTTTGTATTGTGTCATCCCTCACAGTACCCAGCGCAGCTTTGTGTACAACTGGTCCTGAAAGCTTCCTCAGCTCATTCCAGCCCTCAGGTATCTTGTTCTCCTCTGAACTGCTGTGGTACTTAAGCATGCACTGAATTAAAATAATTTGTAGTATAACCCAAAGGGAGATTCTGTTTACGCAAAGTCTCATTTACAGTGATTCATTCAGGTGGGCAACAAACAGTCCAGCCAAGAATTGGCACTGTACCGGAGCCGTGGAAAGCATCATGCTGCCTATTCATGTTTTCCCCTCTGCTGCCTGTCACGCGTCTTCAGTGACGGCACAGCCAAGGCTCTGATGGAGTGCCCTTGCCATTAGCCTATGGCCATCTGTCATGCCAGGTTGTAAATGACAGCAGGTCAAGGGAAACAGGCAGGCAGCCAGAACCAGGAAACTGGGATACAGATAAAACATGAGGGTCACAACAGCAATGGAGTTAGTCAGAAGTCATTAACCAAAAAAAAAAAAAAAAGTCAAAAGGACACTGACAGCAGAGGACAGAGAATGATAAAAGGCCAACAATGAACAACCGGAAAATCAGCAAGAGTTGAAGGTTAGCCCAAAGTAGAGGGTTATTACACTCAGATGAGGTTACACACACAGCTGCAGAGACATGCTGACAGGATTGAAAGAAGGCACTTGTCACACAACTTTAAATAACAGTCCCGTGACTGAACCTACTATCAAAAGTGCACTTTGAACTAACTTTTCTAAAATAAATCTTGTAACATCTTATGAAAAGCACAATTATATTACATTGTGTTCATACCTAAGGAAAGCCTTCATTTATGAAATTTACACATTTTAAATAGTCCACAATTTTTTGCTATCCCGTTTCATGTTTTCTTCTGTTTTATAACACATCAGGAATTTTACAAATTGTAAGATACTTAAGGAATACTTGATTCATTGTACACACTGCTTTTATCATGCTGACAAACTGACATACAAACCAACAAGACTTGAACCATCTTCTAGTTCACTGAGGCCACACCTAATCTCCTCACTCTGATTTTGAAGGCCCTCTGTAACCTGGCTCCAACCTCTTTTTCCAGCCATAACTCCTACGGTGCATAAGAGTAAGACACTCCCTTTCAACTTTTCCTCTCCATGGCAGAAGTATGGAAGAACCTCAAAAGTTTCATGAGCTCTGGGTAAGTCTGAGCCTTCTCTAGGCTCTCCCTCGCCATTGGCAGGAATAAAGAGGGGGCCTTGATCTCTGCATACTCCTGGCAAGACCCCCACCCTATCTTCTCCTCTACAGCCTTGCCCCCATCATCTGCCTTGAAACCTTTGAGGCCAATCTGACCCTGCTCTGTATCTTTGCATACATGTGTCAGAAAAGCCAGTTCAGACCCCCAGGTCTAGATATCCCCAGAATCACAATGCCTTCTGTATCATACTGCCTCTCCCTTTTCATTATTTTCCCAGTTATATTTGACATTAGATATATTTTCCTTATTTATGTGGCTATCTTCCTCTACTAAAACACAGCCTGTATGAGGACAGGAATTTTTACCTGTCTGGTTTCCTACAGTATCCCTGTTTCCCATAACAGTTGCCTAAGACATAATAAGCCACAAAAAATATTAAGCTAATGAGTGGGTGAAAAAAAAAACCGTATTTGAACAGTCTGCCCTACTTCCTGGATACAAGCAAATATTTTACTGCTCCATGACTTTGTTCAAATAGTTCCTGATGCTGCAGCTGGGGCCCTCCCTTGCTCCTGTTTGTCTCTGCAAATCCTATCTGTCAAGATCCATCTATAATCCCTCCTCTTCTGGAAAGCTTTCTCAGCTTGTTCCAGCCTGCAGGTATCTTGTCCTCCTCTGAACTGCTGTGGTACTTACTGTCATTTAACCATTAATCATAACCTCACCTGTGCCAGCTTTGCAGAGTTATGTAGAACCACTGTTTCTATCTTCTGTGGTTATTTAACTTATCACTTTTTATTTGTCTTCCAAACTAGATTGTAAAGTAATAAGAACAAGAATCTTAATTTTATTCCCTCTCAGTTGCCCTGAAAAGCCTCCCACAGAATAGAGGTTCAGCAGATTATTGTTGAATAAATGATTGAAACAATTTAGAACTGAGTCTTGAAGGGGGAATAAATACAAGTTTCATTTATCTATTCTAAAAGATGAGATTGGAGCTTCATTTTGTTTTGGTTAGACTCTTAGTACAAATGGAATAATAGATGTGCAAGTATTTTGAAGAGTGTGTCATAAGTCAGGAACAATCTAATCAGTGTAAAAGTGGCATGGAGCAGATTTATTCTTTCTCCAGGCAAATGCCTACTTTGTTCAGGTGTCCACTTTCATCTGCACAGTTCTGTGCTTTAGGGGAAATTATACATGCCTCATCCCCAGAAAATGGGTTCTTTTTTCCATAAGTTATTGGGGTACAGATGGTATTTGGTTACATGAGTAGTTCTTTAGTTGTGATTTGTGGGATTTTGGTGCACTCATCACCTGAGAAGTACACAGTGCACCGAATTTGTAGTCTTTTATCCCTCACTCCTTCCCATTCTTTCCCCCAAGTCCCCAAAGTCCATTGTATCATTCTTATGCCTTTGCATACTCATAGGCTAGCTCCCACATATCAGTGAGAACATACAATGTTTGGTTTTCAATTCCTGAGTTACATCACTTAGAATAATAGTCTCCAGTCTCATCCAGGTCACTGAAAATGCTGTTAATGCATTACTTTTTATATCTGTGTAGTATTCCATCACATATATAAATATATAAAATATAAATATATATGATACATAAATATCATATAAATATATATGATATTTATATAACATATATGATATTTATATAACATATATATGGTGAGATATATATATATAACTGTGAGATAGATAGATAGATAGATAGATAGATAGATAGATAGATAGATAGATCAATTGATCTCACAGTTTCTTTATCCACTTGTTGGTTGGTGGGCATTTGGGATAGTTCCATGATTTTGCAATTGTGAATAGTGCTGCTATAAACATGTGTATGCAAGTATCTTATTCAAATAATGACTTCTTTTCCTCTGGGTAGATACCCAGTAGTGGGATTGCTGGATCAAATGGTAGCTCTAATTTTGGTTCTTTAAGGAGTCGCCCCACTGTTTTCCATAGTGGCTGTACTAGTTTACATTCCCACCAGCAGTGTAGAAATGTTCCCTCTTCACCTCATCCACATCAACATCTACTGTTTTTTTATTTTTTGATTATAGCCATTCTTGCAGGAGTAAGGTGGTATTGCATTGTGGTTTTGTTTTGCATTTCCCTGATCATTAGTGATGTTGAGCATTTTGTCATGTTTGTTGGCCATTTGTATATCTTCTTTTGAGAATTGCCTATTCATGTCCTTAGCCCACTTATTTACGGGATTGTTTGATTTTTTTCTTACTGACTTGTTTGAGTTCATTGTAGATTCTGGATATAGTCCTTTGTCAGATGTATAGATTGTGAAGATTTTTCTCCCACTCAGTGTGTTATCTGTTTACTCTGCTGACTGTTCCTTTTGCCATGCAAAAGCTCTTTAGTTTAATTAGGTCCCAGCTATTTATCTTTGTTTTTATTGCATCTGCTTTTGGGTTCTTGCTCATGAAATCTTTGCATAAGCCAATGTCTAGAAGGGTTTTTCCAATGTTATCTTCTAGAATTTTTACAGTTTCAGGTCTTAGGTTTAAGTCGTTAATCCATCTTGAGTTGATTTTTGTAAAAGGTAAGAGATGAGGAACCAGTTTTGTTCTCCTATATTCCAGCACCATTTGTTGCCAATTATCCCAGCACCATTTGTTGAAAATGGTGTCTTCTCCCCACTTTATGTTTTTGTTTGCTTTGTCAAAGACCTGTTGGCTGTAAGTATTTGGGTTTATTTCTGGGTTCTCTATTCTGTTCCATTGGTCTACATGACTATTTTTATACCAATACCACACTGTTTTGGTTACTATGGCCTTATAGTATAGTTTGAAATTAGGTAGTTTGATGCCTCCAGATTTGATCTTTTTGCTTAGTCTTGCTTTGCCTATCTATGCAGGCTCTTTTTTGGTTCCATATTAATTTTAGAATTGTTTTTTCTAATTCTGTGAGGAATGATGGTGGTATTCTTATGGGGATTGCGTTCAATTTGTAGACTGCTTTTGGCAGTATGGTCATTTTCACAATATTGATTCTACCCATCCATGAGCATGGGATGTGTTTCCATTGTTTGTGTCATCTATGATTTCTTTCAGCAGTGTTTTGTAGTTTTCCTTGTAGAGGTCTTTCGACTCCTTTATTAGGTATATTCTGAAGTTTTTTTTGTTTTTTTTTTCTGCAGCTGTTGTAAAAGGGATTGAGTTCTTTATTTGATTCTCTGCTTCATCGCTGTTGGTGTGGAGAAGAGCTACTGATTTGTGTGCATTAATCTTGTATTCGGAGACTTTGCTGAATTCTTTTATCAGTTCTAGGATCTTTCTAGAGGAGTCCTTAGGGTTTTCAAGGTAAACTATCATATCATCAGCAAACAGGGACAGTTTGACTTCCTCTTTACCAATTTGGATGTCCTTTATTTTTTTCTCATCTCTGATTGCTCTGGCTAGGACACCCAGTACTATGTTGAAGAGGAACGGTGAGAGTAGGCATCCTGGTCTTGTTCCCGTTCTCAGAGGGAATGCTTTCAACTTTTCCCCATTCGGTATTATATTGGCTGTGGGTTTGTCACAGATGGCTTTTATTACATTAAGGTATGTCCCTCATATGCTGATTTTGCTGAGAGTTTTAATCATAAGGGAATGCTGGATTTTGTCTAATGCTTTTTCTGCAGCTACTAAGATGATCATGTGATTTTTGCTTTTAATTCTGTTTATGTGATGTATCTCATTTATTGACTTGCATATTTTAAACCAGCCCTGCGTCCCTGGTATGAAACCCACTTGATCATGGTGGCTTATCTTCTTGATATGTTGCTTGAATCATTTATCTAGTATGTTGTTAAGAATTTTAGCATCTATGTTCATCAAGGATATCTGTCTGTAGTTTTCTTTTTTGGTTATGTCCTTTCCTGATTTTGGTGTTAGGGTAATGCTGGATTCATAGAATGAATTAGGGAGGGTTCCTTCTTTCTCTATCCTGTGGAATAGTGTCAAAAGGATTGGCACCAATTCTTCTTTGAATGTCTGGTAGAATTTTGCTGTAAATCCATCTGATCCTGGACTTTTTTTGTTGTTGGTAATTTTTAATTACCATTTCAATCTCACTGCTTGTTATTGGTCTGTTTGGGGTATCTAATTCTTCTGGATTTAAGCTAGGAGGGCTGTATTTTTCCAGGAATTTATCCATCTCTTCTAGGTTTCTAGGTTTTCTAGTTTGTGTGCATAAAGTTGTTCATAGTAGTTTTGAATGATCTTTTGTATTTCAGTGGTATCAGTTGTAATATCTCCTGTTTCATTTCTTAGTGAAGTTATTTGGATTTTCTCTCTTCTTTTCATGGTTAATCTTGCTAATGGTGTATCAATTTCATTTATCTTTTCAAGACACCAGCTTTTTGTTTCATTTATCTTTTGTATTTTTTTGTTTCAATTTCATTTAGTTTTGCTCTGATCTTGGTTATTTCCTTTCTTCCGCTGGGTTTGGGTTTGGTTTGTTCTTGTTTCTCTAGTTCCTTGAAGTGTGACCTTATATTGTCTGTTTGTGCTTTTTCAGACTTTTTAATATAGGTATTCAGGGTAATGAACTTTCCTCTTAGCACTGCCTTTGCTGTATCCCAGAGGTTTTGATAGGTTGTGTCATTACTGTCATTCAGTTCAAATATTTTTTTAATTTCTATCTTGATTTCATTTTTGACCCAATGCTCATATTCAGGAGCAGGTTATTTAATTTTCATTATTTGAATGGTTTTGCAGGTTCCTTTTGGAGTTGATTTCCAGGTTTTTTTCCACTGTCTCCTGAGAGAGGGCTTGATAT
Source organism: Homo sapiens (assembly GCF_000001405.40). Taxonomy (NCBI): domain Eukaryota; kingdom Metazoa; phylum Chordata; class Mammalia; order Primates; family Hominidae; genus Homo; species Homo sapiens. Next base: position 119,489,946 of record NC_000006.12, on the reverse strand, counting down.
AATTTCAATTTTCTTAAATTTATTGAGGCTCATTTTGAGGCCTATCATATGGAATATCTTGGAGAAAGTTCCATGTGCTGTTGAATAGAATGTGTATTCTGCAGTTGTTGGATGAAATGTCCTGTATACATGTGTTTAGTCCATTTGTTCCAACATATAGTTTAAATCCATTGTTTCTTTGTTGACTTTCTGTCTAGTGCTGTCAGTGGAGCATTGAAGTCCCCCACTATTATTGTGTTGCTGTCTATCTCATTTCTTAGGTCTATTACCAATTGTTTTATAAATTTGGGAGCTCCAGTGTTAGGTGCATATATGTTTAGGATTGTGATATTTTCCTGTTGGACAAGGCCTTTTATCATTATACACAGTCCCTCTTTGTCTCTTTTAACCACTGTTGCTTTAAAGTTTGTTTTCTCTGAGAATAGCTACCACTGCTCAATTTTGGTGTCCATTTGCGTGAAATGCCTTTTTCCGCCCCTTTACTTTAAGTTTATGTGACTCCTTCTGTGTTAGGTGAGTCTCCTGAGGGCAGCAAATAGTTGGTTGGTGAGTTACTATCCATTCTGGGGTTCTGTGTCTTTTAAGTGGAGCATTTAGGCCATTTACATTCAATGTTAGCATTGAAATGTGTGGTACCTTTGTTTTGCTGTTTTCATCCTGCTTTTTGTTGCCTGTGTACTTTGGGATTTTTGTTTGTTTTTTGTTTTTGCTTTTTAACTTGTATTTTTGTTTTATAGGTCTTATGTGATTTATGCTTTTTTTATTATACTTTAAGTTTTAGGGTACATGTGCACAACGTGCAGGTTAGTTATATGTGCCATGTTGGTGTGCTGCACCCAGTAACTCGTCATTTAACATTAGGTATATCTCCAAATGCTATCCCTACCCCCTCCCCCCACCCCACGACAGGCCCCAGTGTGTGATGTTCCCCTTCCTGTGTCCATGTGTTCCCATTGTTCAATTCCCACCTATGAGTGAGAACATGTAGTGTTTGGTTTTTCGTCCTTGTGATAGTTTGCTGAGAATGATGGTTTCCAGCTTCCTCTATGTCCCTACAAAGGACATGAACTCATCATTTTTTATGGTTGCATAGTATTCCATGGTGTATATGGTGTATATGTGCCACATTTTCTTAATCCAGTCTATCATTGTTGGACATTTGGGTTGGTTCCAAGTCTTTGCTATTGTGAATAGTGCCACAATAAACATACGTGTGCATGTGTCTTTATAGCAGCATGATTTACAATCCTTTGGGTATATACCCAGTAATAGGATGGCTGGGTCAAATGGTATTTCTAGTTCTAGATCCCTGAGGAATTGCCACACTGACTTGAGGTGCTGTTTTGATGTGTTTCCAAGATTTGCTTCGAGATTTAGAGCTTCTTTTAGCAGTTCTTGTAGTGGTAGTTTGGTAATGGTGAATTCTCTAAGCATTTGTTTGTCTGAACATGACTGTATCTTTCCATCATATATGATGCTTAGTTTCTCTGGACACAAAATTCTTGGCTGATAATTGTTTTGTTTGAGGAGGCTGAAGATAGGTCCCCAATCCCTTCTAGCTTGTCAGGTTTCTGCTGAGAAACCTGCTGTTAATCTGATAGGTTTTCTTTTATAGGTTACCTGGTGCTTCTGTCTTACAACTCTTAAGATTCTTTCCTTCATCTTAACTTTGAATAACCTGATGTGCCCAGGCAAAATCTTTTTGCGATGAATTTCCCAGGTGTTCTTTGTGCTTCTTGTATTCGAAAGTCTAGGTCTGTAGCAAGGCCAGGGAAGTTTTCCTCCATTATTCCCCCAAATATGTTTTCCAGGCTTTTAGAATTCTCTTCTTCCTCAGGTACACCAATTTTTCTTAGGTTTGGTTGTTTAACATAATCTCAGACCTCTTGGAGGCTTTGTTCATATTTTCTTATTTTTTTCTTTTTGTTGAACTGGGTTAATTCGAAGACCTTGTCTTTGAGCTCTGAATTGCTTTCTTCTACTTGTTCAATTCTATCGCTGAGACTTTCCAGAGCATTTTGCATTTCTAAAAGTGTGTCCAAAGTTTCCTGAATTTTTAGTTGTTTTTTTTTAAGCTGTCTATTTCCATGAATATTTCTCCCTTCGCTTCTTGTATCATTTTTTGGATTTCCTTGCATTAGGTTTCACCTTTCTCTGGTCCCTCCCTGATTAGCTTAGTAACTAACCTCCTGAATTCTTTTTCAGGTAAGTCAGGGATTTCTTCTTGGTTTGGATCCATTGCTGGTGAACTAGTGTGATTTTGGGGTGGGTAGAAGAGCCTCGTTTTGTCATATTATCAAGGTTGGTTTTCTGTTTCCTTCTCATTTGCGTAGGCTATGTCAGAGGGAAGGTCTAGGTCTGAAGGCTGTTGTTCAGATTCTTTTGTCCCACAGGGTGTTCCCTTGATGCAGTACTCTCCTCCTTTTCCTATGGATGTGGCTTCCTGTGAGCCAAACTGCAGTGATTATTGTCTCTTTTCTGGGTCTAGCCACCCAGCGAGTCTACCCAGCTCTGGGCTAGTACTGGGGGTTGTCTGCACAGAGTCCTGTGATGTGAACCATCTATGGATCTCTCAGCTGTGGATACCAGCACCTATTCCAGTGGAGGTGGCAGAGGGTGCAATGGACTCCATGAGGGTCCTTAGCTTTGGTGGTTTAATGCTCTATTTTTGTGCTGTTTGGCCTCCTGCCAGGAGGTGTGCTTTCCAGAAAGCATCAGCTGTAGTAGTGTGGAGAGGGACTGGCAGTGGGCAGGGCCCTAGAACTCCCAAGATTATATGCCCTTTGTCTTCCACTACCAGCATGGATAAGGAAGGACCATCAGGTGGGGGTGGGGTTAGCCATGCTTCTTTGGATTTTGTTAATAAAATAATACATTTCTTTATTTTTATTCTATCTGAGGCGGCTTTTCTGCTACTTGTTGCCACAAGCATTCTACATGATACAATGATGCTCAAAATGAACTAGAACAAAGATCTACAAGGGAATGCTCATAGCAGCCTTAATGACACCTCAAAACTGGAAACAACCCAGGTGTCCACCAACTGGTATATGGATAAGGAAACTATAGTATATCCATACAATGGAATATTCCTCAGTAATAAAAATGAATAAACTCCTGATACCTCCAACAACATAGAAAAATCTCAAAAGCATTAGGTTAAGTGAAAGAAGCCAGCCACCGAGGGCTACTTATTGTATAATTCCATTTGTCTAATATTCTAGAAAAGAGAAAACTTACAGTATGATGGTTAATTTTGTGTGCCTGCTTAGCTAAGCCATGGTACCCAGTTTTTTGTTGTAATTTTTTTTTAGAGAGAAAGATCTTGCTATGTTGCCCAGGTTGGTCTCAAACTCCTGGGCTCAAGTGATTCTCCCATCTTAGCCTCCCAAAATGCTTGGATGACAGACATGAGCCCCCACGCCTGTCCTGGTACCTAGTTTTTCATGAAATATCAGTACAGATGTGCTTTGAAGGTGTTTTTTGTTGTGGTGGTGGTAAAATACATGTAACATAAAATTTGTTATCTTAAATATTTTTGACAGTACAATTTAGTAGTTTTAAGTTCATTCACATTGTTGTACAACCTATCTCCAGAAATCTTTTCGTCTTACAGAACGGCAGGTCTATACCCATTAAACAATAACTCTCCACTCCCCTTCCCCCAGACCCTGGAAATCAACCTTCTACCTTCTGTCTCTGTGAATTTGACTACTCTAGTTACCGCATATAAGTAAAATCATACACTATTGCCTTTTTGTGGCTAGCATATTTCACTTAGCATGATGTCTCAAGGTTCACCTGTGTTATAGTACATGTCAGAATTTCCTTTTGTTAAGGCTGAATAACAGTATACGCTGCATTTTGTTTATCCATTCATCTCTTGATGAACACTTGAGTTGCTTCCATCTTTTGGCTATTGTGAATAATGCTGCTATAAAGTTGGGTGTATAAATATCTCTTTAAGACCCTGCTTTTCAATTCCTTTGGGTATATACCCAGAAGTGGAGTTGCTAAATGAAAAGGATGGGAAGGTGTTTTTCAGATGTGATTAAAATTTAAATAAGTAAACTTTGAGTAAAGCAGATTGCCCCCGACAATATGAGTGGGCCTTATAAAGGCCTTCAGAAAAAAAATTAAGGTTCCCATAAAAAAGAAATTCTGCCTTCAGACTGCCTTCTGACTTGAGCTACAGCATCAACTCTTCCTTGAGCCTCCAACCTGCTGGCCTGCCCTGCAGATTTCAGATTTGCCAGCCTTTACAACCACAGGAACAAATTCCTTAAAAATCTCTCTCTCTCTCTTTCTCTCTCTCTCAGGTCTGTTTTTCCAACTCTGATAAATATGTACAGGGACAGAAACAGATCAGTAGTTGCCAGGAGTCAAGCAGGATTGGGGAAAACAGATTGACTGCAAAGGGATACAAGAGAACGTTTTGGTGTGATGGGAATAATCTGTATCTTTACTGTCTATTACAGTACACACTGGACACATGTGGCTATTAAACACTTGAAATGTGACTAGTCTGAATTGAGATGTGCTGTAAGTATAAAAGACACATCAGACTTCAAAGATTTGAAAAAAATGTAAAATGTCAATAACTTTTATATTGATTACTAGTGAATATTTTTATATATTTGGTTAAATAAACCATATTATTAAATTTCACTTGTTTCTTTTTACTTTGTTAATGTGGCCACTAGAAATGTAAAGTTACATATGTGGTTTATTTCTACTGGACAATGTGGTTTATTGGACAATGCAGTTCTGTATCTTGATTGTGATACTGAATGCGTAACTCCTCAAATTATACACTAAAAAGGGCAAATTTTATTATATGTAAGGTATACCTTAATAAACCTAATTTTAAAATATGGGCTAGGAAATTAGAAATGTTACAAAATACAATTTAATGATACAAAAAGAATTATTATAATATTCATATTACGCTCATCCTCACTGTTATGTCTTTGCTCACTCACGTTATTCCCAGTGTCCGTCAAGTAAACTTATTCATCTCTTAAGAGCTGATTCAGTCAATCTCATGCATCATCCCCATTCCAGCTCTTCCCTGCTACTCTGATGTGTTTTCTCTAAATCCTTGCTGCACTGTGAGTCAGTCTGGTGCCTCCTTGATGACATGGAATTTCAGCATGTTGTGTCGGATAGCAGCCAAGAAAGTAGAAGGGACTCAGCGGCAGGGATTGCCTTCAAAGGGTGATAAGTTCAAAAGCTTAGATCCAGCTGAACTGGTTTTATAAGCGAAGCCTGACAGCCAACTGCAATGGCTCAACATCAAAATGTTTTCTATGTTTTTTATGTATGGTAGGTATGCTTCCTACCTGGAAGAAGTTACCTAAAGCCAGGAACGATGTCTCATTCTTCTTGGGCAGTTTTCCACAAGAATAACTAACCTAAGCTACACATGAAAGTCCACAATCCCTGGGATAGCCACTGCCACTTGACCTGGAGGTGTAAGACTATTATGATCTAATACCAACAACACCTCCTGCCTTAACTGAAACCTGGCTCTCCCAGTACTCCATATCCCCCTATGACACTCTATGGGGTACCCATTTGTTCTCTCACATCTCGTGGACCTCAGGATCTATAGATGTGCTGAGTGTTTTGTTCCCCAATGCTGCTTTTAGAACCAAACTCCCTCACTCACTTCAAAAAAAAAGTCACATTCTTTTAAAGAACATGAGTCTTTGCTGTTTCACTCTCTCTCTCTGCTCCCTGTCATGTCTAAGAAGCACATCACACATACCTCATTTTGTCAATATCTTTGACCTCTGGCTCACATCTTCCTCTTCACTGCAAGTCCTGCTATCAGTGTCCCAAAAGGACAACTCATCCAGCCCAAACATCAACTTCTAGTGGTTACATTCAGCAGCTAATCTTGGAGAGTATGGATACAATGAATTCATGTCCTACACCTTCTGTTCCTTAATTCCATCCTCTTTTTCTTCACCAGCCTATAGTATTCTAGAAATCCACTGAAAGAGGAAGGCTTTTGAAAGAATATGGAGAATGTTAAAAGCGATGGGCCTTTCTAGAAGCCTTCAAGAGGATTATATGTTTTCTCTTGTAATTTAAAGATGATTATCCAATCAATACATTTTAATGTGAGAATGTTGAACAACTATAGGCAAAGATAAAAATTTAAACGACACATAATTTCAACAGCTAGGGGAAATTTCTATTAGCATTTTCATGTATATCTCTTCCCAGACTTCTCCTTCTTAGTATCTAAATTCTTTTTCTTTTTAATAAAATGGCAACTTAGTGAATATACAATTTTGTAACCTGCTTTTTACATTTGCTGTAACATGAATATCATTCCAAATTAGTAAATACATTTTACATCATCGCTTTAATTTTATACTATAATTTATTTAACTAATACACAATTGTTGGCTACGTAGCACATTTACAGTGTTTTGGTATTATAAACAGAATAAAATGATCATCTTTATAGCTAGGTCTTTATGCACATTCTTAATTACCTTAAGATAAATTTCTATAAGTAGCCTTTCTGGGTTAAGGAATTTCTAATGTTAGGTACCTATTAATATCTAAGCATGTTTTGATAGAAACCTCTAAGATCTGTGAGTAACTACCTCCTTTTACACATTGTTAGACTATTTGACAGGATTCCCCTTCTGAGAGACAGAAGTAACTAAACTTCCATCAGGATTAGAACGAAGTTTTTTGTTTATTTATTTATTCTTAAAGCTGCCAGACTTTTATATTCATTCAACAAACATTTATTTAGGACCTGTTATGTGCTGGGCACCATGCCAGATGCTAAGGATAAGAAATGAGTTGACACAGTACAGTCCTCAGGCTGTCACAGTATCAGGTGTGAGATAAACACATTGAATGACGGACACAGTGTAATTCAATACACTTTTCTTGCCTGCATGGCACTACAGAGGAAGGTTGATAAAGGCTTCATCCTGTCTGAACTGTGATGTCTGAACCAAGTCTTGCAGGAAGTCTTCTGGTGGCTGAGATGGCGGCCGAGGTGATCAAGATGAGGAAGAACAGTCCAGGCAAAGGGAAAAACCATGTGCAAAAGCATAGAAGGGCTGGTTGAGGTGGCTCATGCCTGTAATCCCAGCACTTTGGGAGGCCAAGGCAGGTGGATAACTTGAGGTCAGGAGTTCAAGACCACCCTGGCCAACATGGTGAAACCCCGTCTCTACTAAAAATACAAAAATTAGCTGGGCGTGGTGGCAGGCACATGCTACCCGGGAGGGTGAGGCACGAGAATCGCTTGAACCCAGGAGGCAGAGGCTGCATTAAGCCAAGATCGTGCCACTGCACTCCAGCCTGGGTGACAGAGTGAGACTCCATCTAAATAAATAAATAGATTGTTTAAAAGTACAGAAGTATAAAGGAGCAGGTCATTTTGTGTGCCTGAACAAAGGCTACTAAAGAGAGCCTTGCCTGAAATCTAATAAATGCTAAAGATGCCTGTTAGTAGTGAGGATGCTCCATACGGAGACTATATTACTGGATTGCTAATATTTTTAATTAATGACTACTCTTTGTTTATTTTTCATTAACCTTCCTCAGTACTATTAATTCAGAATAAACTCTTAATTCAATTTTTGTTTGTGTCAAGGAATTGATGTTTCCCCTAGCCAGAAGAAAGTCCCTTCCCACTGTCTCTATGTATATTTTGGATACACTATATAAGAACACAAATGATTGAAGTCCAGACTGCACAAACCCCAAGAGAATGCATTTTCCAACTCCAGCAGACACTCTATTTGACCAACATACCAGACCTATTTTTCAGATGTTACACCCTTCTGCAATAAGTAGGAGGAAAAACTTCTTTCAGTTCTGTGTTTAATCAAAACAAAGAATCCATACTAGATATTTTTTCTTACTAAACACTGCTAAAATGCATTATTATGCCAAAGAACACATCTTTTCTATAATTTAACTGTCGCTGAAAAAGTATAAGTTTTCCATTCATATTCAGTTTTTGAGTATTCAAATCACTCTTACTTTTACATATATTTGAGCTTCAAAACAATCTTGGAAGGTCCTGAAGCTCAAAACAGCCTCGTAATACTATCCCTATTTTTATAGACAAGAAAATCAAAGCTGAACATATGTGGCTTACCCAAATTCGCACAATCTTTATGACCAAAACGTGCTGCTCACAAGCCAGTTTAGCTGCCATCTAGTCTAGGGAGCCTTCTGGAAACTTTCAAGTCTAAGTGTCCTTTCTTTGAGTCCTCATTGCCCCCTGCCTGTCCCTACAATACCACTCATTTTACCAGGGCTTCTCAAACTTTAATGTGCCCACAAATCACCTTAGAATCTTGTCAAAAATGCAGTCTATGATTCTGTTGATTTGAGAGTGGGGCCTGAGATTCTGCATTTCTAACAAGCTCCTGAGTGACGCTGATGCTGCTGGTCTGAGGACCACACTTTGGGAAATAAGACATTGCAGTGTATCCTCACAGCCTGGTTATATTTCATTCTCTTCCACTCCACCGTATGTTCCATAGGGCCATGAACTATGCATTGTTAATCATAACATGTCCAGCATTCAGATTTGACAGTCTGTAAAATCTCAATAAATATGAAATGAATGAATGAGTGAATGAATGAGCAAATGAATGAATGAATGAGCAAATGAATGAATGAACAAATAAATAAGTGAAATCCATGTTTTCTAGACTACAGTTTTTTCTACTATATCATGCTGAGTTGTAAAAACATAGGCCAAGTCTATCCTTCCCTTTTAACTGCCACATTAAAGGTAAACAACAGCTGCCTTAAGAAAACTCAATATCTCAGTGGCTTAACACACTGAAGGGATTTTTTTTTCCTTTTCCTACTCAAGGTAGGAAAGGAAAGGTAGGGAGTGCTCTGCTCCACTCAGTCATTCAGCATCCAAGCTGACAGAAGCTATATCAACTTCAATATGAGGCTTTCAAGGTTATCCCATAATTTAATATCTAACTGGCACATGAGGCCTGGAAATAACCCATCATTTCTGCCTCCATTCCAAAGTAATATGGGAAACGTAGTCTTTGATTGGGTTATAACTCATATACACTAGAGAGGGGAGTAGGAGGCTTAGATGGGCAAAGATCTGTCTATTCCTCTATAAGCCCCCAAGGCCTCAGCCATGACTACCCATTCTTCTTCAATTGTACTTCACACTTTCCCAGATTTTATAGCTGAATTCATGATGTTCCTTTTTCCTGGAATTCCTTTACCCTGAACAAGCTCTGTCTTTTCAAATCCTACTCATCTTTCAGTGCACATCTCAAAAGATATTTTTTCATGCAATTTTTCCACATCTTCTAAACAAATGTTTCTCCCTTCTTTTTGAATCTATTTCTTTGTACTCCTCTGAGAATCTCTAGCACATTCTGCCATGCCTTTCAGTTATGGGTGTACTTACAAGCTCCCTCCTCCACCAAAAAAAAAAAAAAACAGGAGCTATGTCATAATCAGCTTGGTAGGCCTCTTGGCATCTAGCCATAAACCTTACTTACAGCAGTAACTCAGTAGATATAGGCATTTTTGAGTTGAATTGAAAATATATCTAATAAATACAGAAAGCTTATCTGGTAACAACCTTGCTCTATGTTTTTCCAACAGAGAAGACAGCTATAACTCCAAAAGTGAGAGAAAGTAGAAGACATGCCAGTGCTCAAAAGCTACAAATGTAACCAGAGCCGTGGCATAAAATGAAATACTTCTGGTTCATATACTTCCACTGAGCAGCATTGCATTTTATACACTTCTTCTTTAATGGTTCAGACATATAGTTCTTAACATCACATGGAGACTCATAACCTTCAGAATACAGCATGAATCAGCTGGCTGCACTGCAAAGAGAATACAAAATACCATCAAGAATGTCCTAACTGGAACAGTAAACTTTTAAAGTACAAACAACTCATCTGTTAGCAGCCTGGCATTTTGCTTTCTGGAAAGTAAATACATTAGAGAGATATCTTTAAAGAGAGTCTATTACCTGTGTAAGTCAGCAATTTTCAATCATGACTGTAGCAGATCCAGGTGAGAGACACTGCGACCTGGCCTTATAGCAGGACCAATAAGCATAAGCAATCCCTTGGTCCTAAGATGAAGACTTACTAATCATTAGTTCTTGAATCTATAACTTCCTTAGGTTAGGTCAGATTTGTCCTCGCTTACTCAGCTTATGGGGCGTGGATTCTTATATAGCCAGTCTATAGAGAGAGTATCAATAAAGTCATAAATCTGGGGGAAAAAAAAGTCCTCATTATCGCACCTGTCTGGTTTTTCAAAATCTTGCCTAAGGTGGTCTGGTTTGCTGAAGGGTGCTCCAGGAAGTGCAGTCTCCAGGTGTAACAGCCTCCCAAAGAAACAGTCTCTGTTTTGGCTGGAGGAAATTGTTGATTTTCCTCTGAAGCCTGGAATCAGCAGTTCTCTGCTGCTAAAACTCCTGCAGGGTTTTAGGGGCAAGTAGCTACTTTAGAATTGAGCAGATGGGGTAAAGGAGATAAGGAAATGTAGTTTAGAGAGACTTCCCACGAGAAGGCATCCTTTTCATTCCTTAAACTTCCCACCACCACCTCACACACAAGTGAAAAACGGGTGCAGAAGAATATACGGGGGAAAAACGGTAAGCTTGGGCAAAGTTCCCTGCAGAGGGAGAAGAAAAAATAGGATGAGACTTAAGAATTTTATAGTCCTAAACACTGGAAAAATTATGGCGAATTCTTCCCTGCCCCCAATAATTATCATGTGAATCATTTTGATCTTTATTTGTTAACAGTAATATATAAAACATAATACTTTTTCCAAACAATTTTGGATACCATCATTTTATGGTTGTACTAAGGACAGCTAGTCCCCTACAGGAGTCAGAGACTTTAGGAAGTATTTAAGACCTAATTCTATGGTTATCTTCTCAAAATATAGGATTCCTGGGAGCTATGACAGGTAATCTAGCAAAGTGAACTTATCAGTTAAACTTAATAGTTAATTGGCCAGGCACAGTGGCTCACGCCTGTAATCCTAGCACTTTTGGAGGCCGAGGCAGGAAGATTACTTGAAGTTAGCAGTTTGAAACCAGACTGGCCAACATGGTGAAACCCTGTCTCTACTAAAAATACAAAAAAAAAATTAGCCAGGCGTGGTGGTACATGCCTGTAATCCCAGCTACTCGGGAGGCTGAGGCAGGAGAATCGGTTGAGCCTGGGAGGTGGAGGTTGCAGTGAGCTGAGACCACCCCAGAGCACTCCAGCCTGGATGGCGACAGAGCAAGACTCCGTCTAAAACAGAAAAAAAAAAAAAAAAAAAAAAGCTTAATAGTTAATTTATCCATTAAACTTAAATTATCAACTAAGGACACTATAAGTGCTTTTCATATGGCTGCACAAGATATTGCAACTGATACCAAGGTGAGTAAAGCAGCAGTCCCTACCTTCGAAGGGTTAGTTGCCTGTTTAGAAATTTTTATTATGGTTTTAAAGTGAGGATAAGCTGCAGAAAGGCATTTTAAGTACAAAAATAATTGTAGGTCACACAGGAATCTAATTTATAAAAGAAAAGGGAGCATCTGGAGGATTCAGAAGAGGGAAAGCAGACACCTGGTTGGATGGAGTAAGAAAAGACTATAAATGGGAAGGATTTCTGAAAAGACTTAAGACTTGAAGGATGGCATGTGTTTTGTCAAAAGAAAACAGAAATGAGGGAAGTTGTATGTAAAAGAACAGCATAACCAAGAGCATTCATGTCATCATTATCATCATCATAACTGACATTTACTGAATACTTAATTTGTATGAGGCTTTGTGCTAAATCTTTAACGTGTTAAATCCTGTAATCTTCATAATCACACTACAAAGTCAAGTCTATTATTATTCCCAGTTTACAGAAGAGAAAACTGATACTCTGGTTAATTGCCCAGGGCCATATAGCTAAAAGCAGTGCAATCTGAAATTGACCAAGATTCAGGTAACCATGAGAAATCTAGTGTGAATAGAACATTTAGCATACACATCAATAAATAAAAAGACTAAGTCTAGAAATGCAGATCAGGATTTCCCAAGGCTCCATATGCTGGATTAAAGGTTTCATGCTTAGTTGACAGGCAATGGGCAGCCATTGCAGGGTTATGAGCAGGTTTTTACGTTACCCAATCTGTCAACACATGGAGTGGAGACATCATGGAGGGGAGAGGTCTAGGGATACAGTGAGACCAAGAAGTCCTCTCAAGTTTTTCAGGTAAGAAGCAAACTTAGAGTGAAATTTTTGTTAATGAAATGAGGTAAGAGATAGGAGAAACACAAAAGGTCAAATCTACAGAACTCGTCAACTAATGGATTGAGTGCTGGAAGTGTTACAGAAAATAAGAAGTCTGCAACAACTTGGAGAGCTGGGGTCTTGCCGCTGAACTGATGGTTTCATAAACAGAAATTTGTAAGTTAAGATTGTTGAAAAGAAGATAATGCCTATGCAGTGCTCTTTTTGCTGCTCTTCCTCTTTGCTCTTCCTCTTCCTCCTCCTCATCATCATCATCACCATTACCATAGTCACAGTTTACAAGTAGATGGCATTTCATCTATGCCAGGCATCATTCCAAGCCTTTTACACATAGTAACTAACACTAAATGAAAGCCCATAAGGTACATACTAATAATATTGTCATTTTATAAATGAGAAAATATTTAGAGATAGAGGTTAAGTGACTTGTCCAAGGTCACATCATTAATAAATAAGTAATAGAGTCTGAGTAGTCTGACTCCAAAGTCCACCTTGAAAATTTTTAAAATTGAGTGAGGGACAGACATCAAAACGTTGTTTTTGTTGGAAGAACTTTTCTTCTTGGTGTTCCTCAGTAGTGTACATAGGGGAAATTAGGATCAATAAGCAATCACCTACTTGTAGGGAGACCTTTAGCCCTCATATTGCAGGATATCTGTACAAAAGCCTTTCCTCTTTTCTCTAACCCAATTCACAGGTGGCCAGGATTTTTTTCTGCTTGCACCTTCCAGTGCTCCATTAATTTTCCAGGGGCAGCCTGTCTGTATCTCTCTCCTTCATGCGCGTAATCCTCATTCTGCCCTTTATAAATAATAGAGATATTCTCTCCTCTTCAGAATAGAGTCTCTGACCTTTTGCACTTTCATTCTTCTGATCCGATACATCTGGGCAATGTATGACTCTGCCTGGGTTTCCTCTTTTCTTTAACAAGGCAATTTAAAAATATTTACACACAGAAAGAGTGTTTCACATGTGTCAGAGAGCCCAGCTCCTGCTGTGGTGCTGGCTACAGAGAAATTGTTTTAATTTTGCTCAATTCCAGACTCCTCCAGTGAATTGGGGCGATATATTTATTTTTCTTGTTTCTCTTTCCCTTGTTCCAAAACAATGGAGTTGAACCACTTGGTGCCATGAGAAGGGGCTGAAGAAAAGGAAGGCAGTGTCCAAGGTGAGGAGAAAAGGAAAAGGAAGAGGTTGGCAAGTGAGAAGTCCGCAAAGGGCAGCCTGACATCTGGTAGTCCGAGGGGGCAGCTGGCCTGGGCCTTGTGTTCTGACTCCAGGGAATGTGAAATGAGCTGATCAAGATTTGGAGGAAACAGGCAAAACAACGTTACATATCACTCTGGCTAATATACATAGCCATAGGACCTCAGGCACATAAGCCACATGGAGACAAACACTAACTCTAAAGCCTCAGAATGTTCTTTCCTAATTGACTATGATAAATATTTGTAAACATACAAAAAGTCAAAAGATTGGCACATTGATCATAAGTATCCTAAATTTGACAGTTGTAAATATTTGTTAGCATTTGACTGTGTTTGCTTTCCCTGTGTGTATACACATATATATATGTATTTATATATGCATATGTTTCACTGAACCATTTCAAAGTATGTTGCCAACATCTTGACACTTAACTCATAATCCCTTCAGTTTACCTCTGCTAAAAATGAGAACACTCTCCTTAATAACCATAATACCATGATACATCAAAAAACTAAAAGATATTTTAATGTCATCTCTTATCTAGATAATATTCAAATTCCCATATTGTGCCAAAAACATATTAGCAGTGTCTAATCTAAGTTCAACTTTGCACTTGAGTGTTCTATCACCTCATTTTTTAAATTTTCTTTTTATTGAAGTGTAACAAGTGTACAGAAAAATGCAACAAATCCTGTGTCTAACTCAATTTTCACAAAGTGAACACATGTAACTATCACCCAGACTGAGAAATAAAATATTACCCACACTTCTCTCTCCCCAGTAGTTTGGCTCCCCAAAGGTAACCACTGTTCTGATGTCAATTACTATCCATTATTTTTGCCCATTTTTGAAGAGTATGTAAATAGACTCATACAATATGTATTTTATTTTGTCTGACTTCTTCTGAGCAACGTTTGTGAAATTCGTCAGTGTTATTGCATGTAGTAGTGATTTCTTTATTCTCATGTTATATACTACTACATTTTGTGAATATTCTACAATTGATTTGTTCACTCTTGATTGGCCATTTGGATATCCTTTTCTCAAATGCGTGTTCAAGTCTATGCATATTTCTAACTATGTTGTCTATCATTTTCTTATTGTGAATTGGTTTTATACTGAGAATGTGTCTTTATTAAATATGTATCCCAAGTATGTTTACCCATGGTGGCTCGCCTTCTCATTCTCTTAACCGTGTATTTTTCAGAGGCGCTGTTTAGTTTAATGAATTCCAATTTATCAATATTTCCCTTTATGACTAATGCCTTTTGTGTCCTCTTTAAGATAAACTCTCTGCCTACTCCAAAGTCACAAATATATTCTCCTATGTTGTCTTCTGTGAGCTTTATTGATTTACCTTTTACATTTAGAAATATAATCCATCTGCATTTGATTTTTGTGTGTAAAGTGACATACAGGTGAGATTCACTTTTTTCCACATGGATATCCAATTGAAACATTCCATTCATTGAAATGACCATTCTTTTCTCTCTTCACTGCTGTCAATGTCATCATATATCCGGTGATCAGGTGACCACATACTAGTAGGTTTATTTCTGGACTTAATGTGTTACATTACCCTATTTATTTATCCTCCAGCTGATACAACATTGTCTTAATTACTATAATGTTGTAGCAAATATTAAAATCTTGTAGTGTGTATCTTAGCTTTTTTTCTTCTTCAATTAGAAAAACTGACTAATACTTTGAGTATTTTCGGCCCTCTGAATTTCCATACATAATTAAGATTTTAACTTGTCCATTTCCAGGAAAAATATTGTGCTGGGATTTTGATTGTTTTTTCACTGAATCCATAGACCAATTATAAAAAATTGAAATAGTTACAATATTGAAATTTCTAATCCACAAACATAGAATGACTCTCCATTTGTCTGCTTTCATTTCTCTCAATAATGTTTTTGTAGATTTATGTATAAAATCCTCATATAGCTTTTGTTAGATTTAATTATAGGTATTTGATGATTGCTGATGCTGATGTCAATATTTTTATTATTTTCTTTGCAATTATTTGTTGCTAGTATAAAGAAATACAATTGAATTTGTACATTCACTTTGTATCTAGAGTCCCACTTAAGTTGTCTTATTTGAATAGTTTGACCATAGACTCTTTTCTATTTTCTATAATGTTTAGATTTCTATGCCATCTAAGAATAAAGACAGTTGTATTTCATGCTTTCCAATCCTAACACCTTTTTCGTGCTTTATTGCTCTGGCTAAAACCTCTGTACAGTGTTGAAAAGAAGAGGTGGTAAGGCAATCCTTGCATTGTCTTAATCTCAGGAGAGTTTTAAATAACTCACCACAAAATAGAATATTTACTATATATTTTTTGCAGATATCATTTATCAGGTTAAAGAAATTCCTCTTTAGTCCTAGTTTTCCATGAGGGGCGGGGGTGGTGGTGTTAGTTTTATTTTAAATCATGAAATGACTGTTGAATTTAGTCAAATATATTTTACTGCATCTATTGAGATGAGTATGTGATTTGTTATTATTCTATTAATGTGATTTATTACATTGACTGATTTTTTTCATGTGAAGCCAACTTGCATACCTGGAATACCTGGAATATACCCAGTTTACTGTTAATACCCAGTTTACTGTTTATGTATTATCCTCTGCATATACATTACTGGTTCAAATTGCTAGCATTTTGAGTAGAATTTTGCATCTACATCCTTGAGAGAAATTGGCCTGTATTTTTACATCTTTCTCACATTTTAGTATCAAAGTTACGCTGGCTTTGAAAGGTAAGTTGGAAGGTGTTGCTTGCCATTCTATTCTCTAGAAGAGCTTCTTAAAATTGATGTTATTTCTTTAAGCATTTCAATTTCACTGATGAAGGCTCTGGACCTGGAGATTTTGGGGATGGGGGGAAGGTGTTTGTGTATAAATACATGTAGGACTATTTATATTTAATTACCTTTTGTATAATTTTTGGTAAATTATAAGCTTTAATTTTATCTATACTACCAAATATATTGACAATATATCATTATTTTAATATATGTCTGTGGAAAATTTAGTTATTTCCTCTAATGCCTAATTGTAGTCATTTGTACTCTCTTTTTTCCTTGATCAATCTTTCTTGGGGTTTATCAATTTTACTAATTTTTCAAAGAACTAAATTTTGACTTTGGTAATTTTTCTCTTATTTTATTTTATTAATTCCTATTTTACATTAATTATCTTAATCTTTCTGCTTTTCATGTTTAATTTCCTGTTATCTTGTAACTTTTGTAATGGATACTTATATCATTGATTTTCAGCTTTTTTTCTTTTATAGTAAAGCATTTAGAGCTATAAATTTTCCTCTTAACACAGGTTTGGTTGCATTCCACAATTTTTAATATGTCTAATTTTCAAAATTATTCAATTCAAAATATTTTCATTGCCATTGTTATTTCCTCCTTGACCCATGGGTTGTTTCCAAAACATTTGGGGTGTTCTAGTTATCTTTATATTATTGAATTTGAGTTTAATTACAATGTGTTCAGACACAAAGATTGTACTCTCAATGATTTTAATCTTTCAAAATGTGGAGACTTACTCTATGACATATTATATGCTCAATTTTGATAAATGTTTCACATGCATTTAAACGAAGTATGTGTGGTGCCATTGTTGAGAACAGTGTTTCATATAAGCCAGTTAGGAGCATCAGAGAAAGAAATATGATGAGAAAAGCAGAGGTGAGAGTGATATGATTGCTGGAATAGGGTCACAAGACAAAGAATGCAGGCTGCAAAAGGCAAGGAACAGATTCTCTCCTCTACCCTCTAGAACGAATGCAACTCTACTGATACCTTAATTTCAGCCCCATAAGATCAATTTCAGATTTTTGCCTGAAAAAACTGTAAGATAATACATTCATATTGTTTTAAGTAATGTTTTTGGTGGTTCGTTACAGTATCAATAGCAAACTGATACACTTAATATATTTTTTTGATTCACTTTTTTCAGGTTTGTGCATACTTATATATACATGATGTCTCTTGTAAGTATCACAGAGAATTTTTTAAATATAATCTGACAATCTCTGTCTTTTGATTGGAGTATTTAGATCCCTTTTATTTACTGTGGTTACTGATATATTTAAGTTTGGATCTATTATTTTACTATTTTTTTATTTAGTCCACCTGTTTTCCCTCCCTTCTCTCATTTCTTGCTTTTCTTTGGATTTAACCCGTATTTATTTTATAATTCTACTTATTGTCCTCTGTTAGTTTCTTAGGTATACTTTTTATATCCCTAGAAATTACTACATGCCTTTTGAGTTATTAGGACTAAATTAGTACTATTTCCACTTCCCAAACCATATTATGATCATAAAAAAAATTTAACATCATTTCCCCCTTGCAAACTTTTGTGCCAATATTGTCATAAATGTTAATTATGCACATATCTCTTATTGCTTTGTACAACCAATATTTATTTAGGTTTTCTTTCATACAGTCAGTGCTTCTATAATGCTTGCTTTGAAAACATGAATTTGTTTTAATGCAATTGATATACTAGAAAATCACTTTAGTATAATGTAAATTTTGCATTTGCTTTTGCTCAATTTTATCCATGAGAAACACAGGTGAATGCAAAAAAAGAAAAACTGTGCTCAGCTTAACTGAGCAAAATAAAATATAAAAATGTACACAGGTATTCATCTCAAACATCTGTCAGCTGCCTCAGTTCACCATGTGTGTTATGAGCTATATCCATTACAACTTTTTGTCAAATTTCAGATAACCTTACTTTCACCACTTCACAAGCTGCAAACTTTCTGATACCCACGTTCACACACACACAAAGTTTTTTTCAAGATAAAACGCCATATTTATTGTAGAACTGATATGTTTCTTAACCACTTAATGTGTAAAACTTTGCTAGTTTTCATTAGGTTTCTGTCTATATTTTCGTGTCAACTATGAAATTTTTAAATGCTGTAAATGTAAACTCATTTTCCCTCTAAGCCTGCGGTTTTCATTATTAATTTTGTATAGTTTTGTGATTTTTAGAAATGTGCTGTAACAGAACTGACTGTATTGACCATTTCTGTTGCTTTTCCTTTCCTTTTGCTGTTGCTGTTGTTGCTATTGTTATTGCTTTCACTTTGTTTCTGCTGAGATTCTTTCTGCCTGGAAAGCTCTCTTTAGTTACTGAGTATTTCTTTTGCATATTTTCTGCTGGTGATAATTTCCTTCATTTTGTCTGGAAATATTTCTTATTTCATCATAATTATGAAGGATATTTCTGCTGTATATAAAATTCTAAGTTGGCAGACATTTTCGTTCAGCTTCTGGTATTTCTTTTAAGAAGCCAGCTGTCAGTCATGTTATTACTCTTTTGAAGGTATTGTGCTTTTGTTTTTTCTAGATGCTAATATCTAATCTATCACTTTGGTTCTTGGCAGTTTTTCTGTTAAGTATTTATCCATGATTTCTTTGTACTTACCTTGCTTTGGGTTGCAAGTGCATTTTGATTTTGTGATGTTGTCTTTCATTGGTTTTGAACATTCTCAGCCATTAATGCTTCTTCTGTTGAAGTATCTACTTCAATCTCTTCTACTCCAATCTCTCTCCTACCCTTCTGTGACTCCAATTATACATATTAGTCCATGCCCCATAAATCTCTTACACAATTTTCTCTACTTTTTATAATTTTTACTTTTAACTCTTCAATCTAGATATTTTGTACTGATTATTTTCCAGCTTATTAATTCCCTTTTCGAGTATGTTCAGTTTCCACTTAAACCCATCTGAGTTAATTAATTCAAGTAATTTTGTTATTATATTTTCTTATCCAGAATTTCCACTTGCTTTTTAACAATTTCAATTCTGTAGTGAAAGTCTTCATTTTTGTCATCTATTAATCAAATATATTAATCTCAATTATTTTTAAGTCTGTATCTAATAAGCCCAATATCTACAGTTCTTTCTTAGCGCCCTTCCTCCTTACCAATTCCTGAACTCCAGTTTTTGTCTCTCCAGCACACGAGGCTGCATAAAATTCCTTTTTACATTCAGTTACTTTTTGCTTAGTTTTTTAGCCTCTTGCCTTGCATATCTTCATCAGTAAATGTCTCAAGTGTTGGGCTCACTTCTCTGTACTTCATTTCTCTCTAGGATCTTGGCTTTTTAAGCTCTGCCTATTATGGCAAAGTAGAATTCTAATTATTTTTGTTTGTTTGTTTTTTATAAACAGAGTCTTGCTGTTGTCCAGATTGATCTCAAATTTCTGGCCTCAAGTGATCCTCCTACCTCGACCTCCCAAAGCAGTGGGATTATAGGTGTGAGCAACCATGCCTGGCCAGAATTCTAATTTTTTATTCACATGGCTATGCAATTGCTTAAAGTTCTGCTGGCCTCATTTTCTCTTGGCTGTCACCTTCTGCCCAGCTTCTAATATTGTGCTCACCTTAGTTAGTTTCCCTTCTTTCTGTTATTCGCTTTTCAAGTCTTGACTGCCCGGACAATTAGCCAAGACTTTAAAACATACGATTTTTCTATTTTAGCTGGATGTTTTAAGCTGTTCCCATCAGGAGCATTTGTCTGCAACAAGTTGTTCATTTATAACCAGTCTTAAGATTGGTTTTCCCACAACTTTTTTTGATATAGTGGCATTGCCACTGGCCTTGTTTCAGCCCAGTATATAAAATTCACCTGGTTTCTTGCTCTTCTTTTCCTACAAATAACTACTTTTCTTGCATAGGGAGCAGAAGAAGAAGCAGAAATGCTGCACTAAGAGAGATTTAAGGCCTAGATTTCATTTTCCATATGCCAGCTTTGTTATATTTCTCCGAGCTTCAGATCCTGTTTTCTAAACTGTGGTAAGTGCATTTAAATCACACACAAAAATTAAAGTAATTGAATCCAATACTCCCTTGGAGACTCATCCATCTCATTTTTTTTCTCTAATGAACAAAAGCATTTAGCCACACTGAGTGAAATGGGGACAGTGATCATATTCACTGCTACCTCCCAGTATCTGATAATGTCCAACCAGCTAGTGACTCCTTAAACCTGGGGAGAAATATTGGGAGACATCCAAACTTCCTTGAGTGTAAGATCACAGGCTGCCATCAGACATGGAATACCGACTAAATAAGAATATGAACTGCAGGAGCCCCAGCTGGGTTCCAGACCATCCATCGCAAATTTAGGTGATCTTGAGCAAGTCAGTCAGACTCTTTAACTCTCTGTTTCTCCTTCCATAAAGTAGTCAAAATAATAGTGCTTGCCTCTTTTGTTTGTTGTGAAGCCTAAATGAAATAAAACAGGTGAAATGCTTCCTCTAGTGCCTGGCCCATTCGGTACATAATAAATGTTAGCAATTTTTATTTCAATCTCAACCCATTAACACTCTAGTAGGACTCTCACAGGGGCACTAAAGACTTAGAGGGACACTAAATCAGTAGGTGGGTGGAGACCCAAATAAACTTTAAATTCTGGACACCTTTGCCCTGAGAGTGGTGAAGAGACTGCAAAGTTACTTCATGACATTTTCTTGCTTCTGTTCCCCAACCACCCAGTCTAAAAGCCAGATGGTAGCAAAGGAAGAAAATATCTGCTGCGTTGGAATAAGGAAACACAATGTATTTGTAAATGTGCTCCTAAGTCATGTTCTGTGGGGGCACTCCAGGTTCCTCCCTCTATGCCTGTCATTGTCTATATTCACTTACAAATATCATTGATCATCTCCTCTGTGTCAGTCACTGGGCAAGGCAGCAAGCATACCAATAAAGAGTCTATGTCAAGTGCCTGTGTTCTATTTTCTGGCATATATATGTCATTTAGTCTTCACTAAGGCCTCTGAAGTACCTACTACTGTTATCCTCATTTTAAAGATTAGGACACAGGCACAAAAAGATTAAGTAACTTGTTGAAGTCACACAGATAAAAATTACCTCATTTTCATGGTGCTCACAGTCTATAAAATAGAAAGTTTTTTAGTACAACATTTTAAAATTCCATTAAATGTAATACTCCCCAAAAGTCAGCAAGTATCCAAGTAATTGGAAGTTAACTTGATGTTGAATTTTTATTTAGGCATTTGGAGTTACGTATTCACAGCCTGTGACTGTGTCTGTAAGTGTTCCTGGTGTCTCTATTTGTCTACGTAAGAAATATAATCAGTTTCCTTGTCTAAGTACTATGACCTTTTAGTGGGCAAAACTGGAATTTTTTTAATGCTATGAGAAATACTAATATAATTCTGGTCTAAAAGAAAAAAAATACTGTGAAGTGTGTTGATGACAAGTGTAAGTACAACATTATTAGAAGTGCTGTTAAGGAAGCTGGAATATTTTGTATTCTGTTAGCAAGATGCCAGCATAACCAAAATTTGTTAAGAATGGCTAAGATATAAAACATAACATGTGAAAGGATATTTAATCACTATAGAAAACTTAAAATTAAGTATAATGCTTAGGAACATATGATTCAGAATATTACTAATTGATTTGCAATCTGGTTAAGAATTTTATTTTTACCAAGCCTGTGTGTGGCACGATTTCCACAGGGTGAATTTAATCAGTGTTGATAATATGGATGAGTCCATGTAGGCTACATCTATCTTTGTACCTTAAATGCCATGCTACATTTTTAAGAAGTAACATAAATATTGTTTTAAAGGAGATCATTCTTAAGAAACCACAATAATCCATCAAGGAAATGTTAGGAAACTGGAGCTGTGTAATGCAGCTTGCCAGAGTCAAAAATGATCTTGGAGTTTCCTTAGGAGCTTTAGGGAAGAAAAGAACTGAAAGCGAAAGTAGTAAACCAACATCTGAGCACCTTCTCTATGTAAGCAACTGTGCTGATGACTCTTCTCCCTATTTTTAAGATTTGTTTTTGTTGTTTCCTGGCCTTTCTCATACTCCCACCACTCCCTCTCCCAATACATACATTAACATATACTATAATTTAAAAATATATTTTATTATATCTTTAATAGCTAGAAGAGTGCCCATCATTTGTGATCAATACATAATTGATAGATGAATATATGAAACATGTGTAAGATACTGCCTGATATGGTTTGGCTGTGTACCCACCCAAATGTCATCTTGAATTGTAGCTCCCATAATTCCCAAGTGTAGTGGGAGGGACCTGGTGGGAGTAAATTGAACCATGGGGGTGGGTCTTTCCCATGCTGTTGTCATGATAGTAAGTCTCAGGAGATCTGATGGTTTTATAAAGGAGAGTTCTCCTGAACAAGCTCTTTCTTTGTCTGCCACCATATTAATATGTGACTTTGCTCCCCATTTGCCTTCTGCCATGATTGTGAGGCCTCCCCAGCCATGTGGAACTGTGAGTCAATTAAACCTCTTTCCTTTATAAATTACCCAGTCTCAGGTATATCTTTATTAGCAGCATGAAAACAGATGAACACACAGCCTATGTTCTTACAACGAGGTAGCACAGGGTAGGAGAAAGAGCACTGAACTGGGAGGGCAGATACGTGGCTCTCATCTTTGTTTGGCCAGTACTTCATTTGCCAACCACAAGCAAAGGACCTCAATGCAAGACAATTAGACTGTCTCTAAGATCTCCTTTTATTTTGAATTTCTGCCATTTTATGTCAGTCTTCAAGTATGTAAAGTGTTCACTTTAATTTATAGAAAAGAGTGTTTGCTCAGAATTGTTCTGGGAGACAGATCTCTAGCAAGATGAATTTGAACACTATTAGCTTCCCTGTGGCTGCTGTAACAAATTAATACAAACTTGGTGGCTTAAAACAAGAAAAACTTAGTCCTTCACGATTCTGGAGGCCTGAAGTCTGAAATCAAGGTGTCAGCAGGGCCACACTCCCTGCAGTGGGTCCAGGAGAGATTTTGTTCCTTGCCTCCTCTAGCCTCTGGTCACTATCAGGATTCCTTGACTTGTGCCTCCATCTGCACATCCTTTACGCTTCTGTGTCTCTCTTCTGTGTGCCTCCCATAAGAACACTTGTCATTGAATTTAGGGCCTACCCAGATAATCCAGGATGATCTCCTTATCTCAAGATCCTTAACTTAATTACATCTGCAAAGACTCTTTCTCCAAGTAAGTTAATATCCACAGGTTCCAGGATTAGGATGTGGACATCTGTTTTGGGCAGGGGTGGTGGAGGGGGCACGATTCAGCCTAGTACAGGCACAGAATAAGGTAACTGTATAACCATGCTTACTTTCCATATAGTGGGACCAAATTCTCAGACACTAAATTCTCATACAAATAAATATACCTTCCTTTTTTTTTTCTGTAACTTTATCTCTATTTTGAATTCCCCCATTCTTCTGAGCAATGAACTTCAAGTTTCAGTCAATACAGGATCTGTCCCCTTGGGATACTGTCTATCCATGGCAGCATCAGTGAGATGCCCTCGGGCCCTGTGGTCTTTTCTCAGCAGTCCTCACAGGTCACTGTCACCCAGATGACAATCACATCCTCATTAGCCCGTCTCTTCAGGCCCACTCCTCTCCTCACTGCTTCGGTATCCTGCCAGGCACATAGAACTCATCTTGTAGGCAACTCTGCTGGGGGTTTAGAAGACTCTTTCTCCCTTGTTTTTGTTGTTTTCTGGGCTTTCTCATACTCCTACCATTCCCCTCCGCTCCATACATACATTCATTTTGTAGTCTCAGTCCCCATTTCCTTGCCTGGTATGGAGTTACAGAGATAACCAGGAAAGTCTTCTCAGCTACCATATTGAAATTAAATGTTTCTACATAGATATCTCCCCCTGGCCCATCCCCTCCACTCTTTCTTATCCTCTCTCCCTCTTTTCCATGCATTTGTTATTTCTCCTTTTACTCCTTCTTTATTCCCAGGCATTGCTTTTCCCATCGCCTTCTCTCCCTTGGTTTCTCCCCTTCTTTTTTCCTAATTTTTTTCTTCCTCAATTATTTCATTCTTCCTCAAAAGGCCATAATACACATCATTTAGTTACTTTTTTTTGTTAGATCAAAGAGTACATCTATTTTCCTCTTTTTGGGAAGAGCCAAGCAATTTAAAATTTCCAAATTTTCGCTCCCTAGAGGGAAAAAGGCCCAAAGTTTGTTTCAAATTGTTCTTTATGTGTTCAGGACCCCATGTTATTATTTTTAACCTATAGTCCAATGACTGCCTAAAGATAAATAGATTCCACATGAGACCTTTTGACATCCTGTTTTCTAAAGTACTGTCCCCAAGAAGGGCCAGTTCTCTCTGTTTTGTATTCAAATAAAAAATATACAATTTGAGTCTGTGGAAGAAAGTTCATATCAGTAAGATTTTGGGACGCTGGATGCTAGACCAGGCAAGGAGATGCACGGTCTCCTGCTCTTGCGTACTTCATGTCAGCCCATGACGGAGTGCACTGAGAGTGAAAGGGTGATGTCTACAGGAGGTGAAGGGTTTGCCCACACTGAGGCACATGCCTCTTTCTTTGGTCTCTTCCTTAGTGTCTGAGAGAAAGAACTTACAGCTCTCCAGGGAAGGCCAGGACATTGAGTTGGAGGACAATTGCCTTATGTGCATCTGTTTGGGGTTGTTTATTTTGCATGGGTATCTCCTAAAAAATAAGACAGGATTAGGATACTCTGGATCTGAGTTTCCCACCAAACACTATAACATCCAAATTAACATTTATTTTATGTAATAGTAGCTCCTTTATTAAGCACCACACTATGTGGTAAGTACTGTACACACTTATGTACGTCACTTCACTCATTTGTTTTTTCAGCAACCATATATCTAGGTAAGTATCATTATCATATTACAGATGGAGGAAAATGAGGCCTGAGGAGGTAAAATGTTGGTCAAAGTTAACAAATTGGTAAATGTTAGAGATGAGATGTTAACACCAAACCTCTTATTCTTCCTACTACACTATATTTATCATCTAAAAGTAACCTCTCATGCTCTTTCCATATCTGAAACAAAGAGATTTCATGACCTCTGTAAAGTCACAATTTTCACAGATTTCAAACAATATCTTCCTCAGGATCAAGCTTTTTTTTTTATTAGGGTTGGTTTTAAACTCCCAATCTGTGTTCTCTTCAAGGAAATTTTCTCAGTCATGCTTGGAAACCTGGCTTTCCACTACAATTACTTGTTTTAGGTGGCAAATGCTTTCTCTAGCTAAATCAGTCACTATAATAATATTCCCACAAGTATGCAAGGCTGAGCACAGTGTACTGCCTATGGTAGATAACTAAAATGTGTGAAGAAGTGAATTCCTTCTGAGAAGTTCAGAAAACATGAAGACTAACCAGCATGGATAAAATAGAGAGGAGATTGGTCTTTCCTAAGGAATAGGTTTGTGCCAGATAATATACGATCAAATTATGAAGGGCACTGAAAGCCAGGCAAGGAGTTTAAACTTGATGCCGCAGGCAAGAGGAAGCCAATAAAAGTATTTGATCCAAGGTGAGGCAATAATAAAAGCAATGTTTAAGAAAGAGTCACCTCACAGTGTGATGCAGAATGAACTGGTGCTAAAGAGAATGGAACCAGGTGCATCAGTGAACCATTGGTACAGAAATCCAAACATAAACTAATGAGGGCCTAGACAAGAACCAGAGAAACATGAATGATGTCTCACCACTGAACTAAGCTGCATTGCTTATGTTTCCTTAAGACAATTATCTATTTTAGTTACTGAGAGTTTAAGTGTGATGTGGTTGCTGATGTGTTAAATAATAATTTTAAAAAACCCTCTGATATGTCATACTTGGTAATCCCTTCTCAAGGCCTTGCAGTACTTGAACGCACTGGAGTCATTATCTACTTGACACTCTCACAATATATGTGTCTTTAGAAAAAGCTAATACTTGGGAGAAAAACCAAGTTTTCAAACAGTTGATTAACAGGTGCAGATGTGAGGCGGTAGCTGGCATCAGAAGGCCTGGGTTTCCATCCCAGTTCTACCAATTAGTAGCTGTGTGGCTTTAGGCAAGTCATTTCACCATACTGAGCTCCAATTTCCTCAGCTGTAAAATGAAGATTCCAAAACCTATCTACAGGATTACAGTCAAATTTAAATGAAAAAAAAATACATGAAAGTACTTCATAAATTTTACAGCGCAATATGAGTACAAGATTTTATTTTTGTGAGCAATTACACATAAGTTGAAACTAAAGCTCCCACTCATTCAAAATGAAACTTCATTAGAAATCTCTACAGTTATGTATTTCCTGTAGCTTTGGGTGGACCCAACAGCAGAAAACAAGAGCAAGTGGCAGGCAAGCAGGTGATGTCAGAAATACTGCCAAGTAGCAATAGGACCCACACAGTTTTGGCAACAGCTACGATGCATCACAGACAGATAACACACTAAGACGTGAAGAGATGTGATAGGTATCTGGGAGGTCAGGCATCCCCAGGGGCTGAAATCCTAGAGAGATGTGGGCACTTGAGTTCAGGCCAAGACTGTGGGCTCTGGAAAGAATGGCAAGAGTAAAGGCCAACTCTGATTCCAGAAAAACTTAGGAACAGAAAAACCAGGTCAGGAGTGTGGAACACGTGGAGACACAGGAACAAAAGGTGGTTAAATGTTACCAGAGGTAGGTGACAAGGAAAGAATTTGGCATAAGGAATAAGTCAATAATTTTGGTATAGAACCCAGATTTAAGGCTAAACCAGGCAGCCATAAGGCTAATACAATTCTGAGCTGCCTGAGCTACTGGCCTCAGGTTCCTAAAATTTCCCCTCTAATGGTAAGGTTGATTTTTTTAAAAACTTAAGTGCCGGAAGTTACATTTATACCTATTAAATTTCATCTTGTTTCATTTGGCCCATCAGTCCAGCCAGTCAGTATCTTTTTGAATCCTGACTCTGCTGTCCAGTAATTAGTTATTGCTCCCAGCTTCATGTCATCTTCAGATTTGAAGAGTGTACTTTCTGTGCTTTGCCACTGGTTGATTAAAAGTTCGACAGAACGTAGTGGCACATCCCTGAAAGTTTCTTCTAGGAGACAGCCAGCTTCAAAGCCACTTAATACACTCTCAGTGAGTTCTCATTTCCTCACCTTCCAAAACAAATATCAAAAGAGGTACTGTCAAGTGTCTTGCTAAAATCCTGAAACACTGAAAGCCATAGCACTGCTCTCCATTTTCCAGTCCCCAGTCTTCTCTCAGGCATTTGCAAATCCTCATCCCCTCTTTCCACCTCATCCCACTTCAGAACTAGTTCACTCTTTTTGCCAGGTCCACCTGTGTCATGAATCCCAGCACTTCCCATCCCCTCCAGGTCCTCTATGCATCACTTTTTCTTCTCCTTTATTTTCCACATCCTTCTTTCCACCAACTTCTTCTTTACCTTAGGAAAGTGGTTCTCAAACTTTAGCATGCATCAGAATCATCTGGAAAACTTGGTAAAATACAGACTGCTAGGACCCAAGAGTTTGCATTTCTAGTGTTTCTCAAAGTGTGGTCCTGAGACAAGAATCATACCTGGAACTGGTTAGACATGCACAATTATCAGGCCCCACTTCAGACCTACTGAATCAGAAATTCCAGAGCTAGGGCCCATCAGTCTGTGTTTCAACAGGTATTTATCTCCAGGTAATTCTCATACATGCTAAAGTTTGAGAACCACTGCTCTGCATATTGAGTACAAACAGAGATTTGCAACCAGAGAAATCTGAGTTTGGAGCCCTGCTTTGCCCCTTCCAATCTGTGTACTGAGGTCATATGACTTACCATCTCTAAGCCTCAATATTTTAATCTATAAACTGAGAATGATAGTACCTACCTCCACAGATGGTATGAAGATTAAATGGTATAATGTAGGTAAAATGCTCAGTACAATGCCTAAATATTCAATAAACAGAAGCTGTATTTGCATTATCTATTAGAAAATGACTACATCTGTATCATCATTTGAAAGAAAAAAATCTCTCCATCTACCTCATGCCCTACTCTAACCTTCATAACCAAGACCATAAAAATCTTCATTCACTCTCTCCAGATCTTGGTCCATTTATTTGGGGCTATAACAGAATACATGAGACTAGGTAATTTACATATTTTTAAAAAGAGGTTTATTTGGCTCATGATTCTGCAGGCTGGGAAGTCCAAGATGCATGGCATCAGCATCTGCTTGGCTTCTGGTGAGGGCTTCATGCTGTATCACATCATGGCAAAGAAGAGGAAGAGGAAATGGACACATGCAGAGAGCAAAACGTGAGAGGCAACTTCACTTTATAACAACCCACTCCTGCAGAAATTAATCCAGTCTCTCAAGAAAGACTTAATCTATCTCAACAACCTAATCATCTTTCAATGGCCCCACCTCCCAAAACCACCACATTGACAATTAAATTTAACCATGAGTTTTGGTGGGGACAAACCACATCCAAACCATGGCACTTTAGTTTCTCACATCCATCGCTCTTTAGGTTACTGCTATTGGCTGCTGTCCTCACCACTCCACTAAGCTGTCCTACCTAAGACCATCAATGATCTAATTCTGGAAGTAGTAGACTCTGCAGAATTCATCTTTCTAACCTCCATATCCTTTCCTTTGTGATGGTCTCACTTCCCTTGGTTTCCACCTGGCAGCCTTTCATGGTCCTTCTAACTTTCTGCTGATTCTGTCTCAGTCACAGTAACGGGCTCCTCTCCTGATACCTATATTTTGAGCCCTTTCCATAATTCACTCTCATTTCTTCTCAACATGACCACAGCTTTACCTACCTCCTACCTATATTCCCAGACAAGAGCTCTGTCCAGAGCTCCAGACATCTCCAAATGACTACTAGATATCCCAACCTGGAGATCCATGGCACCTCAAAATCACCACACCCAAAGACCAAAGTCATCATCTACTGACCCAGATCTGTTCTGTTCTTCACAATTCCTTATGTTCTCAAATAGACTGGGAGGTCTCAAGGTCAAAGTCAGGGTCTGATTATCTCTGTCCTCCCATACTTGGACTCAGAGCCAGGTAAGTACTTCATATGTATGTATTTATCAAATGCCTGAATCAGTAAAGTAAATAATGGCATAGTGTGCAGCAATTTTTATAAAAAGAAATTAAATACTCACATAGAAAAAAGGAAACAAAATACTTTCTAAATCCATGCTGATACTAGGAGTCATTATGTCCCTTTCTAGATCTTGATTTCAAATTAATCTGTCTTTAGTGTCTAAAATCCACTTTCTCCCCTCATTAACCATTAAGATGGGGCAACATGATGAGCACTGTGCTCAGATGATGGACAAGCAGACACGAATTCAACATGAGGTCTCTGCAACACCGTCGCCAGGACAACTGCTCCACATGACCAGTGCCCTCTCATCTTTTGGAGCTAGTCTTTTCATAACATGTTTCAGGGTGCCTAATATACATTATATTAGATATAATATATATTTCTATCATCTATTTTTGCAATTTGCTGTATATATAACAGACACCAAATATAATATCAAGTACAATATCAAAAAAAACAAAAAAAATTAAGATGTTTATCCATCTAGTCTTTCTGTATCTCTCTTCATAAATTCTCCACAATTACCAAGAGTAGTTTTGTAAACACTGTAATTCTACTAGAACGCAGTTTATCCACAGACTTGAATGCTTTGTCAGCTAAGTGTTTTCTCACTATCACTTTCCTTATCTGGGGTTTCTGTTCCTTCTTAACTATGTTTGCTTTGTTCTTTCCAGTTTGAAGATCATTCTCCTTGCTACAGTAGACGAAGGTGAATTCAAAGTTGAGTGGTTCTGTTTTCTCAATCATTTTGCCTTACCCCACCCATCTCTACTCCATCAAGCCTTTATTTCTTCCTCATTCTTTGGTTCAAGGTACAGTTCTGGACATCCTTTTATATTATCTTTAGCACTTTTATGATGCGGATTAGACTTGCTGATTATATTCTTGTATTTTTAGCCACGTTAGCAATATTCATCCTTGGAAACTAGCTCATCCTTCAATCGTTTGTATCTTGGCCAAGGGTGAAGACACAAAAGCGGGTAGGGAGCAGGGCTAAGAATGGAGCAGGCACCCTCTGCCCTGGAGAGATGCAGTACAGGTTTCAGAATGACCCAAAAGCTCAACATCAGGTCTCAGTTGCCAGAAAAGGCAAGACCTGGGCTTGCCAGATGTCCCCTGTTGAACCAGACAGTCAAGTATTTTAACTTCTTGTCTAATAACATGAAAATTTCAAATTGGTTGTTATTTCAATTTCAGATTTGCCTTATCTTAATTCCAGTTTTCTATTTAATCAACAGTGGTTTGGAACATTTTCAGCTTTTAGTTTCTTACTAAGTTAAATATTTAATGATCTGTAAACAAACACTTGAGAAGATGCTACTTAAAGGGACTCTCATCCCTCTTTACTTTGTAAAGTGAATGAATTCACTCTTGAATTTATCTTTAAATTTTCAGGTAAGTGTTTGAATGTAAAAAGTGGAGCTGGCATGGTAGGGTTGATGAGAAGGAAGCATCACTGTAGAAAGCTTCCGAATCTTTCAGTCCCCCACCCCTACTGAGGACACAGTCTTTCTGCAGAGTCTTTCTGGCCATCACAACAGGGAGCAAGGGTTAGGGAAGGGGAAGAAGAAACCAATAAAGTGTAAGTATGGTACCAGGAGTATACCAAGACCATGAAGGAGAAAGAGATCACATGCAAATATAGGTTGAAGTAGGTTTGAAATCCAAGGAGAGATATTCCAAGAAACAAATATAGAGATGAGAGAGAGTGAGAGACAGAGAGAGAGAAAGAGAGAGAAATTTAAATACATAGGTAAATTCACAAGCAGAAGGAAATCAAAAGCCAGAGGAACCATTAAAGGGCAAACAAAGTAAACTGAACAAGGGTGAGTAGGAAAGACATGGCTTGATAAAACAGCTACTCATTATCTACACTCACTTTAGATTCCAAGAACAGGTTTATGTTCTGTATTAGTCTGTTCTCACACTGCCAATAAAAACATACCTGAGACTGGGTAATTTATAAAGGAAAGAGGTTTAATTGACTCACAGTTCCACAGAGCTGGGGAGGCCTCAGGAAACACAATCATGGCAGAAGGGGAAGCAAACACGTCCTTCTTCACATGGTAGCAGCAAAGAGAAGTGCCGAGTAAAAGGGCGAAAAGCCCCTTATAAAACCATTAGATCTCGTGAGAACTCACTATTATGAGAACAGCATGGAGGTAACTGCCCCCATGATTCAATTATGTCCCACCAGGTCCCTCCCACGACACATGGGATTATAAGAACTACAGTTCAAGATGAGAGCTCACCTGAGAGCTCCCTACTTCTTTAGATGACTAACTTTTATCCCTTATAAGAACTATTTCTTGCAGGACTATCAGAATTTTATTTTATCTTATTTTTTAAATTTTATTTTTAAGAGCCACTCATGCCTCTTGGATCCCTTCTGGAATATTAGGTTTTAGAATTTTGCTTTTTGAAAAATCCGCCTCTCCCCAGAAGTTGAGGGCTCTTTCCTCTGGTTAGTACATATAGGATAACATAGTCACTTCCACTTCAGCAACAGCTTCTTCCCTTATTCATCAGAATTAGATCCAAGATGGCAGCTCCCCTTTTTATTTATAAGAAATGAAACTATCAGGAGGGCAAATCAAACAATTCTCAGAAGTTTTTCTTCCAATTTATTGTCATCCTTGCATTATTGTCTCATATTTGAATATCTGTCATGGTGGGGTTTCAGCTACAGTCCCCCAAATTTCTCCATGTAATTTCCCAGCTGCAATCATGGAAGTAGAGACAGATCCACATCACTTCCAAGGGGACTCTGTGGTCACAGAAACCATCACCATGCAGGCGCCAAGATTTCTGGGTGTCAGGGCATGGGGAGGTAGAAACGGGTAGGTCTTTTAGGGCCAGGGTCACCTGCAGTAAGTCCTAGCCTGAAGCAATGTGGGAAGCAGAAGTCAAAGAGAAGTGCAAAACTGAAAGTGGTAAATTGTGCAAAGATCCTTAATGCCCAGAGGTGAGTGGCAAAGCTTCAAATATGGTATGGCTCCCAAATGGTGGGAGCCAATGCTTGGGTCTAGAGCCAGGAGTTCATTAGAGGGGGGAAAAGGCAAGGACAAAAACATCTGGAGAAAACCAGTAGGGTTTATTTGATTCTTGGCTTTGAGTCGTCTAAGTATGTTGTTTCACAACTTTATGAGAGCAGGCTCTTGTCTTTTTGTTCACTGCTCTATCCCTGGGGCCCAGCACAGTCCCTGACATATATAGCAAATGTTCCAAAAATTAGTATCGAATCACTCAAACAACAGTGCTTTCAACTTTTTTTTTTTAACAGATCAGCGTAAGTGTGGCTAACAGTGATTGGAATGGATTTAAAGCGTCAATTCCAAAGTAGAGATTATGAGTCAACTTTTTTTGCAGGGGGCTATCCTCTGTCAGAGTTATATCAACTTATAATTTTCCTGTAGTCTCAATACCACTAAGCCATCTCTACTAATAGAGATAAGAGAAAGAACCTGCATTATTTATCAGTATGCATCTCACATTGAAAACCTAACCTTACCAACATTGCCTGGGAATGCTAATGTCTTCTGTGCCATGGGTAAGTGGTAAAAAATGATAACTCCTTTGAAATTATAATAAAATAAATTTTAAATCAACTAGAAGCTTCAAACAATTCTTCTTTTGAGAGATCTTTCCAAAGCAAACTTAATCTAAAACTTTAGATAACACAAATATATTTTCACCTTATTTAAAACTGTTACTAGTGGGAGTCTTTAGGAAGGCATTAAAAGACTTTTTTTTGGCTCTGGTGCTGCAAAAATAAATGGATTCAATACCACTCTGAACTGTATAATAATTTAATGATTCTCAGATTCCAAGATAAAACTTCTAACAGGGGAATGAGACCACTATCATCATTTATGTTGAAGTCTGCCCAATATGTTCAAAAGATCCATGCTTATTATAACAGTGCAGAAGAAGACTTTCATTTTATAATCTTTGAAGCAATAGAACGCTAAAATCTAACTCTTTGTAATATTAAAATGTTGTGAGGCTTTGAACCCCACTTTTGTAATAACCATGAGTGCTTTCTGTGCTGGTTTGCCTGGCTCCTGATTTCCACATGCCCGTGTCCCTCAGGAGAGCACAACAGGGCACTGTGTAAGCACTGTGTAAGAAGATGTGGTGAAGAGTGACCACCTATGAACACATTCCCAGTGGACAGACCTTTTCAAGTTCTCCTCTTGACGTTGGCTTGCTTTGGGGATGACTGTCTGGTGTTCCTGCCCTTGCTATGGTGAAAACAGAGCACAAGGAAAGCCACGGAAGGCAAACAGGGAATGCAACCTTAGATCAATCCTTCCCAAACTGTCACTGAGACACAGAAGCCACAGAGACACACTCACGTGAGTAAAAGATAAATTCATGGATATCATGAGAGAGTGGTCTACTTTATCGAGTGAAAGGAAAGAGGCTTAAAATGAGTCTTAGGTAAATGAGTAAGAAAGCTCCTCCTTATAACTCTCTATCTCTCCAGGCATGCACAACTTGCTAGAATTCTGCACATAGCTTACAGATACTCATGGCCATGATTCGAACAAAGGAGGATGAAGAAAAAGCATTTTCTTTTCTCTACAGCCTCCCCTTCCTTTAACTCTGACCCTGGCCACAGTCCCTTGAGGCTGTTGCTGGTGATGAGCACCAGTAAGGAGCAGGGAGAAATCTGAAGCCACACAGAGGTAAAGATTACCCATGGAAGCAGGACATAAAATCAGAGAGGAGCAGTCATCCTAGACATGAGTATGCCGGAAGGCAAGGGAAAGTCTAAAGCATCAAGGCCAAGGCCAGGTAGAAAAATGGGATCTGAAGCTAGAAGTCTGAAAGAATGAGAATAGGCAAGACCAAGAGAATGAGTTCAGGAGACTGAGCTTAAAAATGTTCCTTGACACAACACTACAGATAAAGGGTATGAGCGTCTCTGTATCTGTTTTCTTGGGCAGGAGGTTAGGTGGGAGTAGTTAGGGCATTGTGCTTCTCAAGAAATTCTCAGGATTGTACCCCCATTCTTCTCCTCACATATAGTACTGTCATTTGGGGAGGTGGGGTGGTGCTGAAGATGTTTCTACCCTACCCCTTGAAGATCCAGAATGGCAGCTAACAGTCTCCCTAAGTAAGCAAGTCATTCACTCTATAACTTGAGCATAGGGAAGCCTAAGGTTGGGCTGGAATAAATGTTATTCTTTATAACTATAATCCATGCTCAGAGAACGCGTTTTGTTCAGCAAGAAAAGTGAGCTAAATGGAGGCTTTTTTTTTTTACAGACGTTATGACACTTGAAGAATTATGTAG
Organism: Homo sapiens; assembly: GCF_000001405.40. Lineage (NCBI taxonomy): Eukaryota > Metazoa > Chordata > Mammalia > Primates > Hominidae > Homo > Homo sapiens. Next base: position 119,455,165 of record NC_000006.12, on the reverse strand, counting down.
GTTATTGCTGACACCATGTAAGCACCCTCTAAAATAACCCAGAAAAAATGCTCTGAGAAGACCTGAATTACAAGTGTGTGGAATACCTCCATCTTCTGCTTAACTGATGTGAACCACAGGGAAGGGATAATTGTGGAAATGAAACAGGAAACAAGCAAAACCATTTATAACACATGAAAATGAGTAAGCAAGCAAGTTGGCATGCATGAGATATAGAAAAAAGAGCGAATTTGTATCTAGTGCTTCCAGTGAATTGTTCAAGAACACTTCATCCTTGGAGAAGAATTTCCTCTAATTCTGTCAAGGGTGGTGTCTGCATGGGTTACGTGCCAAGTAATTGCCTGGTCACAAGCTAACAGTGTCAAGAGGCTATTTTAAAGATGAATGGGAACACAAAACATATTTTGTCCTATTCACCACTTTGAATATATCTCAGGAACAAAACTTGCACCTGAAATGAAATGGAGAAATGCGATTTTTATGAGTTACTGGCTTTTTCCCCCCTTCACACCACTGACAGAACAAAAACATTTAGAGGAAGACAGCCCAATGTCATGTAAGTATTTGTATATTTGTTCTCACCATGGTACACAAGGGACATATCGAACCCTTTCCCTGACTAAAAACAGGACATTATTTAAGCTCTGCCATCACACTCCAATGCTTTTCAATAGCTAGAAGAATTCTGCATTCCTTCCCATAGGAACTGTAAGCTCAAAAAGAAAAATTCTTCTGCAACACACTCTATCAATAACTTGTATTCATTTTGCTTTCTGAAATAGTTACTTTTTAAAATGTATATGCTAAGAAAAAGTGAAAGAAGAAAAAAGAGGCCCTCCATCTATGAATTGTGCTCTTTTTTTATTCATATGATTTCCAAGACCAAGCAAATTATCATAATCTTCCTAACAGAGATACACAATTCCACCTAAGAATTACCATTTACTTAAACCAGTGAAAAGCAGTTTCTATTAGATGCTGAGACAAGTCATCTGTATGTGTTCATATGTGCTCCCTAGAAATTATTTTTGAATTTCAAGGTTATAAATAATTCCCAAACTCAAGTTCATGCTGATATTCTAATATGGGTTATTTGTTCTCCTCTGCTGGTGTCATTTCTTTTGATTTAATCATTATCCCTTACAGGCTGGCACTGGTCTATTCAGTATACTGACAGGACCAAGCCATCATCCCACCTAAGAATATCAATTATGCTTTCAAAGCATACAATTTGATTCATGCAGAAGCTACTGTATATGCATCATGGTGTTTTCATAAAGACTCCCTTATTTACTCTAAACAGTGTTATGCCTTTTACCATAAGATTCTGTAGTAACTGTTTAACCTTTCTAAATCTTTTCAAGAAATCTTAAAAGAAAGGAAAGCTTGCCCTCAAGAATACACTTTCTGTTCTTATAAAAATCAGCTCCTCTATAAATAGCTGCAGTGAGGCAAAGCTTCAAAGCTTCAGCCTAAAATGCCATGAGTACTGTCCTGTAGAGACAGCTTTCAACCATGTCTGAGTCGGCACAAAAAAGGAACTTCCTGCCAGCTGAATGTGTGTCTCCCAACTTTCTCTCCTCATGCATATCTAAAAAGGATACTGAGCTAGAATTGCTAGTAGTTTTCCTATTTAAGGCCTGTATGGAAGTCGTTCCCACAGTAGAAGCTGGAAACACACACACAGCCCACTCCTTCACTCACTCATAACCTAGCAGGACCAGCTCCGGGCCCGCTCAGCTCCCTGTGCTGCCTGATTTCTCATTTCTCGAAGCACACAGAGGCTGGAATGAGCCCACCATCTGCCCCAACCACCAGAAACAAAAACATGCCTTTTTCTATCCCTGTGTGTGCAGGCAACGTCCACCCATGCTGCTCAAGCCCTTTGATCCTACAGACCAAGCCACCACATCCTCTTCATACCCCCTCATGCACCCATGAACACAAGCACGCACACACACACACACACACACGCACAAACACACATGCCCACACAATGCTCACAGTGATGTCAGGAGTGGTTACCCTTCCTTCCATATGCCTATGTACCATATGACAGAGACAGCAACAAGGAAAAACATTACTTCGCCTCCCCAAACCAATCCTAATGTCTTTCTTCAGTGAAAATGGTTCATCTGCACTGGGGTCCTCCATGTAAGAGCCAGAAGTTCTGGGCTTCTCCAGATATGTGCACATCGAGAAATAATGAGCACAACTGTATGGTAGTGAAGACAAACAATTGCAGTACAGTTGAAAACTGCTCTGTGTGAACTGATTACCCACAGAGTACCATGCTCTGCCAGGGTCGGTGTGGTAGAGGGCCATCTCCTCCCGTGCCATTCTTCTAGGATCAGCTATGTCAGCTCTTGTTAAAAACTCCTCACCAAAAAGAATCAAAAACAGAAACCAAGATAGCACTTGAGAGAAGATGGAGGAGATGTTCATTCCTGTACCCATCTCTGGAGGGCCACATGTTTGGAGACTACAGTACAGTTTGCCTCTATCTGCTTACTATAATCCTGAGGATGGATTTTGAAGCATAGTTAAATGGTGTTGGCCATTTCCCCTCACTTTAATTATTCAAAATAAACAAACAAATAAAATGCCTTTCCAAATGCTTCATCAATGTTTTTATAGGCATATATATGCATCTTTAAAAATTAAGATCGTACTATATATGCTTTTGTTAAGCTTTTTCATTTAAATATTTTGTTTTTCATGAAATATACATTGATAAGAATTTTCTTAATTACATGTTCTTCGACACAACTTTTTTTGACATTTATCAATTTAATTAGATATTAAACATCTAGGTGTAATTGGGGATGAACTTATCTGTGGCACGGATCAGGTACAGTCTGCAGAAGCCTGGATTCTTACTAGCACCTAGGAGACTTATTTTTCTCTGTTTTATAAACCATATCCAGAAAATGAATTTGTTTGTTCTCACTGATGGCTCTCAATTCTTGAGAATTAATTGGTCTTTATTACATCTAGGTGTGATATTTGCTAGCTAGGTATGAAATATCAGTTGTCTCATTTGTAAAAATAAACAATCCTTTGCTTATTCAAACTACAGTCACGTTTGTAGGTAACCCATATGTCCATTTAGTTCTAAATTTTTAGGCTAAAAAAGCATGAGTCGAGCTGGCAATTTTCAGTGTTCCCTATCTCAATGTAGACCCTGTTAAACTTTAATCACCTTGTGAAGACATTTGTCAAGACAAAAGTATAACAAGTATTGGCCACACAGGCAGTCATTTTGGTATAAATGAAAGATTGTTGACTGTCCTCAGCTTTCAACTCTGCAAACCAAGAGCTTTAGTTTAAGCTGGATGCCCCCCAGCTGGCAATTCTTATACAGAACCTTCTCTTTAGCATCACTGTGAGAAGTGGGATCCGTAGAAAGCTTCCTAAAAGATCAAATTATAATTTAAACCTCTTAAACATATTTTAATGAAGCAAAACCCCCTCAGGATATTTAAACGCACAGTCTTCAACTATAGAGAGAAAGAAAAATATCCCTTTCCTATGCTGATGACAAAGTTTTATTGTCATGAACTAATAACAGTAATAGAAAATTAATTGGTTCAGCTGTCTGAGTGTTAGAAAGAATAGGTTATGACCAATAATTCTAAAGATAAAAATCATTATTTTTGGCAGCTATTCCCTGGTTTAATTAGTTTATATTCAATAATTCCATCTAACAATCATTCATGTGGTTACATAGGAACTTGGCAGTTTCACTGGGAAGCTCTGTTGCTCAGTTTCACTAAACCAGACGTTTCTTGAACAAACTACTAAGAACTCCCTCTGACTGTTACAGGCAACTGACAAGTCTTCCTTTGAAAATATTCCAGGATATGTTATATCCACCACCATCTACACGCACACACATACACGTGCCCATGCATTCTATAGTATAGCTTTGGGACATTGATCATATATATATGTTTTGTTGATAGTATAGATGTAGAAGGGCTTTCTACAGAAAAGTCTACACTCCACCCATAAATAATCTTTTGAGCCACCTCAGTGTAGAGCTGCAATGGCCATCTATTGAGCCATGAGTTTTAGTTAGATTTCAATAGGAGCATCAAAAATGAGACTGGTTGCTGGTGAGGAGATAATGGGGTCGGGGGAACATCTGCAGAGGGTGAGTCCTCACATAAGCCTGAAGGGTAGGTGGGCTGGAGTTTGCTGGGGGAGAGAGACAAGTGGCACTCCAGGTAGAGGAAGCAGTGTGTGTGGAAATGGCACTGGGGCATAGAGCAGCGTAACACACTCTTGAACTCTCAGGTTGTTGAGAATGGGAGGAAGGATGGTGCAAGAGGCAGGGACGTGGCAGGACATGTGGCTAAAGCATAGTCAGGGAACAAGCCATGAAACACATTCCATATTAAACCAAACATCTGATCCATATTCTGAAGAATATGAGCGGTTATGGAGGATTTAGAAAGTAGGGCATGACGTGGTATGATTTGCCATTTAGAAAGGGTCCTCTGGCAACAGTGTGGACAATGGGGCCAGCCAGGACTGGAGGCGGACAGAACAATTCAGAAGCTGCTGAAGCAATGCCAAAAGGAAAGGGCACAGAAAAGTAGCGACAATGAGAACAAAGAGCAAGAGAAGGTTGTAAAAGATATTTAGGAAGTGGGGTTAACAGGACCTATTAAAGATGGAGAAAGAAAAAGAGAGGAGAACTATAAAGAGTAATCAGATTTCTGACTTAAAAGACTATGTGAATAGTGGTTGCAGTCTCCAATATAGGTAATACTGGAGTAAAATCAAAATCTTATACCAAGATAATGAATTTGATTTGGAACATGTTGAATTTAAGGTGCAAGTATGATATCTGGATAGAGCTCTCTTGCAAACAAGTGGATTATGTGAATATGAAGCCTAGAAGAGAGGTCAGGAACATGAGTATAGGTTTGAGAATCATCAATACATAGGTGATAGATAAAGCCATTGGTTTGAAGGAGGCACAGAAGAGTAAGTGAATAGAGATAAGGCGGAGGAGTCACAGATGAAGATCATCATTTAGTGAAAGTCATCAGTAAGCTTAGTGGTAGCATTTGCTCTGAAGTGTTGGGGACCAGGAGCCTCATAGCCGTGAGCTGAGAAGGGAATAGCAGAAACAGAGATTATCAAATCTTTGGACTTTGATACAAGCAATCAATGCACACATGTGGGGAGAAATGTGTGCCTTATCAGGGATGTCAGTTATCAGTAAGAAAACTGAATCTACAATAAAGTCAGTACGAAACTGATTTGGTCACAGGCTGGATTAAAGAAGTGCTAGAACTGGAGCAAATAAAGTTGAGTGTGGCACTCAGTGTTGTACTCAGTGCTACTCCACATCTTACAGGCCAGGTTAATGAACTTTAAAGTTCAGAGATTCACTTCTCCTTTCCATCACTACTGCAAGCAAGGAAGAAAAAAGTGTGGGAAATTAAACCAAAAGAGGAATCAAAGAATTAGACTTGTTATGACAAGTGTACCTTTCAATGTGCTGGGCGCTCTAGAAAAACAGGAGAAAGTGGGGGGCCTCCTCCTTCCCACCCACTCTAAACGAAAAACAACCAAGCTTACAGGGCATAGCTGACCTAAGCATTCACCCAGGAAGTAGGGAAATTGGAAATTACAGCAAAAACATGAAACTTCCTTCTAGGCTGCCTCTCTACATTGAATGTGTTCACTGCTTAGAGGCAGAAAAGAGGAAGGAGGAGAGCCAGGTTCTTTCTGTGAATCCATGAGGCCAAGGCAGGCAGTGGAAGAGGCAGTACAGAGCCTGTTTGTCACCTCTGAGGTCGAGGAATCCTGGCCACTGTGAGACCCTTGGCCCAAAGGATGTGGGATTCTCAAAAACCAGGTTTACTGTAACTCTTCCTCTCAGAGGGATGAAAGAGAATGTGGAGGATGAAACCAGTGTTCACACCCACCCTCCCCAGGGAGAGGGAAGAGAAATTCCCCTTCTCTATGGAAACGTGGATTGGAACAGAAAGCTCCTCCTGGAACAGGGGATAGTGCACTCTGAGCATATATAGTGGAAAGTAAACAATCTAAAGCTGTGTCAGGTAAGAATGATTGGAGCTAGAGGAATGTGCCTTAAATGTGTCAAAATGGATGTTGTTTGGAAGAAAAAATAGCATTCTTCGCATAGCCCAAGATGGAGAATAAGGCCAACAGATGGCAATTAGAGGCAGAGTGACCAACTGTCCTGGTTTGCCCAGGACTGACGGATGCCCTGGGATGCAGAATTTTCAGTGTTAAAACAGGACAGCTCCAGACAAACCAGAACAGTTGGTCACCTGGGATGACAGATTTCAGTTCAATTAAAGAAAGACATAGAGTCAGAGCTTTCTTACCACAAAGAAATGATCCATGTTTGAGGGTACACTAAATACTTTGATTTGATGATTATACAATGTATACATGTATTGAAACGTCACACTGAACCCCATAAATATGCACAATTTTTATGTGCATATTTATTTTTATTTTAAAATGAAATAAAACAACAAAAAGACAGCTGTTCAAAGGCAGATAACAATTTTACTACCACTGGAAATGCTCAAATATAGTTTAGCCTTTAGCTCAAGGCTGCCAACAAGAGGGAGGTGGGAGTTGATGACCCCAAAGGAGAGAAGAAGAGTAATCTGGTACCATGAACTTTTTAAAAAATTTATTGGAATATAAGCATTTTCCAATTGATTATTTGTTTGCTTTTGGCAGTCATTTAAGAAACTTTCTCTAAGAAACTCATTGGTTCATATGTTTCTTCCATTAAGTGTGTGTGTACACAAACACACACACACACACACACACACACATGCACACATATATATGTATATATGTACCTCACAGTTTGGGCAGAGAAGCAAATTTAGCTCTAATTCCAATCCCAGTACTTTTCTACTCTGTTTTCCCACCCGCTCCACCATGCCCAACACACAAACACACACAAACTTACCATAACAGCCTATGGGTTGAATTAGACAGTCATTGTGTTAGGAAAATGGAAGCTTGTTCCGTCAAGCCTCCCTCTCAGTTCCTTCTTTCTAAAAGTGAATTTTTGAGGGCCTACTTTATTTTGTGGGAAGTGGGGTGGGAAACCTTTTTTTTTTTTTTGAGATGGAGTCTTGCACTTGTTGCCCAGGGTGGAGTGCGGTGGTGCAATCTCAGCTCACTGCAACCTCCACCTCCCAGGTTCAAGTGATTCTCCTACCTCAACCTCCTGAGTAGCTGGGATTACAGGTGCCCACCACCAGGCCTGGCTAATTTTTGTATTTTTAGTAGAGACAGGATTTCACCATGTTGGCCAGGCTAGTCTCAAAGTCCTGACCTCAGGTGATCTGTGCACCTCAGCCTCCCAAAGTGCTGGGATTACAGGCGTGAGCCACCAAGCCCAGTGGTAAATCTTAATATGGTCCCTGTTATCATGAATTTGTGAAAAGATAACTAAAATGCACTTATAGCAATTAAAGAAGGCTCTAGTTAGTGACTAATTGTGCCTCTGTACACCTTCAAGCCTGTGGACCAAGGGCAGTACTGAGTTACAGCTGCAAAGGCCAGAGCCTTTGTTTGCTTGGGGAAGGCTGGAGAGTTCCACACTTATTATACAAAGTTAGGGTAAGAATGACCATACGTTTCCATTTTCTCAGAACAGCCCATGTCTACTCATACTATTCCAGCATAATTATTAATAGTATCCCAGTTTGGATGATAAATTAAATGACCACCCTAGATACAGCTATTGGACATAGTCAGAATAAGGGCTGAAGTTGAACAACCAATGGCACTGGGTCATGCTCTGGGCATTTTTTTAGTATTAGATTTCTAGCATATACCCATGCTGAGTCCAGGTCTCAAGAAAATGTTTACGCTTCTGTGCATATAGGAATATTTGTGTTAACATTAAATCATGGTTAAAAGAAACAAATTCAAAGAAAACATACAGTGAAGTTATCATTAAAAATTTCTCAATGATAACTTTGTGGGTTTTGTTTTCATGTTTGTTTAACAATAGAAGAATGGAAAATAACATTGTCTGGCTGGCAGTTGGTGATATTTATTAATTGGATATTCTTTCTGGTACTTTTGCTGGTTTTCCCTGTCATGCTGGTCAAACACACCCTAGAAAAACATACAGGTTGGACTTATCATTGGAACACGCCTAATTTTCACTGTCAGTATGCTGCGCAGGATGGCCACAATAGTTTTGTGGCTAAATAACCAAAGTCAAGTCTGCAAATAACTTTGACCCAGATACTTAAGATTTCAGAAGACTGGAGACAAGATCTGGAGCTTAGCCAGCTGGCCCTAAAACAAGGAAGTTTTCCAGACTATGGGGCAAATGTAAGACTGCTACATTCCCAAACTGGTTCTGAGATGCCTGTTCATTACCATCAACAGAGAAGCCTGTAGTTAGTGTTTAGAAAGAAGGAGGTTTTATAACTGAGGCTCATATTGAAAAAGAAAATAAAAGACTAGAAACCTGTGGCCAGAATAATGTGAGTGAGTCAGAATAAAAGAAGGAATAAAGGGAGGGAAAGCCCAGATCCAAAATGAGGCCGATCATACATGGGGCTTAGATATGTCCAAAAATGAGAGGGCCCACCAGGAAATCTCCTTGATTGACGGGCAAGGCAGCTTGTCAGCAGTGAACTCATCCTGATGTTAGAGAGAGTCAGGCAGACAAACTCCATCCAGTTAACAAAAGCTGAGTTGTTGAAGGGGAGAGATGATTCTAAATAAAGCATTGTCTGTCACTCCAGAGATCCTTATTGAGCATCTGTGATGTGCCAGGCACTGTTCTAGGTGGAGGCATGAGACATACAGTGAACAAATGAACAAATAAGCACAAGATAAATTCAGATAATAAGTGCTATGAAGAAAATGAAGCAGAGTGATGTAATAACACCACAGGGGGGGAAGGGAGAGAATATTTCAGGCTGAGTCATTAGGTAAGGCCTCTCTAAGGAGATGTGATTCTGAAAGAAAAGATGGAGCCATACTGTGAGCAAGTTAACTAAAGACTGGAGAGCATCCATTGGTTTGACAGCATCAAGCTCATCGGAGACCTTCACAAAGGCAGTTTCAGTGGAACAGTGGTGTAGATGCCAAATAGGAGAGGGCTGATGAGGTGGGGATAAAGTGAATGTGGGGTAAGGAAGCAGAGACAGAGACTGCAGACAGCGGTCCACTTCAGATCTAAGCTACCCGGAAATTGAAAAGTATATGCAGCTGCAGGAGAGCTTTTAAGAGGGGCCAGCCTGGAACACTGCGGAATGCTAAGAGAAGAATCCCCACTGAGAGGGAGAGTTAGACATGCAGAAAAGTCCTTGCGAAAACAGTAGGGAGTCAGATCCAGAACACATGTAGAGGCTGGTCTTTGACAAGAAGAGGGACACTTCCTCTACATTAACAAGAAGCAAGGAAAGGAGGGAACTAATGCAGGGGTGGTTTTATGGACCTGTCAAGCTGGATCCCTATTAACTTCATTAGGGATGGTATCAGGTTCAAGAGGCTCAAGAAGAGACCCAGAGCGAGCAAACAAGACATAGGGTTTACTAAGGGGACTTAGATACAGAGTGGCCCAGTGGCAATGGGTTGGATGACAGAACTGCTACCACTTGCAAAAAACATGCAATTTATATAGCATTTTTGCATAGCATCCTCCTCCAGCAACCTCCACCTCACAGCCTTCATTTAACCCAAAACAAAGGGCCTCAACCCCCTGCACAGCCCGTGTTCCATGGGACAGGTGGAGGTTCATATGTTCTTCATAGATAAGAAATGAATTTCTGAGTTGGCCACTCCCAGTTTCCTTAACTTGTAACTCTGAACACATATTCAGGTGCATCTGCCATACAGGATCATTCTCAGTGTATGCTTAAGTTACGGCTATCAGGCGTGTCTGCCATACAGAGCCTGACAATGGGAAGTTTAAAGAGTTCCTATCTCATTACTTTTATTTTGTTAATGAAATAAGAAATGAGGTCATCAGTGAGAGTGAGTAAGATGTAAGGGGGAGGGGAGAAAGTATAAAACAGTTCTCTTGAGAATGATTAAGTTTATTAGGGAAACACTGTCAGGCAGTGCAGAGTACCTATTTAAGGCACCTAAATATGATGATGAATTTATTTAATGAAACAGGCAGCCTCCTTATTGATTTTTCTCCAGCCATACACATTTGTTCAGATCTAAATACAAAGAAGGTAGATAGGTCCAACCAGTGCTAAAGTTGTGGCAGATGAGTGTGCTCATCGCAGAACTGAATAAGGGAGGTGAGAGTGTCTGTAGGGACATGATTATGACTTCTACCATAAAATCTAAGCTGGACAAAAAGGGAAGTGAGGGATAGTTGATAGATAATGAAACTGTGGTGGCATTAATGGAGTGGAGTTCTCAGTGAAATGATACTAGCCTGCAGCTGGAAAGTGGAATACAGTACCTGAGTCAGAAATTTCAGAGGCAGGATGCAGGATGTTTTGGCAGTTAAGGTAGAGAAGCTAAAAGAAGAACATTGTCACAGAAAAGGTATAATAGTCCATTCTCACATTGCTATAAAGAAATACCTGAGACTGGGTAATTAATAAGAAGTTCAATTGGCTCACAGTTCCACAGGACGTACAGGAAGCATGACAAGATCTGCTTCTGGGGAGGCCTCAGGAAATGTACGATCATGGCAGAAAGCAAAGAGAAATCAGGCACGTTTTACATGGCTGGAACAGGAGTGGGGGCAGGGGGATTAACCACACATTTTTAAACAAATAGATCTCGTGAGAACTCTATCACAAGAACAGCACCAAAGGAGGAAATCCACCCCCATGATCCAATCACATCCCACCAGGCCCCATCTCCAACACTGGGATTACAATTCAACATGAGATTTAGGTGGGGACACAGATCCAAACCATATCAGAAGGCAAAGGAAATAAGAGCAATGGTGGAGAATGAGTCAGCCTAGGCATTATGAAACAGCCTATGAGAACTACAGCAGAGTTGGCTTCGAAAGCTGTAAGCCAGGGATATCTCCCCTGAATGAAGAGAGGTTGGTAAAACATCACCTGGCCATGCATAATGACTAAGGATACGTGCTCTAAAGTCAGACTGCTAGAGTTTGAATCCCAGCTTAACCACCTTCTCACAGAGACCCTGGCGGCAACAAAAATAACACCAAACACTCAGATGGTATCTACTAAGTACTTTACATATATTTATACCTCACAATAAGCCAATGAGTTAGACACTTCTGAATTCACATTACACAAATGAGAATAAGTTTTTTGTCCTCTTTAAACCTCACAATGATATGATAAGGTTTGTTCCTATCTTATGGGGTTTTTGTGAGTTTTCAGCGAAATAATTTATGCAAAATGATTAGTACACTGTCTAGCTCCTAGAAGTGTTCAATAAACGTTAACCGATATTATGAGGAGAAAGGACAAGGAGCAGGGTTTTAATAAGGAGCGATGGTCTGGAAGCAACCCTGGGAAGCCAGGAAGAAACTCACCCACTGCTGGCCTTGAAGAACATGGAAGGTTTTGCCTTTTTTTGGTAGGAAAAAAAAAGAGAAAAAGAAAAAAAAAAATGGAGCATGGAACAAACCAAAAAGTACATCAGATTTATACAATTAAAAAAAAAAATCTCTGCTGGGCATGGTGGCTCACGCCTGTAATCCCAACACTTGGGGAGGCCAAGGCAGTGGATCGCTTGTAACCAGGAGCTCAAGACCAGCCTGGGCAACAAGGCGAAACCCTGTCTCTACAAAAAATACAAAAATTATCCAGGTGTAGTGACCTGTGCCTGTAATCCCAGCTACTCAGGAGGCTGAGGTGGGAGAATCGCTTGAGCCCGGGAGGTTGAGGCTGCAGTGGGCCAAGATTGCACCACTGCACTCCAGCCTGGGTGACATAGCAAGACCCTGTCTCAGAGAAAACAAAAAACAAAAAAAACGCCTGGCTGAGTGCCCATATGGGTGTCAGGTAAGGAAAGGAATTGGAGAAGTCAGATAAAAGTCTAGCAATACTGGACAGTTTGTTACTCAAGAAAGAGGGGTTTTAGAGGATGGAGCAACAGGGAGGATAACGCAGGTCTGTTGAGTCGGAAGAGACATGTACAAAGAAGTGCGCGGTTGGGCTGAGAGTTTAGTGACCCTCATGACATGCACGTTTACCAGACAGGCTGACTTTAGATCTTCCTAACCCTGTGACTCCACTTCAACGGCCGTGAAACTAACAGCTGTTCAAAGAGAAAAAGCAAGTTGGAAAAACAGGAAACAGGTGGCCGTTTTCGAAGAACAGTACACATGTTCATCTGACCAAGCAAGATTTAGCCTTGAATCCAGCAAACACTTTTTGAGCATCTACTATATGGCAGGGCCTGAGCTAGGCTCATCTGCATATATTATCTTATTTAATCCTCAGAACCACAAAGCAAAGTGTATGTGTGTTAAGATTATAAAGGCTTAATATTAAAACAGAGTGATGTAATCAGCAGTCAAGCTGGAACATTCCAGAATCCTCAACCCTTTTTACCTCCAAGGATGTAGTGGTTACCTCGAAGACAGGTCAGACACACCTGCCTATATCCTTTCTCTTTGTTCTTTCCTCTTGTCCACCTTGGTGGTTCTCAAAGAACTCCTGAACAGAGCTATATCCTCAAAACTATATTCACTATCCTTTATGGATAATTTAAAGGATTTCCAAAAATAATTCTAATTTTGTCTTAAATACTAACTGTGTCCGGAATTGGTGGGTTCTTGGTCTCACTGACTTCAAGAATGGACCCTCGCGGTGAGTGTTACAGCTCTTAAGGTGGCGCGTCTGGAGTTTGTTCCTTCTGATGTTCGGATGTGTTCGGAGTTTCTTCCTTCTGGTGGGTTCGTGGTCTCGCTGGCTCAGGAGTGAAGCTGCGGACCTTCGCTGTGAGTGTTACAGCTCTTAAGGCGGCGCGTCTGGAGTTGTTCGTTCCTCCCAGTTGGTTCGTGGTCTTGCTGGCTTCAGGAGTGAAGCTGCAGACCTTCGCGGTGTTACAGCTCATAAAGGCAGTGTGGACCCAAAGAGTGAGCAGTAGCAAGATTTATTGCAAAGAACAAAAGAACAAAGCTTCCAGAGTGTGGAAGGGGACCCGAGTGGGTTGCCACTGCTGGCTGGGGCAGCCTGCTTTTATTCTCTTATCTGGCCCCACCCACATCCTGTTGATTGGTTCATTTTACAGAGAGCCAAGTGGTCTGTTTTGACAGGGTGCTGATTGGTGCGTTTACAATCCCTGAGCTAGACACAAAGGTTCTCCAGGTCCCCACTAGATTAGCTAGATACAGAGTGTGGACACAAAGGTTCTCCAAGTTCCCACCAGAGTAGCTAGATACAGAGTGTCGATTGGTGCATTCACAAACCCTGAGCTAGACACAGGGTGCTGATTGGTGAGTTTACAATCCCTGAGCTAGACACAAAGATTCTCCACCTCCCCACTAGATTAGCTAGATACAGAGTGTCAACACAAAGGTTCTCCAAGTCCCCACCAGAGTAGCTAAATACAGAGTGTGGACTGGTGCATTCACAAACCCTGAGCTAGACACAGGGTGCTGATTGGTGTGTTTACAAACCTTGAGCTAGACACAGGGTGCCGATTGGTGTATTTACAATCCCTTAGCTAGACATAAAGATTCTCCAAGTCCCCACCAGTCAGGAGCCCAGCTGGCTTCACCCAGTGGATCTCGCACTGGGGCTGCAGGTGGGACTGCCTGACCATCCCACGCCGTGCGCCTACACTCCTCAGCCCTTGGGTGATCGATGGGACTGGGCGCCGTGAAGCAGGGGGCGGCGCTCGTCCGGCAGGCTCCGGCTGCACAGGAGCCCACCAAGCGGTGGGGCCGGGGAGGCTCAGGCATGGCGGGCTGCAGGTCCGAGCCCTGCCCCGCGGGAAGGCAGCTAAGGCCCGCGAGAAATCGAGCGCAGCGCCGGTGGGCCAGCACTGCTGGGAGACCCAGCACACCCTCCGCAGCTGCTTGCCCAGGTACTAAGCTCCTCATTGCCCAGGGTGGACAGGGCCAGCCGGCCGCTCCGAGTGCGGGTCCCGCCGAGTCCACACCCACCCGGAACTCGCGCTGGCCCGCAAGCACTGCGCGCAGCCCTGGTTCCCACCCGTGCCTCTCCCTCCACGCCTCCCCGCAAGCTGAGGGAGCCGGCTCCGGCCTTGGCCAGCCCAGAAAGGGGCTCCCACAGTGCAGCAGTGGGCTGAAGGGCTCCTCAAGCGCGGCCAGAGTGGGCGCCAAGGCCGAGGAGGCGCCGAGAGCGAGCAAGGGCACACGCTGTCACCTCTCATAACTATATAATCCATCGTCCAAGTAAGATGTGATTCCTCTGTTCAAGAATTTATTGTTGTAGGGGAGAGGGGTGGGTGGGGAAGGAGGAGATGTTGATCAAAGGGTGTGAAGTTTCAGTCAGACAGGAGGAATGAGCTTTTGTGATCTATTGCACAGAATGGTGCCTATCATAAATAATAATGTGTATTTCAAAATTGCTAAAAAGAGTAGACTTTAAATGTTTTCATCACAAAAAAAGTACTTAATGGATTTGTTGATTGTCTTGATTTAATTATTCCATAATATAAACATGTATCAAAACATCACATAAATACCGCATAAATATATACAATTATTATGTCAGTTAAAAATAATTTTTTTAAAAAAGTCAAGAAAGAAGAATTTATTGGTGCATGGAGAGGCTTGCATTTGGGGTGGTGACGCATATAACAAGAAAAGCAGACAATATGGAATGGTTCCTAGCCCTGTCTCCACTGATTTAAGAGCTAGTTGCCCTAAAATCTCATTAAACAATTGGGACACAAGGCAATGGTACTTTGGCAACTTTCTAAGTGTATTAAACCAAAATAGAGGATGTCTCCCCAGACTGGCTTAGAGAAGACAAATCTTGGAAGTGCAGCTGAAGGAGGTGGGAAAATAGGACAGGGGAGGGAGAGTGTAGGAGAGCAAGGGTAAGGCCACTCAGTAATTGATGAGACTTGTTTGTGTGTATATATATGTGAGGACTTTCAGACGTTCCAGGAATTTATGAGGCTAGAGTCCTCCATAAGTAGGTAGAACAAGAGCCAATGAACGAGGTTACAGGTAGAAATTCTCACAAACGAGAAATATTTAGGTGGTAGATTTGAGAAGGATTTGCAGGTTTTGTGGGAGTACTAATGTTTATATTTTGGCTATTTGTTTACTTTTGACTTTTTAGATTAAAGCATCTTTAGACATGTCAGTTTATTAGACTGGTTTTCAAATTTACTTTGAATTATATATCTATTGTTTTTACCATTCCACACAGGTCCAAAAATGTCTAAAGAATAGTTGTGTAAAACTTTGCAACTGTAGTGCCTGATAATACATTTTAGCTCCTAATAATTCCAGGATATCAAAATTACTGGCTGATTTTTTTACAATTCCAGGAAATACAGGCAAAAGCCAAACCCATTATTATAGGTCAAGGAGATAAAACACTCAGTTGACTGAATTAGTTTACTGTTCAATCATTACTTTTGACAAGGTAGAGACTAAAAATGGCAATGGAAACTTACTTGCTTATGGTTGTTAAATTTTCTGAATTGGTAAATAATTTTCTGAATTGGTAAAAAAAAAAAGGAAAGCACTTTTCTCCTTTTGATTTTGAAATTATATAGTTACAATGATTCTTATTTTGTACTTTGTTAATTAAGAACTTATACAACAGTCATGTTTCAAAAACATTACAGATTACAATAAAGCCAAGGAAATGTTAATTTTTCTAGAAGAATATCTTAGGAAAAGCTTTATTACAATGGGTCCATTTTTATATACATTACACCACTGAAAATAATAAGCAAGATTGCTTCAAGAGTAATTATCAGAGGATGTTGCATCTTGTCTTTTAGTCATGTATATATACTTTTATATTTCTTTGACATTACAAAATCTAAAATATATGTGGCTAGTAGACACATCCTTAATTTCTAACATATATTCTAGTCCTAAAATTCTATACCTAGGATATTCTATTATCAAAATCTGTCCAAAGGAAAAATAGAAATCATCATCACAATTGATTCTATCTTCTAAGTACCAAAACTGAGTGGCTCTCTCAAATCTCACTATGAGCTAGAACAGAATCTCAAGTTCTTTCTTAGGCTGTAACACAACAGCTAATTTTCTTTTCATCTTCATTCATTCTTTTCCATTTACTGAACAACAATTACTGTGTTCTCAGTCACTGAGAAATCAGAGATAAAGGTCCCTGCTCTCCAGGAGTTTGGGGAGCAAAATAATTTTAATATAAATGAAAAAGCCCTATGAGCTAAGCACAGGATTTACAGTGAGCTCACAAGACAGACAATGAAACCAAACTGGAACATTTCTCTGAGGAGTTGATGCCTGCCCTGAGTTTTGAAGGATATACAAATGTGAAAGGGACAGGAAGGATGTACCAAACAGCAATAATAGAGTGTGTAAAAATATAGAGGCAGGAGAGCACTTGGCCTTTTCCACAAACTGAGGGTGGTCTGCTAAAATTTGAGTGATGGCTGCAGGTAATAAATGGCAGAGTGTATTACAAGATGAGTTTGGAAAGTCAGTAGGGGTCAAATTAGAAAGGACTTGCTCTACCATGCTAATGAGTTAGAATTTTTCTCTAAAGGCAATGAAGAGTTATTAAAGGTGTTAAACTGGACAATGAATGACATGATCTGGTTTTGTGTTTTCAAAAACTTACTATTTTTTAAGCTGAAGAATGGATTTTAATGGGATCAAGGTTGGATTTAAAAAGAGTAGTAGGGTAACTGTTTCTAAATTCAGCCAGTGACAAAAGAAGGGGATGGATCAGAGATATTAAAAATATAACATTTACAGGACTCTGCCACTAATTAGACATAATGTGAAGACGGTACGTTGAAACCAAGACTGTGTCCCAGTTTATCTTGGTTAACTGGCTAGCTGCTCATCCACTGAACAAGAAAGCACCCAGAAGAGGACCAGACTCAGTGGAGACTTCAGTTTTGAACACGTTGGCTTTGAGGTGCCTGTAGCACAGTCGGGATCAAAGGCCCAGAAGAGAAATCTGGGATGGAAAGGTGGGTCTGAGATTCATCTGCATGCAGGTCATAGTTGAAGCCAGCAACCTAAATAAAGCCTTTCACAGAAAGTGTGTAGATTAGAAAGCAAAGAGGTCTGGCCGGGCATGTTGGCTCACTCCTGTAATCCCAGCACTTTGGGAGGTCGAGGTGGGTGGATCACTGGAGGTCAGGAGTTTGAGATCAGCCTGACCAATATGGTGAAACCCCATCTCTACTAAAAATACAAAAATTAGCCGGACGCTGTGGCACACGCCTGTAATCCCAGCACTTTGGGAAGCCGAGGTAGGAGGATCACATGAGGTCACGAATTGAAAACGAGCCATGGCCAACATGGTGAAACCCTGTCTCTACCAAAAAACAGAAAAAATTAGCCAGGCGTGCTGGCCTGGGCCTGTAATTCCAGCTACTCGGGAGGCTGAGGTGGGAGAATCGTTTGAATCCAGGAGGCGAAGGTTGCAGTGAGCCGAGCCCGCGCCACTGCACTCGGCCTCCAGCCTGAGAGTGAGACCTTGTCTCCAAAAAAAAAAAAAAAAAAAAGAAAACAAAACAAAAGAAGAGAGGTCTAAGCACAGACTACTAGGGAGTATGCATGTTTTAGGAAAGCTAAAAGAAGAAGGAGCCAAAAAGATATTCCACAAGCTATGAAAGATTGGTATAATGGGAAAACAAGTGATGAGAATGTTTCATAGACAACATGGCCACTAATGCCGAACACTGAGAGATACAGTGAGAAAATAGCTGAAAAGCATCAGATTTAACAATGAGGACTCTGATGATTTGGAAAGATAATTTTTAATTATATGATGGAAGTGGACTGCAGTGAGTTCAGGTGCAAAAAAGAGAGAAAGAGGTGGAGACAATTGTCATCTTCTTGGGATAATTTCAGTTACAAATGAATTAGAAAAATAAGATAGTGAATAGAGTAGAAGTCAGCGGATAGAATAGAGTCAATAAAGGGTTTTGTAGGGATGTGGGTTTGTGAATGTGTTTTTGCTTTGTCTTATTTGGTACTGAGACAGCAGCATGTTTACAGGCCAAGATGAGATCCTGGGAAAACAAAGGTATAAGAGAGGGAGTAGTCTGCTACAAAACATTCAAAATCATAGGAAGAGGATCAGCAAAACAAATGGAGATTAAATTTCAGACAGTGGGAAAAACAATTCCTCTAAAATGAAGAGAGTAAGCTATGTCCTGGCCTAGACAGAGCTATGTTAATAGAAAGAGGTGGAGGAGGAAATAGGAAGTCGAGAAAATTGTCTCCTGATAGACTTGATCCTCTCTGTGCCTTAGGAGATAAGAAAAGCCATCTGCTGAGAGCATGAGGAAGCAGGTAGGATCTGGCGAGTGAAGAATATTAAGGTCTAAAATTGTTCAATAGATGGAAGCCCTCGTTTGCTCATTAGTAAATAGCTTACTGGAAAAATAATTTCAAAAATAAAAACATTTGTCAAAATGAAAGAATTAAAACTATTTTTATGACTACTTTCACTCTCTAACTTTTGTTTCTTAATTTCATTTGAATCCTTGATCCCTGCCAGTAAGTGGCACCAGCACTATAAGCATATTCTACACAATCAGCAATGCTTTCTGTACAGCAAATTGCAACACTACTGCAACAAACATAAAAAATTATTGTCCCACTATATTTACCTTATGTATACATTTACCATAAATTCCATTATTTTCCAAGACAATGGAATTCCTTTACGATATTAGTATTGGGAGACAGGCCTAAGGCTACATTAATAGGAAAACTATAAATTTAATTTTTACATTGAAGAGAATACAATGTAACCACAGTGTATCTAAATCCTTTACAAAGAGCTATATTATAATAGACTTCTGCTTATAATTTTCTCTTAACCTTTCATTTTGTTCTAATTCTACTTTAATTGCATTTTGATTATCCAAAAGGGAATAGTAAAATAAAATAAATGACACAATGATTAAGACACGGCAGTAATTTTAGCTTGGATTGGGGATAAATGATATACAACTGAGGTAATTGAAATATGCTATACAAGTGAGATTAAAACTAAAATGAATTTCATACAAGGCTAATAGTTGAATCCCTATGGAGTTACATTCTTAAGCCAAAAGTAATTATCTAAATCTGAGCAAAAACTTTTGGTGTAAGTCTCCCAATAATTTTTTGAGAATATAATGCAATGAAGTATAAATTAATGTTGCCTACAAAAATTAAGCTGAACATTTCACAAAGTAATAAGTTAGCTCAATATATTTTTGTCAAAATCTGTTTCATTCCTATAAGGACATATCACTACTGAGAATGACAAAAGATCAGTCAGAGAATATGGTACAAAATAATGTAGCTATGCCAGTAAACCTTGTTGTTACTATATGATCTTAAATTTGGCACTACTCCTCCCAAGCACTTCTGTAACTGGACCGTATCAAAATTAAATCCAAAGCTTTTTTTTTTGAGACAGAGTCTTACTCTGTTGCCCAGGCTGGAGTGCAGTGGCGCACTCTCGGCTCACTGCAACCTCTGCCTCCCAGGTTCAAGCAATTCTCCCTGCCTCAGCCTCCCTGAGAAGCTGGGATTACAGGTGCCTGCCAACACACCGGGCTAATTTTTTAATTTTTAGTAGAGATGAAGTTTCACCGTGTTGGCCAGGCTGGTCTCGAACTCCTGACCTCAGGTGATCTGCCCGCCTCGGCCTCCCAAAGCATTTTTATTTTACAACAGTCAAAAATTAGTCACTGGCAAAAAATTGTAAACACTTAACCCAATACATCTTTTTAGTATTTACAAGAACTGTACAAGATTTGCACATAGAAAACGTACACATATAATCTCCTAATTATAGTGCAGTGCCTGATAAAATAATAGAAAATGAACTTGTAAAATGGGCAATCTGTTGATGAACTTTATCCATTAAATACTAATGCATAGTTTAAGCAAAATGTTTAATTAAAAATAAAATTCCCTTTTAATTCCCCAGCTTTAGAGTTTATAAATGTAATATACTGTTATAATGTAAAACAAAAATTAATTTGAAAGGAAAAATGGAAAGGCAGTGGGGAATTTCTTTGTTGCCTCTTCTCAACCTTTAAACTTAAGAAGATTAGAGAGTTGTACTTTTAGAATGCTATGTGACACGGTGGTGTATTTAGCAAATGTGCTATCCTTTCCATTCACGGAGCTGTTATAAAGGCATGCCACTGAAATTTTCAGCTCAGTAGCAATTCCATGAAACATTAGGCAAGCATTCAGAAAAGAGCTGGCCAACCTAACTAATGTAGAATCAGAACATACAACAGAGAGAGAGCTAACTGGCTCAAAGACAGACAATTCACACTGTTTTACATTAAAATTAAGTTTAAAGTTAGGGCTAAATTTTATTGCCTGCTCTAATTGAGCTAATCACTCATTATATAGTGTTTACCTTCTTGCTTTTCTTTTTGCTATTGTTTAATTGTAGTTAAAAAAAAACCCCCATGTAACATAAAATTTACTACCTTAACTATTTTGTGTACAGTTTTGTAGTATTAAGTATATTCCCATTGTTGTGCAACAGCTCTCTAGAACCTTTTCATCTTGCAAAACCGAGATCCTATACCTATTGAACGACTCTCCATTTCCCACTTCCCCCACCCCATGGAAGCTACCATTTTACTTTCTATTTCTAAGAGTTCAACTGCTTTAGATCTCTCATATAAGTGGAATCATTACAGTATTTATCTTTTTGTGACTGCCTTACTTCAATTAACATCATGTCCTTAAAATTCATCCGTGTTGTAGCATGTGACAGAATTTCCTTCCTTTTAAAGCTGAATAATATTCCATTGTATGCATATAGCACATTTTCTTTGTCCATTTATCCATCAATGGATGGTTAAGTGGCTTCCACCTTGGTTGTTCTACATAATGCTGCAATGAACATCACGTGAAAATATTTCTTCAACATCCTGCTAATGTTTACCTTTTTTAATCAAATAATTATAAACTACATAAAATCTGTTTACAGAGTATATTATTCTGTAATGATGAGACAGATCTTTTATAGAGAAAGGGCTCAAACGAAATTAGGAACAATTACACAAATTGTAACTACTTAACTGAACAATGACATCAAAAACAAACAATAATGACCTCTCAGATATTTGAAGTTTTGTCTGTTTGTATCTTTTAAGGTTCTTGCCTAGTTGTTTGACTTATTTTAGTAATCAAGTTCAGTTTGTTATATCCAGGCAGAATAGATGCCTAAATGTCATTCTGGGAGAGGTTCAGATGAGGCTTATGTTAAGGGCTGCTTATTAGCCACAGGACTGATCCACGCCCCAAGCTTGGAGGCAAAGGAATCAGAAAGGAAACACAGAAAAGATGAGAAGAGGCCATCAGGGAACTATTTATATTATTTACTTTTGGGTCTGACTTATGCATATTTTTCCATCCTCTCTAAAAATTGAATTTGTCAAAAGACTGTTGAAAATTCAGGTTAAAATGAGTGTTTTTTTAAATGTACTCCATCCTAAAAGATTTTAATTTTAAATCTAAACTACATTCTTATTCACACGTTTAGTAAAAGGATGACAACTATATATTATAAACAATTTTAAGTATTAAGTAAAATGGATTCAGTAAGATGAAATCTCAAAAGGCCTTAAAATATTTGTCCAAAATAATCTATTAGTCCGTTCTCACATTGCTAGAAAGAACTGCCCAAGACTGGGGAATTTATAAAGAGAAGACATTTAGTTGACTTACAGTTCTCATGGCTGGGGAGGCCTCAGGAATCTTACAATCAGGGTGGAAGGGGAAGAGGTATGTCTCATATGTTAACAGGCAAGAGTGTAGAGAAGGAACTGTCAGACATTTATGAAACCATCAGATCTCATGAGAACTCACTATCACAAGAACAGCATGGGAGACACTGCCCCCGTGATCCAATCACCTCTCACCAGGTCTCTCCCTTGACATGTGGGGATTATGAGGTTTATAATTCAAGATGAGATTTGGGTGGGAACACAAAGCCTAACCATACCAAATACATAGTTTTTTTCTGAATCTTTTGCCATGAAATCTTATTTTTATCAGAAATAAAAAATGTGATATAGATTATTTTTTAAGTACACCAAAAATCAGTTAAAAGAGTCTATTGATCGGCAAGTGTCTGAGAATATGAGTTAGAAAAATACTTGATGTTCACAGATCTGGTCAGGTGTGGTCAGAAAGAACAAAATTTGAAGCGTAAATATCAAACAGTGCTGCCATCTGATGAATCCAAGACTTTCTGGTGTCAGGTGAACTTGTTCATCCCTAGAGTGCTGGTGAAAATCTTGTTCTATGCACTGTAATGAAAAGCTGTGTCCTTCTAATGGCTCTATGGTGATTTAGCCTAGATTAAATATTTAATGCTACAATCTTAGAGCAACTAATACTAATTATCTTCCTGTTCATAGTCCCAAAAAAGATCCCCAGATGCCCTCAATCCGGGGCCTTGCCTTCTGGAGCCAGGTTAACATCTGTCATTGAAATAGTCTGGCAGGCTGACGCTGTTTCTTTCCTATCTTGGAGCTACTTTGGAATAAAAACTAAATACATATGCCTGCAGAAACATCAACTAGCACTTCTCAAAAACCTACAAGTAATTTATGAGGATTCCATCTTTTCTGATTTGTCAGGGTATTGAGGGGATTGGAGGAAATGTGAAACTATTTTCAGACAGTATTACTCTCTTTTAGCAGATCTAATTAGTTAACAAATAAGGGAAGCATTTCCCTGGCTTAATGGGAAATGAATAAAAATAAACATAAATAAATAATGCTGGAATGAACAAAGAGTGTGTGAGAATCCTCAGATCAACAATTTAGGCATACTCCCAAATATTTGTTTTGGCAATAAGACAAAACCACCTATTATATTTCAAATAAAGCGTTTTTAATTATGAATGTTTCTTTTTTCCCTCACTTGAAATAAAAGTCAAGAATTCTGCTTTAAATCTTTCATCAAGCAGAGCTGCCCAAGAACCTGATATTTTAACTCTCTATCCAGGTAGTTCTCAAGTTTTGCAAACTTTGCAAAAAATGCATTGGATGTTTATTAATATGCTGATTCAGGGGCCTTAGCCCTAGAGGATCTGATACAGTAAGAATCTGATTTATATTCCTACACCAAGTGATTCTGAGGCAAATGGTCTGAGGAGCAGGATTGGCTACATAATTTGTAGGAAATGAAAATGCAGGCCCCTTGCTAAAAAATAATTGGAAATTTCAAGATGGTGACAGCAAAGTAATAAACCAAGAGTGAGGACCTTCGAAATGTGGGCCCCTCTGTGACTGCACAGGTCACAAGCCCATGAAGCCAGCCCCACTGGGTAGATTAGAAACACTTCTCCAGGTAAGGTTTAAGTCAGACAACGCTAGATGCTTCCAGAGCCCTTAGTGACTGAAATAAAATCTATCCCCACATTAGCTCAGAAAGCATAGCCCACGATGGCTTCTCTTCCCAAGGAATCCTTGAGGAATGATGACAGGACCTTCTTCTAGATGAGAATGGAAAAATATCTTTTTAAGTTTAGTTGCTGGAAAAATTCAGTAAAGAAAAAAATGTAAATAGCCAAATTTGGGGCCAGATGTCTTTATTGTTATTTTTCTATTTGATAGCTATTCTATGGTTCTATTTCATCAATGAGAGACCATTATAAAGTATAAAGCAGGGATAGAGGATTTAAGAAACAATCTTGTGCTGTGAGGCTTTTCTTCAGCTATACACAGCCCCAGCTGCAAGCCACAGCATGATTTAAATTCTCTCAGCCACATATGGAAAAGGATAGAAAGCGGGAAGTGATCATGGACCAGGATGTCCATGTTTTCTCAAGGACTGTTCATCCAGTGGCATTTCAAGGATCATGGAAAAAAAGAATTGAAGAGTCCAAACTAAGATAGTAGTGTCTGACAATTGAACCACACAGCCAAAACAACCATGGCAATGTGGAAAACAAGAATATTATGCAATCAGAGAAATCACCAGTGCTTAAATGTCACCTGGACAAGGAGGCCTCAGGCTTGTTTTCTGAGAATGTACAGAGATTGCACATAGCTAGATTGCATAGTTTAGCACAAGAAATGCATGAGGGAAATCAAGCTCAGCACAAAGCCCAAAAGCTCTGAGAAAAAGTAGAGAATTTGTTTGAGATAAGATAGCAAGACATAATCCTCAACGATTCAAGAAGGAACAACCCCTGAGGGAAATTGAAATTCTGTGTCAATACTCAGGAGGAGGTGAGGATCTGAGGAAAACAAAGAGGGCCTGACCAGGACTCAACAGCCTCCCATCCTGGAATGACGAAAATAGATGATAGATAGATAGACAGACAGACGACAGATAGGTAATAGATAGATGATAGACAGATAGACAGATGATAGAAGATAGATGATAGAGATGACAGACAGATGATAGATAATGATAGATGATAGATAGATAGATAGATAGATAGATAGATAGATAATAAATCAATAGAGAAAATCTGCCTTATCTTGAGGAGGGAATAGTAATTAAATACAACCTTTTTTGTTATACATATTGCAGTGACTTCCCAAATAATTTGTTTTCTAATGTCCTGAGTTTAAAATATTTTCTAAAAACCTCAATAATTATAAGTAAACATTTTAAACCAAAATGGACCTACAGACCATATCATGCCCTTTGGTTCCTAATTGGGGAAATTAAGTTTTTCAAGTCGCAAGTTATACATATATTCCTGTACACTGTTAATTCAAATCAGGTGTAGCTCTGATTGAGCATGTACAGATTATTTCAT
Source organism: Homo sapiens (assembly GCF_000001405.40). Taxonomy (NCBI): domain Eukaryota; kingdom Metazoa; phylum Chordata; class Mammalia; order Primates; family Hominidae; genus Homo; species Homo sapiens. The sequence goes on along the minus strand of NC_000006.12, from coordinate 119,430,257 downwards.
TTTATAAATTGTGTCAAAATTAGAATATCCCAATTGTGCTTTATTAAAGACAGTCTTTAAAATATTGGCATCAAAGAGCACATGGTTGAAATAATCTAAACGTGTATCAGTTAATGAGACAAAAAGAGGAGTGGCAAGAAAGAAAATAGTAAGGCATTAAAGTTGCATCAGAATATAGACAGAAAAGGGAATTACAATAGGAAAAAATATCACATTAGACTACTTGAATTATAGGCTCCAAAAACACTGCTTTAATATTATTCATTACAAGCAAGTACTTGGGGTTTTCACAAGACAATGGTCAAATCGTGTAATTTCTCTGTAATTATGACTCCTCGTCAATAAAATGGGAATAATCTTTTGGAATTGTGAATATTACATAACATAATATACATGTTAGTTATTTCAGGCCGCCAGGGAAAGGAAGGTACATTCTGGTTGCTTCAGTCTAACAGCTCCAGTGCCAGGCCTCCTGGATGGAAAAGCAGCTGAACTCTCAAAAGTGAGTACTTCTGCTCCCTCCTCTAACAACTCTAGTGACTGCCAGCCTCTCTCTGTCTCTGCCTCTAAAGCCCTTTTTCCTCTGATCTGTTACGTTCTCATGCCTCCATTGCCTCACGACTTCTGCTGCTTCTTTTCTGAGTACACGTGTTCCCAACCACTTCTGCCTATTCTAGTGACCTGCATTCAAACTCTCAAGGTGATTAATTAGACACTATCCAGAAAGAGCATTCCTGCTAGACAGAGTTCTCCCATGAGGCTGCTCAAGGTCACTGACCTACCTAAGGATGGTGCCTTCAGATGAACCCTTTGTTCAATCAGCTGCAGGGCAAATCACAGGAATTTACTGCAATAATGTTCCTGAGAAGGAGGAAAGGTTGGTAGCCCCTTGGAACACCATATCCTGTCTCTTAGAAAGGAAAGCTCTTAGCTCTGTAAAAAACTAGTATAGGTCCATTGTAGTGCTGCAAGTATGAAATGAAGGAGTGGTGATGGGAACCAACCAAACCTTGATAAATATCAATATTGATGAATATTATGAAGCAAAAATAAAAATTATGTGGGTGTGCATTAGGGGGCAGGAGAATGTAAAAACAAAAGAGATATGAAGAAAGAGAGAAGGTATATAGGTATGTGTCTGCAGGAATGAAAACAGCAGTGAATATGGACAATTGACAGAAAATGCAAACAAAGAAATGGAAGGATAGACCCAAGTAAAAGTGAGGCCAAGAAGAAAAATCCTAGGGAAAGGAACAAGAAATAGGAGTGCTTGACTCTACAATCACAGAAGAACATAGCTCACTGCAAAAGGCCAACCTCCAAGACATCATGCTCTTTCTACTTTTATCTTTATTCCTAACCAACCTCAGAGTCAAATGGGAATAAAGATAGAAGACAAGTGTCTGAGTCAGCTTCTCATTCCAAGGCACTTAAGTTCTGCCCCTTGAACTGCTGCTGCTTTTCTCAGCTGAATCTATTTTTCTGACAGTAGCAATGTCTCATCAGTCATGTGTTAATTAGGAGAAAACATACTGGCCTCTTGCCTCTTTGCTATACTCAGAAATCAAGGGCTTGATAAAGACAAAGCTTCCAGTGCAAGGAAAGATAGAAAACAAAAGGTTTCTTCTCTCTCCTACCTGTTCTTCCTGCTCACCCCCATAGGCCTATCTCAATCCCCTTAAGTTCAGGGATTATCAGAGTAAACAAATGTATTTATTAACTCCCTTGAAGGTGGAAGTATCAAATACACTCAGGGAAGGTACAATGATTCCAACTAGAATAAAACTGGGACATTTGTCATCGCACCTTCTTTAAGGATTGTTTTTACACAATATCCCATTCAAAAGATTTACTTCTTTTGGAATTCATTTCTTTTCGATTTAGAATTCAGTCCAAATTCAATGACCAAAAATAAATGAAAGTAATTAAAATCTTTACTGTTGTCTCTCAAAAATGCCTGAGTCATTATATTTATAAGGTACAGCAAAAATTTAAATTATCCTTTACCACATCTTTCTCTCAATTTTTTACATAGTACGAAGTGCTCTCTCCTCACCTCTACTCCAAAAATTCCTAAAACATTTTCCCTGAAATGTGGTCCTTATTGAGTCTCTTCCTTTCTCTTTCTTCCTTCTTTTCCTGGGTCTAGTCTTTTTCCATCCTGAAGAAATGTTTTTACTCTATCCAATGTAAGTAAAAAAAAAAGTATATGTAACTTCTTTGCCTCTCCCTTACCTGTTAACTGAATTCCGCACAAAGGCCCAAGGATGATCTACCCAAGGCCGCATGACAAGAGAAGGAGGAGAATTGGAGGATATTCATACATCAATTATTTTCTCCACCAAGTCATTTTTTTTCATGTCCAATCCATGACCTTACAACTTTAGAAGGCCTAGAACACAGAAAAAGCTTTTCCCAGGGAATAAAGGTCATCACAGAAGTTTAGCTTAAAGGATCTTCAAAACCTTGCTTGGTGACCAGGAGGTTTTATTTCCATCCCAGCTTCAAACATACACATCTTAACAAAAATTACAGTTTAGGCTTTCTGTTTCTTTTATGTATTTGAGAAATCTTATTGTACAAGTAGTTTATTTGAGAAACTGTATTCTTTCTAGAATATTTGTCCTCTCTACAGAGGAAAAGTAGGAAGCCTTCTCTGGTAATTTATAGAAGAACAAATAAAAATAAGTCAGGAAACTTAAGCAATCAGTCAAATCTTTAGCAAGCAAGAAATCAACCAACTAGCTCAATCAAAAATTTCACCCTATTTTCAGGGAAGATAAACTAGACAAAGCAAAGTAAGCAGTCAGGTTTACTAAACACATTGTGAAATATCATGAAAATATTTCATGTTAACTTTTTATTTAAACAATATAATCTATGTCTAAAACTTACTAATTTAAACTCCAATTCACTAAAACAATCATTTCACAAATATAGGTCCTCATTTTTTTTTCTATGAAAGAGAAAACTCCCAAATCATCCCTGTATCCTATGGACCAAGGTTACTACTAATGAGAAACACATTCATTGTTATAAAAGTATAAGAATGTAGAGTAAAATTATCAAGGTATACTGCAAATAAATATACATAGCTTCCCACATCCATTCTTCTCTTTACACAAGACAAGAAGTAGGCTCTTTGGAGATATACGTGTAGGACCCTCTCTTCTTCCAGTTTATCATGTTATATTTCGTTTTCAAAAACTAACAAGATTTGCAGTTCCTTGTAACACAGAACACCAACTGGACCCTATTCCATTCTCCTCATTGTATCCTGCTTAATATTTCTGGGTACTGACAAAACAGCAGTCTTTGTAGACTGCCTGGACTCCCAGACTCTCTCTTCCTCTGTCACAGGAGCTCCACCTGGCAGGAGAGGAGATTATTAGGGAGTATTGACATGTGTGTTTGGAGTCATAGCCAAGCCAAGGCTTTCTTGGTAGACCAGCTGGGCACCAGTCTGAATGCTAAGCCGATGAATCCTAACTCTAAAGCTGGCCTCAGACCCAGGCATGCCACGGTCAGATCTCCTGGTATGCTGTGGGATTTGAAGTGTGGTGTTGCTGTCACACTTTCGAAAGAGAGAGTATGCTTTTCTGGCTTATAACAACATATGAAGACATTCTAAAAGTCTTCTCAATAGATTGTCCTACCTTTGAAAGAGGAAACAAAATGCATGATTTATTTTTAAGTTTATATAATTATAAACACAACATACTGTGTTTTTAAACTATATATGTATATCCAAAAAAGGAAGAAAAATTATCTGAATTATCTGCCTTGTTTACAAAACTTATAAAAGCATGAAGAAATATTTGTGATTAAAATTATGTTAATCAACTAAAGCAAGAAACAAAGTGATTGATTCTGCTTTTGCTACTTTCACTTTAACTCAAATCCACAGAGCAGAAATTGTGCTGAAAGTCACTCTCCAAATACAACTGTTAACGTTTTGGTATAATTCTTTCTAGTTTCCTCTGCATGTGTTTTTAAAATCAAAGCTGCAATATATTTTGCTGGCAATGTTCTCAAAGTCCCTAGATGACTCTCTGTAATCACATCCTCCTATCTTTCACTCCAACTTGTGTGTTCATCATTCCTTGCTATTCTTTATATATTTGCCCGATGTTAATGTACCTGTAACATAATATTACTAATATTGCTCAATTTTGCCTCAGTTTTGAATGTTATATAATTGAAATCACACTTTGAGTATTCTTTTGTGGTTTGTGCTTTTCTATCAACATTTTCTTATGAGAATCACCCATGTTGGTGCATGACTCTAGTTCATTCGTTGTCATTGCTGTGTAATATTCCATCATTCAAATAACCCATAGTAATCCACAATCTATATTTTCCATTCTACCATTAACAGGCATGTAGATAATCTTTGGTTCTTTGCTACTATGAACAATGCTGCTATAAATATTTTTGTACATGTCCTGTTTTGTACACAGGAAAAAAGCCTATCTTAGTGGTGGTATAATCCAGGGTGAAGTCTTTGGACCCTTCTATTTTATCTGTACTCACTCTCCTAATCCCATAACTTTAAACACCATCTGCATGTTGCTAACTTCCACATTTATACTTTGATCCCAGCACTCTCCTCTGAATTACATATCCATATATCCAACACCTCATCTCCACTGGAAATCTAACAAACCTCTTAAAGTGAATATAACTAAAACTCAACCCTCAACTTTCCCCCTCAAACACTTTCACATATATCCTTCTCAATTTAGTTCAGGCAAGACCATCTCTCCAATTTCTTTGGCCATAAAATCTGTAGTTATTTTTGATGCCCCTGTCTCTCACATACATCACTATCCAACCCTTCAGCAAATACAGTTGACTTGTTTCAAAAGACACCTGTAATCTGATCATTTAACACCACTGACACTGCTCTACCACTAGTTCAGGCAACCATTTTCGCTTATCTGCATTATTATAATACCTCCTTACCTGCTGACACTGTTTCCTTCTTGCTCCTCCACAGTCTACTTAGCAACTGGCTTTTCACTGTTAAAATGTAATTTAGATCATGTCACTCCTCTGCTACTCATTTCTTCCATAATAAAAGCCAACGTCCTTGCAATGACATTTAAAGCCCTAACAATCTGCCTTGATCATCTCTGTGATATCATCTCTTAATGTTTTCTTCTCATTTGCTCCACTCCAGTCACACAGGCAACTTGGTTTCCTCAATGGTACCAGAGATATTCCAGCCTCAGAACCTGCTGTGAACTGAATTGTGTCTTGCCCAAAATTCATATATTGAACCTCTAATCCCAGTGTGACTGTATTTGAAGATAGGTCCTATAAGGAGATAAAGTTAAATTAGATCATAAGGGTGGGGCCCTGATCCCAATAGGATTAATGTTTTTACAAGAATAGACGCAAGGGTTTCTCTCTCTCTCTCTCTCTGCCATGTGAGGAAACAGTAAGAAGCCAGCCATCTGCAAGCCAGGAAGAGAGCTCTCACCAGAAACCTAACCCTGCTAGAACTTTATCTTAGACTTTAGCCTTCAGAATCATAAGAAAACAAATTTCTGTTGTTTAAGCCATCCCATCTGTGGTATTTTGTTATGATAGCCCCAGAAGACTAAGACAGATGTTGGTAATATGAAGTAGGGTGTTGCTATAAGAAATACCAAAAATGTGGAAGTGGCTTTGGAACCAAGTAATAGTTATGGGCTGAAGGAGTTTTGAGGTGCAGGCTCAGAAAAGTTGATAATGTCATAAAGAGACTGTTGGTAGAAATACCATTGTTACTGGTTATAATGGTCAGAATTTAGAAAGAAAAGAAGAGGACTGGAGACAAAGGCTCCATATTCTTAGAAAACACATAAATAATCATGAAAAGAATGTTGGTAGAAATATAGATGTTAAAGGCCATCTCGGTGAGGTCTCAGATGGATGAGGAACATGTTAATTGAAACAGGAGGAAAGGTGACCCTCGTTAGAAAGTAGCAAATAATTTGGCTGAATTGTGTTTATGTTCTAGTGTTTTGTGGAAAGTAAAATTTACAAGCAATAAAATTTAGATATTTAGCAGACGAAATTCCTAAGCGTATTAATGAAAGTGCAGCTTGGGCCTTGCATGTTTATAGTAAAATGCTTTATAAAACTATTCAACTCTTCTAGTTAATGTCAACTTTTTTCCACAGTGTTTGGGTTTTTTTTAAACTTTTAGTTATGGGATACGTGTACAGAACATGCAGATTTGTTGCACAGGTATACATGTGCCATGGTGGTTTGCTGCACCCATCAACCCATCATCTACATTAGGTATTTCTCCTGATGCTATCCCTCCTCTTCCCCCAACCCACACAAAAGGCCCCAGTGTGGGATGTTCCCCACCCTGTGCCCATATGTTCTCATTGTTCAACTCCCGCTTATGAGTGAGAACATATAGTGACTGATTTTCTGTTCCTGTGATAGTTTGCTGAGAATGATGGTTTCTGGCTTCATCCACGTCCCTGCAAAGGACATGTACTCATTATTTTTTATGGCTGCATAGTATTCCATGGTGTATATGTGCCACATTTTCTTTATCCAGTCTAACATTGATGTGCATTTGGGTTGGTTCCAAGTCTTTGCTATTGTGAATAGTGCTGCAATAAACATACGTGGGCATGTGTCTTTATAGTAGAATGATTTATAATCCTTTGGGTATATGCCCAATAATAGGATTGCTGGGTCAAATGGTATTTCTAGTTCCAGATCCTTAAGGAATCGCCACACTGTCTTTCACAACAGTTGAACTAATTTACACGCCCACCAACAGTGTAAAAGTGTTCCTATTTCTCCACATCCTCTCCAGCATCTGTTGTTTCCTGACTTTTTAATGATGGCCATTCTAACTGGTGTGAGATGGTATCTCATTGTGGTTTTGATTTGCATTTCTCTAATGACCAGTGATAATGAGTTTTTTTTCATGTTTGCTGGCTTTGTCTTCTTTTGAAAAGTGTCTGTTCATATCCTTACCCACTTTTTGATGGGGTTTTTTTTTTTCTTGTAAATTTGTTTAAGTTCCTTGTAGATTCTAGATATTAGCCCTTTGTCAGATGGGTAGATAGCAAAAATTTTCCCCCATTCTGCAGGTTGTCTGTTCACTGTGATGATAGTTTCTTTTGCTGTGCAGAAGCTCTTCAGTTTGATTAGACTGTACTTGTCAATTTTGGCTTTTGTTGCAATTACTTTTGGTGTTTTAGTGATGAAGTTTTGCCCGTGCCTATGTTCTGAATGGTATTGCCTAGATTTTCTTCTAGAATTTTTATGGTTTTAGGTCTTATATTTAAGTCTTTAATCCATCTTGAGTTGATTTTTGTGTAAGGTGTAAGGAAGGGGTCCAGCTTCAGTTTTCTGCATATCGGTGGCCAGTTTTCCCAACACCATTTATAAAATAGGGAAATCTTTCCCCATTGCATGTTTTTGTCAGGCTTGTCAAAGATCAGATCATTGTAGGTCTGTGGTGTTATTTCTAAGACCTCTGTTCTGTTTTATTTGGTCTATGTATGTGTTTTGGTACCAGTACCATGCTGTTTTGTTACTGTAGCCTTGTAGTATAGTTTGAAGTCAGGTAGCGTGATGCCCCCAGCTTGTTCTTTTTGCTTAGGATTGTCTTGGCTATATGGGCTCTTTTTTGGTTCCATATGAAATTAAAAGTAGTTTTTTCTAATTCTATGAAGAAGGTTAATGGTAGCTTGATGGGAATAGCATTGAATCTATCAATTACTTTGGGCAGTATGGCCATTTTCATGATATTGACTCTTCATATCCATGAGCATGAAATGTTTTTCCAATCGTTTGTGTCCTCTCTTATTTTCTTGAGCAGTGGTTTGTAGTTCTCCTTGAAGAGGTACTTCACATCCCTTGTAAGTTGCATCCTAGGTATTTTATTCTCTTTGTAGCAATTCTGAATGGGAGTTTGCTCATGATTTGACTCTCTGTTTGTCTGCTATTGGTGTATAGGAATGCTTATGATTTGTGCACATTGATTTTTGTATCCTGAGACTTTGCTGAAGTTGCTTATCAGCTTTAAGTGATTTGGGGCTGAGACAATGGGGTTTGCTAAATAGACAGTCATGTCATCTGCAAACAGATAATTTGACTTCCTCTCTTCCTATTTGAATACGCTTTATTTCTTTCTCTTGCCTGATTGCCCTGGCAGAACTTCCAATACTATGTTGAACAGGAGTGGTGAGAGAGGTCATCCTTGTCTTGTGCTGGTTTTCAAAGGGAATGCTTCCAGTTTTTGCCCATTCAGTATGATATTGGCTGTGGGTTTGTCATTAATAGCTCTTATTATTTTGAGATATGTTCCATCAATACCTAGTTTATTGAGTGTTTTTAGCATGAAGGCTATTGAATTTTGTCAAAGGCCTTTTTTGCATCTATTGAGAAAATCATGTGGTTTTTGTCATTGGTTCTGTTTATATGATGGATTATGTTTATTGATTTGCTTATGTTGAACCAGCCTTGCATCCCAGGGATGAAGCTGACTTGATCATGGTGGGTAAGCTTTTTGATGTGCTGCTGGATTTAGTTTGCCAGTATTTTATTGAGGATTTTCACATCCATGTTCAACAGGGATATTGGCCTGAAATTTTCTTTTTTTGTTTTGTCTCTGTCAGGTTTTGGTGTCAGGATGATGCTGGCCTAATAAAATGAGTTAGTTAGGAGTCCCTCCTCTTTTTCTATTGTTTGGAATAGTTTCAGAAGGAATGGTACCAGCTCCTCTTTGTACCTATGGTAGAATTCGGTCATGAATCCATCTGGTCCTGGGCTTTTTTTGGTTTGTAGGCTATTAATTACTGTTTCAATTTCAGAACTTGTTATTGGTCTATTCAGGGATTTGAATTCTTCCTGGTTTAGTCTTGGGAGGATGTATGTGTCCAGGAATTTATCCATTTCTTCTAGATTTTCTAGTTTATTTGTGTAGAAATGTTTATAGTATCCTCTAATGATAGTTTGTATTTCTGTGGGATCAGTGGTGATCTCCCCTTTATCGTTTTTTATGTGTCTATTTGATTCTTCTCTCTTTTCTCCTTTATTAGTCTGGCCAGTGGTCTATCTATTTTGTTAATCTTTTCAAAAAACCAGCTCATGGATTCCTGGATTTTTTGAAGGGTTTTTCATGTCTCTATCTCCTTCAGTTCTGCTCTGATCTTAGTTATTTCTTGTCTTCTGCTAGCTTTTGAATTTGTTTGCTCTTGCTTCTCTAGTTCTTTTAATTGTAATGTTAGGGTGTCAATTTTAGATCTTTCCCACTTTCTCCTGTGGGCATTTAGTGCTATAAATTTCCCTCTAAACACTGCTTTAGCTGTTCCCAGAGACTCTGGTATGTTGTGTCTTTGTTCTCATTGGTTTCAAAGAACTTGTTTATTTCTGCCTTAATTTTGTTATTTACCCAGTAGTCATTCAGGAGCAGGTTGTTCAGTTTCCATGTAGTTCTGTGGCTTGGAGTGAGTTTTTTAATCCTGAGTTCTAATTTGATTGCACTGTGGTCTGAGAGATGGTTTCTTATAATTTCCTTTCTTTTGCATTTGCTGAGGAGTTTTTTTACTTCCAATTATGTGGTCGATTTTAGAATAAGTGCTGTGTGGTGCTGAGAAGAATATATATTCTGTTGATTTGGGATGGAGAGTTCTGTAGATGTCTATTAGGTCCAGAGCTGAGTTCAAGTCCTGAATATCCTTGTTAATTTTCTGTCTTGTTGATCTGTCTAATATTGACAGTGGGGTGTTAAAGTCTCCCACTATTATTGTGTGGGAGTCTAAGTCTCTTTGTAGGTCTCTAAGAACTTGCTTTATGAATCTGGGTGCTCCTGTATTGGGTGCATATATATTTAGGATAGTTAGCTCTTCTTGTTGCATTGATTCCTTTACCATTATGTAATGCCCTTCATTGTCTCTTTTGATCTTTGTTGGTTTAAAGTCTTTTTTATCAGAGACTAGGATTGCAACTCCTGCCTTTTTTTGTTTTCCATTTGCTTGGTAGATCTTCCTCCATTCCTTTATTTTGAGCCTATGTGTGTCTCTGCATGTGAGATGGGTCTCCTGAATACAGCACACTGATGGGTCTTGAGTCTTTATGCAATATGCCAGTCTGTGTCTTTTAATTGGAGCATTTAGCCCATTTACATTTAAGGTTAATATTGTTACGTGTGAATTTGATCCATCATTATGATGCTAGCTGGTTATTTTGCCCACTAGTTGATGCAGTTTCTTCATAGTGTCAATGGTCTTTACATTTTGGTTTGTTTCTGCAGTGGCTGGTACTCATTTTTCCTTTCCATGTTTAGTGCTTCCTTCAGGAGCTCTTGTAAGGCAGACCTGGTGGTAACAAAATCCCTCAGCATTTGCTTGTCTGTAAAGGATTTTATTTCTCCTTCACTTATGAAGCTTAGTTTGGCTGGATATGAAATTCTGGGTTGATTTTGTTAAGAATGTTGAATATTGGCCCCCACTCTCTTCTGGCTTGTAGGGTTTCTGCAGAGAGATCCACTGTTAGGCTGATGGGCTTCCCATTGTGGGTAATCTGACCTTTCTCTCTGGCTTCCCTTAACATTTTTTCCTTCATTTCAACCTTGGTAAATCTCACAATTATGTGTCTTGGGGTTGCTCTTCTCGAGGCATATCTTTGTGGTGTTTTCTGTATTTCCTGAATTGGAATGTTGGCCTGTCTTCTAGGTTAGGGAAGTTCTCCTGGATAATATCGTGAAGTGTGTTTTCCAACTTGGTTCCATTTTTCCCATTACTTTCAGATACACCAATCAAATGTAGGTTTGGTCTTTTCACATAGTCCCTTATGTCTTGGAGACTTTGTTCATTCCTTTTCATTCTTTATTCTCTAATCGTGCTTTATTTCATTAAGTTGATCTTCAATCTCTGATATCCTTTCTTCTGCTTGATCAATTCAGCTATTAATACTTTTGTATGCTTCATGAAGTTCTCATGCTGTGTTTTTCAGCTCCATCAAGTCATTTATGTTTTTCTCTAAACTAGTTATTCTAGTTACCAATTCCTCTAACCTTTTATCAAGGTTCGTAACTTCCTTGCATTGGGTTAAAACATGCTCCGTTAGCTCAGAGGAGTTTGTTATTACTCACCTTCTAAAACCTACTTCTGTCAATTCATCAAACTCATTCTAAGTCCAGTTTTGTTCCCTTGCTGGCGAGGAGTTGTGATTCTTTGGAGAAGATGAAGCATTCTGGTTTTTGGAATTTTCAGCCTTTTTGCACTGGTTTTTCCTCATCTTCATGGATTTATCTACCTTTGGTCTTTGCTGTTGGGACCTTCAGATGCAGTTTTTGCATGGTCTTCTTTTTGTTGATGTTGATGCTATTGCTTTCTGTTTGTTAGTTTTTCTTCTAACAGTCAAGCTCCTCTTCTATAGGTCTGCTGGAGTTTGCTGGGGGTCCACTCCAGACCCTGTTTGCTTGGGTATCACCAGCGGAGGCTGCATAACAGCAAAGATTGCTGCCTGCTACCTCTTCTGGAGCTTCGTCCTAGAGGGGCACCCACCAGATGCCAGCCAGAGCTCTCCTGTATGAGGTGTCTGTTGACCCCTGCTGGGAAGTATCTACCAGTCAGGAGGCACAGGGGTCAGGAACCCACTTGAGGAGGCAGTCTGTCCCTTAGCAGAGCTCAAATGCTGTGCTGGGAGATCCACTGCTGTCTTTAGAGCCAGCAAGGAGGAAAACTTAAGTCTGCTGAAGCTGCACCCACAACTGCCCCTTCCCCCAGGGGCTCTGTCCCAGGGAGATGGGAGTTTTATCTATAAGCCCCTGACTGGGATTGCTGCCTTTCTTCAGAGATGCCCTGCCTAGAAAAGAGGAATGGAGAGAGGCAGTCTGACTCTGACCAGAGAGGGGAAAACTAGAGAGGCAGTCTGCTGTGGTGGGCTCCACCCAGTCCGAACTTCCCAGTGGCTTTGTTTACACTGTGAGGGGAAAACTGCCTACCAAAGCCTCAGTAATGGCAGATGCCCCTCCCCCCACCAAGCTTGAGCATTCCAGGTAGACTTCAGACTGCTGTGCTGGCAGCAAGAATTTCAAGCCAGTGGATCTTAGTTTGCTGGGCTCTGTGGGGGTGAGATCTGCTGAGCTAGACCACTTGGCTCCCTGGCTTCAGCCCCCTTTCCGGGGCAGGGAACAGTTCTGTCTCACTGGCATTCCAGGCACCACTGGGGTATGAAAAAAAAAACTCCTGCAGCTAGCTCAGTGTCTGCCCAAATGGCCGCCCAGTTTTGTGCTTGAAACCAGGGAATCTCCTGGTCTGTGCGTTGTGAAGGATGGGAAAATCGTAGTATCTGGGATGGATAGCACCATCTCTCACGGCATGGTCCCTCACGGCTTCCCTTGGCTAGGGGAGGGAGTTCCCCAACCCCTTGCACTTCCTGGGTGAGGTGACACCCCTGCCCTGCTTCTGCTTGCCCTCCATGGGCTGCATCCACTGTCTAACCAGTCCCAATGATATGAACCGGGTACCTCAGTTGGAAATGCAGAAATCACCCACCTTCTGCACTGGTCTAGCTGGGAGCTGCAGACTGGAGCTCTTCCTATTCAGCCATCTTGCCTGGGAATCCACAGTGTTTTTACCAACATATGCCACCACACACACACCTGCAGACAGACACGGATGTGTGGCCACCCAGGCTGCAGGAGGCAGAGTAATAATAGTGTGTATTATTATTATTGTTCTACATCCTTGACAATACTTGCCATTGTGAAACTTGTTTAAGGTTCAAAATTTGATGGATCAAAAATTATAAACCATTATGATTTTATTGACATTTTGGTGATTACTAATGATGTGGGACAAATCTTCATATGGTAATTGATTGTTTGGATTTCCTCTTCTAGAAAGAGCCTAAGTGGAGGAAATGGCTAAAAATGGCAGATAGGAGACAGGACTAATGTGCAGCTGCCACTTAGATGAAGAAAACAGTGTCTGGAGACTCACATTGTGAACTTTTGCTCCAAGAACCACTGCAGGAGCATACCAGAAGAACTGAAGAAATTCACAGGCCATTTCAAAGAAGCAACTTGCCACTGCAAACACTGTGAGACAATTGAAAAACTGAATACCCAAAGTATGAGAGGAGGAAAAGTTGACCTCTGAACATACATCCCTACTGGAGATCATGAAAATCCAGATCACAGGAAAAGGATTTAACCTTATCTAGAGCTGAAGCAGATTTAGAGAGCTGAGAAAAATATAAAAGTAGAAGAAGCAATGGGAAGAGCCCTGTAGGTACTCCTGGTCCTCAGCTAGAGCCCCAGGAAAGCTATTCCTGACCTTATCTCACAGAGGTGCTTTGGGAAGGGAAGGCAGCCAGTGGAACTGGGGAAGGGTCAGCAAGCAAGCTTATAGTCTGGAGCAAAATCTCAGCCCTGCTCTCCCACTGGCTGCCTGAATACAAACTCAGTGCTGTTGGGGAGACACATGGGAGTGAGACTGGCCTAGCTGACTGTGTGGGAGCTGGGTGAGGCCTGTCACTGCAGCTTTCCTCCCCTTAGCTGATGACCTTTATGACACAGCAGAGGCAGCCATAATCCCCCTGGGAACATAACTCCATCACCTGAGAACCACCTCCCATCACCAATAGTGGCCACAGTAAGCCCCACCCAAGGAGAGTATGAGCTCAGGCCCACCTGGCCCTGACCCCACCTGATGTTTTTTCTCTACCTGCCCTGGTAACTGCAGACAAAGGACATAATCTCCTGGAAGCTATATGGCCCCAACCATCACCTGAGAAACCCAAGTACTCATCCTGGCCAATGTAGGGCAATATTATATCCCCCTTCTACCACTACAGCTGGCACTCTCTTGAAACACTACCTCTTGGCTGGAGGCCAACCAACTCAAGCCATTACAGCAACTCATAACAAAACACCCTGCTCCAAAAAAAAGGAGAAAACAACAGCTAATTCCACTGCCTGCAGCACCCTGGCCAACCAGAGGTCATGAGTCTATCCACATGACAACTTCTCTGCTAGCATAACCAGCATTTGAGAAAACCAGTGCACTAAAAAAAGGTGCACTGTAAATGAGGACTCCCACAGAGTCCACTTCAGTTTCCTGCCACCATCACTGGAGCAGGTGCTAGTATCCATGGCTGGTAGACCTGAAAACCAATCACATCACAGGACTCTTTTCATATATTTCCCAGCACCATCCTGAAGCCCTGTATCCCCACTGGGTGGCTAGACCCAGGAGGGCAATAACAATCACTGCAGTCTAGCTCTCAGGAAGCCCTACCCCTAGAGAAAAGGGAAGAGCACCACATCAAGGGATCACCCCGTGGGACAAAAAAATCTGAACAGCAGTCCTTGAGTTCCAGATCTTTTTACTGAAACAGTCTACCTAAATTAGAAGGAACCAGAAAAGTAATTCTGGTAATATGACAAAACAAGGTTCTATAACACCCCCTAAAAGATCACACTAGCTCACCAGTAATGGATCCAAACCAAGAAGAAATCTCTGAATTGCCAGAAAAAGAATATAGAAGGTCAATTATTATATGCCTCAAGGAGGCACCAGAGAAAGGTGAAAGGTGAAAATCAACCTGAAGAAATTTAAAAAGCAATATAGAATATGGATGAAAAAGTCTCCAGAGAAATTTATATCATAAAGAAAAGACAATCACAACTTCTTGAAATGAAAGACACACTCAGGGAAATACAAAATACACTGGAAAGTTTCAACAATAGAAGTGAATAACTAGAAGAAAGAATTTCAGAGCTCGAGACAAGGTTTTGGAATTAACCCAATCTGACAAAGACAAAGAAAAAAGATTTTTAAAAATGAACAAAGCCTCCAGAAATGTGGGATTATGTTAAATGACCAAACTTAAGAATAACTGTTGATCCTGAGGAAGAAGAGAAATCTAAAAGTTTGGAAAACTTATTTGAGGAAATAATTGAGGGATACTTCCCTGGTCTTGCTAGAGATCTAGACATCCACATACAAGAAGCTCAACAAACACCCAGGAAATACATCGCAAAAAGATCATAACCTAAGCACATAGTCATCAGGTTATCTAAAGTCAAGATGAAAGTAAAAATTTTAAGATCTGTGAGGAAAACGCATCAGGTAACCTATAAAGGAAAACCTATCGGATTAACAGCAGATTTCTCAGCAGAAACCTTGCAAGCCAGAAGGAATTGCGATTCTATCTTTAGCCTTCTGAAACAAAATAATTATCAGCCAAGAATTTCATATCCAGAAAATCTAAGCTTCATAAATGAAGGAGAAATAAAATATTTTTCAGACAAACAAATGCTGAGAGAATTCACCACTACCAAGCCGGCACCACACACACACACAAAAAAATGCTAAAATAAAGTTCTAAATCTTGAAACAAAACATCAAAATACACCAAAGTAGAAGCATATATCTCACAGGACCTATAAAACAATAACAGAATGAAAAAAAAAGCAAGGTATTCAAGCAACAACTAGCATGATGAATAAAACAGTACCTCACATCCCAATAATAATGTTGAATGTAAATGGCCTAAATGCTTCACTTAAAAGATACAAATAGAAGAATGAATAAATATCCAGCAACCAAATATTTGCTGTCTTCAAAAGACTCACATAACACATAAAGACTTACATAAACTTAAGGGAGAGGGACAGAATAAGATATTCCATGCAAATTGACAACAAAAGCGAGCAGAAGTACCTAGCTATTCTTATATGAGACAAAACAGACTTTAAAGCAACAGCAGTTAAAAAAGACAAAGAGAAACTTTATATAATGAGAAAAGGATTAGACCAACAGAAAAATATTACAATCCTAAATATATACACACTTAACATTGGAGCTCCCAAATTTATAAAAACAATTACTGCTAGACCTAAGAAATGAGACAGATGGCAACACAATAATATTGGGAGACTTCAATACTCCACTGACAGTACTGCATGGGTCATCAAGACAGAAAGTCAACAAAGAAACAGTGGACTTAAACTATGCCCTACAACAAATGGACTTAAAAGATATTTACAAAACATTCTACCCAACAATGGCAGAATATGCATTCTTTTCATCAGCACATGGAACATTCTTCAAGATAGACCATGTCATAGGCCATAAAAAACAAGTCTCAATAAATTTAAGAAAATCTAAATTATGCCAAGTATTCTCTCAGACCACAATGGATTAAATTGGAAATTAACTATAAAAGGAACCCTCAAAACTATACAAATACATACAAATTGAATAATCTGCTCCTGAATGACCCTTGGGTCAACAATTAAATCAAGATGGAAATTTAAAAATTCTTTGAGCTCAACAATAATAGTGACACAACCAATCAAAACCTCTGGGATACAGCAAAAGCAGTGCTAAGAGGAAAGTTCATAGTATTAAATGCCTACATCAAAAAGTCTGAAAGAACACAAATAGGCAATCTAAGGTCACACCTTAAGGAACTAGAGAAACAAGAAAAACCAAACCCAAACCCAGCAGAAGAAAAGAAATAACCAAGATCAGAGCAGAACTAAATGAAATTGAAACAAAAAAAAAAAAAATACAAAAGATAAGTAAAACAAAAAGCTGGTTCCTTGAAAAGATAAACAAAATTGATAGACTATTTGTGAGATTAACCAAAAAAGAAGAGACAAGATCCAAATGAGCTGAAATAGAAATCAAATGGGAGATATTACAACCAATACCACATAAATACAAAAAATTATTCAAGATTACTATGAACAACTTCATGCACACAAACTAGAAAACCTAGAGGTTATGGATAAATTCCTGGAAATATACAGCCTTCCTAGATTAAACCAGGAAGAAATAAAAACTCTGAACAGACCAATAACAAGTAGCAAGATTGAAATGGTAGTAAAAATATTGCCAAAAAAAAAAAAGTCCAGGATCAGATGGATTCACAGCTGAATTCTATCAGACATTCAAAGAAGAATTGGTACCAATCCTACTGAAACTATTCCAAAAAAACAGAGAAAGAGGGAATCCTCCCTAAATCATTCTATGAAGCCAGTATTAACCTAATACCAAAAGCAAGAAAAGACATAACAACAACAAAACTACAGACCAATATCCCTGATGAACATAGATGAAAACTCTTCAACAAAATACTAGCCAACCAAATTCAACGGCATATCAAAAAGATAATACTCCAAGATCAAGTGGATTTCATACCTAGGATGCAGGATTGGTTTAACATACACAAGTCAATAAATGTGATACACCACATAAACAGAATTAAAAACAAAAATCACATGATCATCTCAGTGGATGCAGAAAAAGCACTTGACAAAATCCAGCACTGCTTTATGATTAAAACCCTCAGCAAAGTCAGCATATAAGGGACATACCTGAAGGTAATAAAAGCCATCTATGATAAACCCACAGCCAACATTATACGGAATGGGGAAAAGTTGAAACCATTCCCCTGAGAACTGGAACAAGGCAAGGATGCCCACCCTCACCACTTTCTATTCAACATAGCACTGGAATTCCTAGCCAGAGTAATCAGACAAGAGAAAGAAATAAAGGACATCTAAACTGGTAATGAGGAAGTCAAACTGTCTTTGTTTGCCACTAACATGATCATATGCCTAGAAAACCCTAAGATTCACCCAGAAACCTCCAAGATCTGATAAACGAACTCAGTAAAGCTTCAGGATACAAAATCAATGTACACAAATCAGTTGCACTGCTATACACCAACAGCAACCAAGCTGAGAATCAAATCAAGAACTCAACCCCTTTTACAACAGCTGCAAAAATAAAATAAAATACTTAGGAAATATACCTCACCAAAAAGTTAAAAGAGCTCTACACGGAAATCTACAAAACACTGCTGACAGAAATCATAGACAACCCAAACAAATAAAAACACATCCCATGCTCATGGATGGGTAGAATCAATATTGTGAAAATGACCATACTGCCAAAAAGCAATCTATAATTTTAATGCAATTTCCATCAAAATACCATCATCGTTCTTCACAGAACTAGAAAAACAATCCTAGGAAGACCCTATTCAACAAATGGTGCTTAGATAATTTGCAAGCCACATGTAGAAGAATGAAACTGAATCCTCATCTCTCACCTTTTACAAAAATCAACTCGAGATGGATCAAAGACTTAAATCTAAGACCTGAAACCATACAAATTCTAGAAGATAATATCAGAAAAACTCTTCTAGACATTGGCTTAACCAAAGAGTTCATGACCAAGAACCCAAAAGCAAGTGCAACAACAACAACAAAGATAAATAGATCGGACTTAATTAAAATGAAAAGCAGAGTATAAGAAATAATCAGCAGAGTAAACAGACAATCCACGGAGTGGAAGAAAATCTTCACAAACTATGCATCTGACAAAGGACTAACATCCATAATCTACAAAGAACTCAGCAAGAAATGAACAATCCCATCAAAAAGTTGGCTAAGGACATGAATAGATAATTCTCAAAAGAAGATATACAAATTACCAACAAACATGAAAAAATGCTCAACATCACCAGTTATCAAGAAAATGCAAATCAAATCCACATTGCAATACAACCTTACTCCTGCAAGAAAGACCATAATTTAAAAATCAAAAATAATTGATGTTGGTGTGGATGTGGTGAAAAGGGAATATTTTTACACTGCTGGTGAGACTATAAACTAATATAACCACTATGGAAAACAGTATGGTGATTCCTTCAAGAACTAAAAGTAGAACAACCATTTGATCCAGGAATCCCACTACTGGGTGTCTACCCAGAGGAAAAGAAGTCATTATATGAAAAAAAGACACTTGCACACACGTTTATAGCAGCACAATTTGAAACTGCAAAAATATGAAACCCACCTAAATGCCCATCAACCAACAAGTGGATAAAGAAAATATGATATATAAATATATATGAAATATATATATATCACATATTATATACTGAAATACTACCGTGAATTACTACTCAGCCATAAAAAGGAACAAAACAATGGCATTTGCAGCAACCTGGATGTAGCTGGAGACCGTTATTCTAAGTGACGTAATTCAGGAGTGGAAAACCAAACATCGTATGTTCTCTCATATAAGTGGGAGCTAAGCTCTCAGGATGCACAGGCATAAGAACGACATAATGGACTCTGGGGACTTGGGTTAAAGGATCGGAGGGGGTGAGGGATAAAAGACTACACATTGGGTGCAGTGTGCACTGCTCAGGTGATGGGTGCACCAAAATCTCAGAAATCACTATGATTTCTTATCTATGTACAGAACCTATGTATGTAACTGAACACCACCTGTTCCCCAAAAACTATTGAAATAACAATAAAAATAATAAATAAAATACATACATAAAAAAGAAAGACACTACGTGATTTTTTTTCTGTCATATTCTTTCCCTTACTGACAGGTTAAAGTTCCTTGTGTATTCTAAATACTAATCTTTTTCAGTTATATATGTTGCAAACTTTTCTCCTAGCTATTTTTTTTTACCTATTTTTTGCTATTTTTTAAAAGGAAAAAAGTTCCTTAATTATAAGGAAGGGAAATTGATTGGTATTTTCCATTAGTTTTGTCCTTCTGTGTCTATTTATAAATTCTTCCTGACCTCAGCTCATAAAGATGTTCTCAAATTTATTCTTTCAAATCTTAAAATGTTGCCTTTCAGATTTATACCTTTATTCTACCTGGAATTGATTTTTGTGTTGTACAAAAATTAGAATCTCAGTTTAATTTGTTCCATATGAATAATCAATTTTTTCACATAATTTATTTTTAAAAAATTCTTTTCCCACCTATCTGCAATGAAACCTCTATCATATGTCAAGTCTCATTTGTGTGATCTGTTTTGGGGTGCCCTATTCTGTACCACTTAGATACTTATCACTGAACCAATGTCTCGGTGTATTTATAACTATAGTTTATAATAAAAAATCTGGATATTAAGTAGAGCTAATGCCCCTATGGTCTTCTTATTTAAGTGTACATAGGTTATTCTTGGCTCTTGGTATTTCTACATAAAAATTAGAATCACCTCGTTACGTTTGCAACAACCTCTCCTATCTCCAAACAGAAACCTGATTTGGAACTTTATTGAACCATCATTAGCCCATAGATTAATAGAGGAAGAATTGACATATTTAAAATATTGTCTTCCAGTCCATGACTATGTTACATCTCTTCCTTTATTTAGGTCTTTAATAACTTTAATTAAAGTTTTATAATTTTCTCTATAAAGGTGTTGCTCATGTATGATTATATTAATTCCTCTACATTTGATGTTTTGATAATATTTTAAATGGCATCATTTTAAATTTCAATATTCTAAATATTTTTTGTGTTGCATAGAAATTGATACTTGTATATTGATTCTTAAATCTAAAAATCTTGTGAAATGAGTTATTTAATAAATTTTTACCATATTCCTTTGGATTTTCTTCACAATTTAATTTTTTGACAATGATGACAATTTGTTTACTTCTTTGTAATATGTGTGCTTTTTTCCTTGACATTTTTTACTGTCTAGACTCTCTGAATAGAAGACAGGGGACATCTTTACTCTCATTCTCAAAGGGAAGGTTTTATGATGTATACTGTTTTCTATATTGTTTTTTAATAGATATCTTTTATTATTCCAAGTTTCTTTCTATTGCTAGATTGTTAAAAGATTTTAATTTTATTTAAATTTTCAATGGGTGTTATTTTATCACAACATTTTTCTACATATATTAAATTATATGGCTTTTCTTTTCTAATCTGTTAATGTGGTAAATGACATTAATAAATATTCTATTTTTGTACTTATTTTTTATTCTTGGAATAAACCCAAACTGATCATTCATTCATTTCACAAGTATGCCCTTTACCCCAACTTGCCAAGCACTATTCTAGGCATTACATAAATTACCTTGTAAGAGTATTACAGCAACAAAGCTGTAAAAAGATGAAATGGTGTTCAGAAAATGGGATACTTGAAACTGAGAATTTTGAAAGTGTTAACATTGGTACTGAAAAGGGCTAGTGTATGCTGCTGAGAATAAGTAGCTAAGGTAGGATAAATAACATACTCATTAAAAGATAGGAGGTCAATGAACTGAGAGAGTAAGATCTTAAAGGGATTACCTATGTGACTGTTGAAATCTCTAATAGTTAAGATAAGAATAGTGTTGGAGAGAGTAAGACATAGCTGGGAGGTAAAATTTTAAGGAATGGGGATGAATGAACCAGGCTCAGTAAATGACTGCAAAAAAGGAGAGTTGTGTTAACTGATAATCTGAAATGCAAAATTTGAGTGGAGGCTTCAGAGGAGAGAGAAAGAATGATCTGGAACATCACTGAATCTCAAGATTTAATTCTGGGAGTAGGGAGAAGTGTGGAGGGAGAATAATCCACCACTTGAGATTGAGAAGACAGTATTAGGAGCAATGTCCTCTGGTGAAAGTCAGGTTTCCACAAAAGCAAGAAAGTGAAGTAAGCATTTAAGCAAAAGTTTGAAAACCTAAGGAATTTAGCCAATGACTCAATGTTAGCTCCAGAAGTCGCAGTGGAAAGATTTCAGGTGTTGAAGAAAGGTGGGAGAGGAAGAGAATAGAATGTTCAGATGAATGGTAAGAGAAAACAAGAGATGGGGATGACAAAAGAATATGGTGTTTTTTGTAAAACTAACATAGAAAAATATAGCAAGCATAACCATATTGTTTCTGATAATCTGTAGGTGTAGTAATAGTAAGGCTGAGTTTAGGAGAGTACAGAGCAATAGGGATTTGGCTACCCTCTTCATTTCTGTTTATAAAAACCTTACAGACTTGGAAACAGACATTCTTATTCTTGTGCATATGATGTGCTCTTTTGACCCAGCCAATGGAAAGGGGTTGAGATATACTTTTTCTGTTATATTTATTACACGTTTTATATATTGATGATTAGATTTGCTAAAAATATTTTAAGGCTTTCCATCTGTGTACACAAGTACGAATGTCCTGTAACTATTCTATCTTTGTCAGGTTTGGTTATTAAGGTTATACTAATTTCTAAAATGAGTTGGGTAATGCTCTTTTTCTATAGTCTAGAAAAATTTGGGTAACACTGGAATTGTTTGTCCTTTGAATATTTGATAGAACTCACCCCTAACATCACATGGGCCTAGAGTTTCCCTGAAGAATTTTTAAATAGTGATTAAATTGTTTTAATGCAAGGATCAGCAAACTTTTTCTTCCTTCTATTATAGAGGTCCAGATATTAAATATTTTAGACTCTGTGGGCCACATGCAAACTCTGTAACATATTCTCTTTTGGTTTTGTTTTTCTATTTTATAAATTTTAAACATATAAAAACCTTTCTTAGCTTGCAGGCTATACAAAAACTGACCACAGTGCAGATTTAGCTCATACACCATCATTTGCCAATTTCAGCTGATAAGCAAAAACAAACGCAGTTTCTGTCTTCTCTCACAGCACATTTCTGACACTAGATGTATGGGTATTTCTCCCTACCAGCAAACAAGCTATCAGTTCTGCAGTGGGCATCAGCTAATATCCTTTAATTCAATTCAGTTCTCACACTATCTGCCCAGAGCTCAGGGAAATACTTAATATTTACCAGTTTACTACAAATAATATTTTAGACACAAATAAATAGCCAAATAAATACATAGTGGCAGGTCTGGAAAGGTCCCAAGCCCAGGAGCTTCTGTTACCATGCAGTTGGGGTGCTCCACCCTCCCAGCCTGTCGATGTGTAAGCCCCTTGTGTTTGGCTATTTGCAAGCTCTCTGAACCACATCCCACTGGGTTTTTATGCAGGCTTCATTATGTAGACATGATGGAAGCTGAAACGTTCCAATCCTCTAGTTATGCCTTGGTCTTTCCGGTGAGAAGCTCCCATCCTGAAGCTGCCTAGGAAAGGTCAGCCATCAATCAATCATTACCATACAAAAAGACGTCACTTGGACATTCCAAGGATTTTAGGAGATTAGACCAATGAAAACCAAATATTTATTTCACAATATTATACCAGCTTTAATGGACAAATGATATTCAGGTTTTCTATATCTTCTTGAGTCACTTGGTAGATAATATTTTTCTAGGAATTTGTTCCTTTCTTTTATGCTTTCAATGTATGGGAATAAATTGCTTTAAGTGTCTTCATCATTTTAATATCTACAGTATCTGAAGGTATGTCCACTTTTTCATTTCTAATATTGTTTGCCTTTTTTCATTTTTTTCTGAGTGTGCTTGACAGAAGTTTATTGATTTTGTTAATCTAACAAAGATTTGTTTTGTTTGTCCTATTTTATGTTTGTTTTCCATTTCATTAATATTTACTCTTATTTTCATTATTTATTTCCCTCTACTTTCTTGGAGATTACTTAGCTCTTTATTTTCTCACTTCTTAAGATGTGTAAACCAAAAAGTGACTGAGGCACAACTCAAGTGTTGAGAGGTTTATTTTGCCAAGGTTGAGGATGCACCTAGGAAAAGGAAACACAACTTATAGTAGAATCTGTGACTTGTGCTTTTTCCAGATAGAGTTTTTGAAACTTCAATATTTTAAGATGAAAGAGCAAGCATTAAAGGAAGAAAAAAAGGAGGGAGAATAGGCAATGAAGCAAGTGGTTACATATTGTGAGGCTTTGATTAGCACTCAGTAAATCCTTTCTTTCCTAATTGAAGACAAAGTCTCACTATGTTGCCCAGGTTGGTCTCAAACTCCTGGGCTCAAGCGATCTTCCCATCTTGGCCTCCCAAGGTGCTAGGATTACAGATGTGAGACATTGCAGCTGGCCAGCACTCAGTAAATCTACACTGTACATGTGGAAAGAAGGGAGTAGAGGAAAAAGTTAATTATGCATTTGTCTCATGCACAGGAAATCTACATTTTCCATAAGATAAAATAAGTATGTGAAATTACAGCTGTTTGGGAACAAAAGGAAGACAATGTTTTGAATATCTCAGTTTCCAACCTTAAATTTCCCTTTGGCATAGTGAGCTTGGGGTCCAGAGATTTTATTGTTTCACAGATGTACGCATAATTCATTTTCAGCTTTACTGATGAAGTTCTTAAAGTTTTTTTCCTCTAATAATGCTTTGGCTACTTCCCATAAATTCTGGCAGGTAATGTTTTTGTTATTCTGGTTTATATACAAATTTTCTTTATGATTTCCTCTTTTTTTCATTATACTTTAAGTTTCAGGGTACATGTGCACAACGTGCAGGTTTGTTACATATGTATACATGTGCCATGTTGGTGTGCTGCACCCAATAACTCGTCATTTTACATTAGGTATATCTCCTAATGCTATCACTCCCCCTTCCCCCCACCCCACAACAGACCCCGGTGTGTGATGTTCCCCTTCCTGTGTCCATGTGTTCTCATTGTCCAATTCCCACCTATGAGTGAGAAGATGCGGTGTTTGGTTTTTTGTCCTTGCGATAGTTTGCTGAGAATGATGGTATCCAGCTTCATCCATGTCCCTACAAAGGACATGAACTCATCATTTTTTATGGCTGCATAGTATTCCATGGTGTATATGTTTCACATTTTCTTAATCCAGTCTATCATTGTTGGACATTTGGGTTGGTTCCAAGTCTTTGCTATTGTGAATAGAACTGCAATAAACATACCTGTGCATGTGTCTTTATAGCAGCATGATTTATAATCCTTTGGGTATATACCCAGTAATGGAATGGCTGGGTAAAATGGTATTACTAGTTCTAGATCCCTGAGGAATTGCCACACTGACTTCCACCATGGTTGAACTCGTTTACAGTCCCACCACCAGTGTAAAAGTGTTCCTATTTCTCCACATCCTCTCCAGCACCTGTTGTTTCCTGAATTTTTAATGATTGCCATTCTAACTGGTGTGAGATGGTATCTCATTGTGGTTTTGATTTGCATTCTCTGATGGCCAGTGATGATGAGCATTTTTTCATGTGTGTTTTGGCTGCATAAATGTCTTCTTTTGAGAAGTGTCTGTTCATACCCTTCGCCCACTTGTTGATGGGGTTGTTTTTTTCTTGTAAATTTGTTGGAGTTCATTGTAGATTCTGTAGATGAGTAGATTGCAAAAATTTTCTCCCATTTTGTGGGTTGCCTGTTCACTCTGATGGTAGTTTCTTTTGCTGTGCAGAAGCTCCTTAGTTTAATTAGATCCCATTTGTCAATTTTGGCTTTTGTTGCCATTGCTTTTGGTGTTTGGGCAAAGACATGAAGTCCTTGCCCATGCCTGTTTCCTGAATGGTATTGCCTAGGTTTTCTTCTAGGGTTTTTATGGTTTTCAGTCTAACATGTAAGTCTTTAATCCATCTTGAATTAACTTTTGTGTAAGGTGTAAGGAAGGGATCCAGTTTCAGCATTCTACATATGGCTAGCCAGTTTTCCCAGCACCATTTATTAAATAGGGAATCCTTTCCCCATTTCTTGTTTTTGTCAGGTTTGTCAAAGATAAGATGGTTGTAGATATGCAGCATTATTACTGAGGGCTCTGTTCTGTTCCATTGATCTATATCTCTGTTTTGGTACCAGTACCATGCTGTTTTGGTTACTGTAGCCTTGTAGTATAGTTTGAAGTCAGGTAGCGTGATGCCTCCAGCTTTGTTCTTTTGGCTTAGGATTGACTTGGTGATGCAGGCTCTTTTTTGGTTCCATATGAACTTGAAAGTAGTTTTTTTCCAATTCTGTGAAGAAAGTCATTGGTAGCTTGATGGGGATGGCATTGAATCTATAAATTACCTTGGGCAGTATGGCCATTTTCACAATGTTGATTCTTCCTACCCATGAGCATGGAATGTTCTTCCATTTGTTTGTATCCTCTTTTATTTCATTGAGCAGTGGTTTGCAGTTCCCCTTGAAGAGGTCCTTCATGTCCCTTGTAAGTTGGATTCCTAGGTATTTTATTCTCTTTGAAGCAATTGTGAATGGGAGTTCACTCATGATTTGGCTCTCTGTTTGTCTGTTGTTGGTGTATAAGAATGCTTGTGATTTTTGCACATTGATTTTGTATCCTGAGACTTTGCTGAAGTTGCCTATCAGCTTAAGGAGATTTTGGGCTGAGACGATGGGGTTTTCTAAATATACAAACATGTCATCTGCAAACAGGGACAATTTGCCTTCCTCTTTTCCTAATTGAATACCCTTTATTTCCTTCTCCTGCCTGATTGCCCCAGCCAGAACTTCCAACACTGTGTTGAATAGGAGTGGTGAGAGAGGGCATCCCTGTCTTGTGCCAGTTTTCAAAGGGAATGCTTCCAGTTTTTGCTCATTCAATATGATATTGGCTGTGGGTTTGTCATAGATAGCTCTTATTATTTTGAGATATGTCCCATCAGTACCTAATTTATTGAGAGTTTTTAGCATGAAGGTTTGTTGAATTTTGTCAAAGGCCTTTTCTGCATCTAATGAGATAATCATATGGTTTTTGTAGTTGGTTCAGTTTATATGCTGGATCATGTTTATTGATTTGCATATGTTGAACCAGCCTTGCATCCCAGGGATGAAGCCCACTTGATCATGGTGGATAAGTTTTTGATGTGCTGCTGGATTCGGTTTGCCAGTATTTTATTGAGGATTTTTGCACTGATGTTCGTCAGGGGTATTGGTCTAAAATTCTCTTTTTTGGTTGTGTCTCTGCCAGGCTTTGGTATCAGGATGATGCTGGCCTCATAAAATGAGTTAGGGAGGATTCCCTCTTTTTCTGTTGATTGGAATAGTTTCAGAAGGAATCGTACCAGCTCCTCCTTGTACCTCTGGTAGAATTCGGCTGTGAATCCATCTGGTCCTGGACTTTTTTTGGTTGGTAAGCTATTAATTATTGCCTCAATTTCAGAGCCTGTTATTGGTCTATTCAGAGATTCAGCTTCTTCCTGGTTTAGTCTTGGGAGGGTGTATGTGTCGAGGAATTTATCCCTTTCTTCTAGATTTTCTAGTTTCTTTGCGTATAGGTGTTTATAGTATTCTCTGATGGTAGTTTGTACTTCTTGGAGATCGGTGGTGATATCTCCTTTATCATTTTTTATTGTGTCTATTTGATTCTTCTCCCTTAATTTTTCTTTATTAGGCTTGCTAGCAGTCTATCAATTTTGTTGATCTTTTCAAAAAACCAGCTCCTGGATTCATTGATTTTTTCGAAGGGTTTTTTGTGTCTCTATTTCCTTCAGTTCTGCTCTGATCTTAAGTTATTTCTTGCCTTCTGCTAGCTTTTGCATGTGTTTGCTCTTGCTTTTCTAGTTCTTTTAATTATGATGTTAGGGTGTCAATTTTAGAACTTTCCTGCTTTCTCTTGTGGGCATTTAGTGCTATAAATTTCCCTCTACACACTGCTTTGAATGTGTCCCAGAGATTCTGGTATGTTGTGTCTTTGTTCTTGTTGGTTTCAAAGAACATCTTTATTTCTGCCTTCATTTCATTATGTACCCAGTAGTCATTCAGGAGCAGGTTGTTCAGTTTCCAGGCAGTTGAGCGGTTTTGAGTGAGTTTCTTAATCCTGAGTTCTACTTTGGTCTGAGAGACAGTTTGTTATAGTTTCTGTTCTTTTATATTTGCTGAGGAGTGCTTTACTTCCAACTATGTGATCAATTTTGGAATAAGTGCAGTGTGGTGCTGAGAAGAAT
Organism: Homo sapiens; assembly: GCF_000001405.40. NCBI lineage: Eukaryota > Metazoa > Chordata > Mammalia > Primates > Hominidae > Homo > Homo sapiens. The sequence goes on along the minus strand of NC_000006.12, from coordinate 119,402,662 downwards.
GTATATTCTGTTGATTTGGAGTGGAGAGTTCTGTATATGTCTATTAGGTCCACTTGTTGCAGAGCTGAGTCCAATTCCTGGATATCCTTGTTAACTTTCCGTCTCATTGATCTGTCTAATGTTGACAGTGGGGTGTTAAACTCTCCCATTATTATTGTGTGGGAGTCTAAGTCTCTTTGTAGTTCTCTAAGGACTTTCTTTATGAATCTGGGTGCTCCTGTATTGGGTGCATATATATTTAGGATAGTTAGCTCTTCTTGTTGAATTGATCCCTTTACCATTATGTAATGGCCTTCTTTGTCTCTTTTGATCTTTGTTGGTTCAAAGTCTGTTTTATCAGAGACTAGGATTGCAACCCCTGCCTTTTTTTGTTTTCCATTTGCTTGGCAGATCTTCCTCCATCCCTTTATTTTGAGCCTATGTGTGTCTCTGCACATGAGATGGGTCTCCTGAATACAGCACACTGATGGGTCTTGACTCTTTATCCAATTTGCCAGTCTGTGTCTTTTAATTGGAGCATTTAGCCCATTTACATTTAAGGTTAATATTGTTATGTGTGAATTTGATCCTGTCATTATGATGTTAGCTGGTTATTTTGCTCGTTAGTTGATGCAGTTTCTTCCTAGTCTCAATGGTCTTTACAATTAGGCATGTTTTTGCAGTGGCTAGTACCAGTTGTTCCTTTCCATGTTTAGTGCTTCCTTCAGGAGCTCTTTTAGGGCAGGCCTGGTGGTGACAAAATCTCCCAGCATTTGCTTGTCTGTAAAGGATTTTATTTCTCCTTCACTTATGAAGCTTAGTTTGGCTGGATATGAAATTCTGGGTTGAAAATTCTTTTCTTTAAGAATGTTAAATATTGGCCCCCACTCTCTTCTGGCTTGTAGAGTTTCTGCCGAGAGATCCGCTGTTGGTCTGATGGGCTTCCCTTTGTGGGTAACCTGACCTTTCTCTCTGATTGCCTGTAACATTTTTTCCTTCATTTCAACTTTGGTGTATCTGACAATTATGTGTCTTGGAGTTGCTCTTCTCGAGGAGTATCTTTGTGGCATTCTCTGTATTTCCCGAATTTGAATGTTGGCCTGCCTTGCTAGATTGGGGAAGTTCTCCTGGATAATATTCTGCAGAGTGTTTTCCAACTTGGTTCCATTCTCCCCATCACTTTCAGGTACACCAATCAGACGTAGATTTGGTCTTTTCACATAGTCCCATATTTCTTGGAGGCTTTGTTTGCTTCTTTTTATTCTTTTTTCTCTAAACTTCTCTTCTTGCTTCATTTCATTCATTTGATCTTCCATCACTGATACTCTTTCTTCCAATTGATCAAATCGGCTACTGAGGCTCGTGCATTTGTCACATAGTTCTCGTGCCTTGGTTTTCAGCTCCATCAGGTCCTTTAAGGACTTCTCTGCATTGGTTATTCTAGTTAGCCATTCATCTAAATTTTTTCCAAGGTTTTTAACTTCTTTGCCATGGGTTCAGACTTCCTCCTTTAGCTCGGAGTAGTTTGATCTTCTGAAGCCTTTTTCTCTCAACTCGTCAAAGTCATTCTCCATCCAACTTTGTTCTGTTGCTAGTGAGGAGCTGCGTTTCTTTGGAGGAAGAGAGGCACTCTGATTTTCAGTTTCCAGTTTTTCTCCTCTGTTTTTTCCCCATCTTTGTGGTTTTATCTACCTGTGGTCTTTGATGATGGTGACGTACAGATGGGGTTTTGGTGTGGATGTCCTTTCTGTTTGTTAGTTTTCCTTCTAACAGTCAGGACCCTCAGCTACAGGTCTGTTGGAGTTTGCTGGAGGTCTACTCCAGACCCTGTTGGCCTGGGTATCAGCAGCGGAGGCTGCAGAACAGCGGATATTAGTGAACAGCAAATGTTGCTGTCTGATCATTCCTCTGGAAGTTTTGCCTCAGAGGAGGACCCGGCAGTGTGATGTGTCAGTCTGCCCCTACTGGGGGGTGCCTCCCAGTTAGGCTATTCGGGGGTCAGGGACCCACTTGAGGAGGCTGTCTGTCCGTTCTCAGATCTCCAGCTGCCTGCTGGGAGAACCACTACTCTCTTCAAAGCTGTCAGACAGGGACATTTAAGTCTGCAGAGGATTCTGCTGCCTTTTGTTTGGCAATGCCCTGCCCCCAGAGGTGGAGTCTACAGAGGCAGGCAGGCCTCCTTGAGCTGCGGTGAGCTCCACCCAGTTCGAGCTCCCCGGCTGCTTTGTTTACCTACTCAAGCCTTGGCAATGGCGGGCGCCCCTCCCCCAGCCTCGCTGCCGCCTTGCAGTTTGATCTCAGACTGCTGTGCTAGCAATGAGCGAGGCTCCATGGGCGTAGGACCCTCCGAGCCATGCACGGGATATAATCTCCTGGTGTGCCGTTTGCTAAGACCATTGGAAAAGCGCAGTATTAGGGTGGGAGTGACCCAATTTTCCAGGTGCCATCTGTCACCCCTTTCTTTGACTAGGAAAGGGAATTCCCTGACCCCTTGTGCTTCCCAGGTGAGGCAATGCCTCGCCCTGCTTCGGCTCATGCTCGGTGTGCTGCACCCACTGTCCTGCACCCACTTTCTGACACTCCCCAGTGAGATGAACCCAGTACCTCAGCTGGAAATGCAGAAATCACCCATCTTCTGCATCACTCATGCTGGGAGCTGTAGACTGGAGCTGTTCCTATTTAGCCATCTTTTATTTCTTCTTTATATATAAATTATTTCTAAATATGTTTTTAAAAAAGCACTGTAATACTCATTCTGGGTCTTCAGAGGTCACAGTCACCTGCTGCCAGATGCTGCTGTGGGGCTGGCCTCATAGCCCTCTGCACAAAGGTTTGGACAAATTATAATCTGCAGGAAGGACTGGCTTGGCCTCAGGAAGGAACCACTCATTTCTATGCAGTAAGACCTTTTCTGTAGATGTGAGGGCAAATGGCCTGAGGCCCCATATGTGCAGGCTTTCTTTACCTTGCAGGGTAATCCAGACCTTTGCCAACAGTGTAGGATTGATCCAGTCCTCTTATTTGCTATCTCAGAAGAGGCTGCAAGGGCAATCCCAGGGAACTAAAGAAACAAACCCCAGAGGCATCTCCAGCAGGGAGGCCAGCTCCCTCCAGCCTGCTTTTCCAGGTCCACTCCATCCTTCCTATCCAGTTTCTCTCTCTTGCTTGCCCCCTGAAATCTTCACCCTAGACAAGCCCCAGTCTCACTCTTGCCCCTCCAACAGATGCCTGGTGAATTTGGCCACAGTAAGGGTCAGGTCTCCTTCTCTCTACAGGACTTAAGGCAAATTAGCAGGGATCTTGGTAAGCTTTCAGATGACCCTGAAATACATAGAGTCTTTCCAGAATAACCCAAGTATTTGAACTCTCCTGGAAAAACATTGTTACTTTTGATTCAAACCCTGACTAACACTGAGAAGCAGGCCGCTCTGCAAGCAGCAGAGAAATTTGGGAATGAGCTTTGTATCACATAGTGTGAGGGAAAGGGTCGAACGTTATCCAATTGGAAGAGAAGCAGTACCAGCGGATGCCCCTAAATGGGATCCCAATGATGAGATGGGAGAATGGAAGAGGAGACATTTTCAGGTGTACATAATGGAGGGCTTGCATAGGACTAGAACTAATCCTCTCAATTATACCAAACTATCCATGATAGACCAGGGATTTGATGAGAATCCCCACTGCCTTCCTGGAAAGGCTAAGAGAGGCCTTGGTAAAATACATCTCTCTGTCTCCTGATTTCAGTTGAGGGACAACTAATCCTAAAGGATAAATTTATTATTCAAGCAGTCCCTGATATCAGGAGGAATCTGCAGAAATAGGCCCTGGGGCCAGAGAGTACTTTAGAGAACCTCCTGAAAGTGGCCACCTCGGTGTTTTATAATATAGATAGGGAGGCCCAAGAGAGAGAGAGGGGAAACACAGGAAAGAGATGGAGGCTTTAATGGCCACCATGCAAGCACACAAACCCCAGAATTCCTGAGGTGCACCTGTTAACTGATACAGATGTGGTAAGCCAGGGCATTTTAGGAAGGATTGCCCAGGCAGCATGAGGAAGCCACCTCAATCCTGTCCAATCTGCAACAGGGACCACTGGAAGATGGACTGTCTCCAGGGACACTGCTCACTGGGCCCAGAGCCAATCTCCCAAATGGTCCAGCAGAACTGATGGGTCCTGGGGCCCCTCTCGCCAGCTGCAGTGGTCCAGACCACCATTACCATCCAGGAGCCCCAAGTAATTCTAAAAATTGAAGGAAGAAAAGTGGACCTCCTTCTAGACACCAGGGCTGGTCTCTCAGTTCTCCTCTTCTCTCTTAGCACGACCATAAGGGGTGTCTCAGGAAGGCCTTTAACCCAATATTTTCCCCAAATTGTGATTTGTAGCTGGGGAAGCCTCTTGTTTACCCATGCCTTTCTAAATATGCCTGAAAGCCCAACTCCTCTGTTGGGCCGGGATATTCTGACCTATACGGGACCACCACCCTGATGGCCCCAGGACAAACTATTTTTCTCCCCCTGGGGAGATTGCCCAGAAGTTTGGGCAATTCAAGGGGAAATTGGTCAGGCCACAACTGCTATACTGGTCAAGGTCCACTTTAAGGATCCCATCTTTCCTAGCCAGAAACAATATGCCTCCAAACCAGAAATTAGGAAAGGATTGGAAGCCATCATTGACAACTTAAGGTTGCAAGGCCTCCTCAAACCTTGCAATAGCCCCTGTAATATCCTGATATTGGGGATACAAAATCCAATGGGGAATGGAGACTAGTTCAGGACCTCTACCTCATTAATGAGGCTGTGGTTCCAATTCACTCGGTGAGTCCCAATTTGTATACCCTGCTAGCTCAAATACCTGAGGGAATGAAATGGTTCACAGTCCTGGACCTAAAGGATGCCTTCTGTATACTGTTACACCCCAACTCCCAGTATTTGTTTGCATTTGAGGATCCCTCTAACCAAACCACCCAGTTAACCTGGACAGTGTTGCCTCAGGAATTCTGAGACGCCTCCACTTGTTTGGGAAGGCATTGTCAAGGGACCTCTCCACATTCCTTTATCCTCAGGTTAAAGTTTTACAATATGCAGATGATAGTTTTCTTTGTGCTCCAACTGAAGAAATCTCTCAGGAGAGCAGTAAAGGTCTTCTTAATTTTCTGGTTAACAGAGGATATAAGGTTTCAAAATCTGAAGTTCAGCTCTGTCAGACTTCAGTGAAATACCTAGGTTTGGTCTTGTCAGAGGGGACCAGGGCACTGGGCAAAGAAAGGATTAAGCATATCTCCTCCTTTCCCCTCCCCAAAACCCTCAAGCAACTGAGGGGTTTCATAGGCATTACAGGATTCTGCAGACTGTAGATACCTGGGTATGGTGAAGTAGCTCGTCCCTTATATCACTTAATAAAGGAGACTCAGGCAGCTGAAACTCACTCTGTAAATTGGGAACTGAAGGCTAGAAAGGCCTTTGACCAACTCTCAACTCTAACAAGCCTTACTTAAAGCACCAGCCCTTAGTTTCCCCATAGGGAAGATGTTAAATCTTTATGTGTCAGAAAGAATGGGAATGGCCCTAGGAGTTCTAACCAAGGCCTGAGGTCCATCCCACCAGCCTGTAGGATACCAAATTAGGAGCTTGATTTGGTAACCAAAGGATGACTGGCCTGCCTCTGTGCAGTTGCAGTGATAACCTTGCTGGCACCAAAGGCTACTAAGTTACCATGGGCAATAACTTAACCATTTATACTCTGCATAATGTGGCAGGACTATCTTCTAAGGGGAGTATCTGGCTAAAGGACAGCCATCTCCTCAGGTATCAAGCTCTGTTATTAGAGGGATCTTCAGTACAATTAAGAACCTGCCCCTCCCTAAATCCAGCCACCTTCCTCCCAGAGGAAGCTGGGGAGCTTAAACATGACTATGAACAGATAGTAGTACAAACCTATGTGGCCAGAGAAGACCTCAAGGAAACCCCCTTAGAGAACCCAGACTGGATTCTCTTCATAGAAAGAAGTTCTTTTGTAGAATAAGGGATCCATAAAGCAGGGTATACAATAGTTACTCTGGATGATCCTGTTGAGAGCACCTCTCTCTCCTTGGGCACAAGTGCTCAACTAACCAAGCTAATTGTCCTCGCGAGGGCACTTGAATTAAGCAAAGGGAAAGCAGTTAACATTTATACTAACTCTAAGTATGCTTTCCTAGTCCTCCATGACCCTGCCACTAACTGGAAAGAAAGAACTTCCCCACAGCTAACAGGTCTTCCATTAAATACCTCCAGGAAATTAATAGACTACTATTCTCAGTTTTCCTCCCACAGGAAGTGGCAGTAATACATTGTAAAGGCCACCAAAAGGGATGGATGAAGTGGCCAAGGGAAATAGGTTGGCAGACCAAGCAGCTAAATCAGCAGTGAGAAGGTTCCAGATTTCTGGTCCACTTGAAGCCTGATTAATCTGGGAGGGCCCCATAAGAGAAATAGAACCTCAATATTCTCCTGTGGAAACAGAATGGGCCACTTCTTAGGGATACATCTTTCAGTCCTCAGGATGGCTACAATCAGAGGATGACAAGCTTCATCTACTGGCTGCCAACTAAAGGAAAGTTCTTAAAAGACTTCACCAGGCCTTCCACCTAGGTAAGGAGAAAACCTATCAATTGTCCCAGAGATTGTTCTCAGGTACAAACCTGATACAAATGGTTAAACAGGTTGTTAATGCTTGCGAGACTTGCCTTAAAAATAATACCCTCAACCAATGGCTTCTTCCCTCAGGAATCCAAAGGACAGGAGGCTACCTGGGGAAAGACTAGCAAATGGATTTCACCCCTATGCCAAAGGAAAGGGGCATCCAGTATCTCCTAGTATGGATAGGACAATTTCCATGTCAGACAGAGAAAGCCTCTGAGGTGACAAAAGTACTAATTAATGAGGTAATTCCTCACTTTGGACGCCCTAAGTAACTCCAGAGCAATAATGGCCCCTCATTCAAGGTCATTGTCATCCAGGAAGTCTCAAAAAGCACTAGGCATACAGTACCATCTTCATCATGCTTGGAGACCACAGTCCTCGGGAAAGGTAGAAAAGACAAGTGATATTATCAAAAGGCATCTCAGGAAACTGTCTCAGGAGACTCATCTCCCCTAGACTACCTGTCTCCCCATAACCCTACTACATAGTAGAAATATGCCTTCAAGGCTAGGTTTGAGTCCCTTTGAAGTGATGTATGGATAGCATTTTCACACCAATGATTTCTTACTAGACCAAGAAACCTCTGATTTGATTAAACATATAACTTCTTTGGCCTATTTCCAACAGGAACTGAAACAACTGTCAGATGCCCAACCCCATGAACTACGACCATCTCTATTCAACCCAGGAGACCTAGTACTGGTAAAAGTAGTCCCTTCCCTTTCTCCCTCTATAAGCCAGACTGGGAGGGAACTTACACTGTACTTCTTTATACTCCTACGGCAATGAAGGCCACTGGAATAGATTCTTGAATTCACTATGCCTGAGTAAAGGCCTGGGAAACCAACAGAATTACCTCTGTCAACCCAGAAGAGCAGCCAAAAGTACCAATGGGAAGATATTGGGGACCTCAAGCTAAAAAATCACAAAAGATAATAATTCACCTTCCATGAATATCCTCTTTATAGTCTTGCCTATGCTTGCTGTTCTTACCTTCATTCTGTTCTATACCATGTGGTACAATGTTGTTTTCAGAATAATTACTATATTTCATCTCTTAGTTCTGTAATCTTTGGCACTAGATTCTTTCCTTTTAACCCCTTTTTGTATAATACACGTTTGATCCATGCATACCTAACCTTGTAAAACTTGTTTCTTCTCACCTAGAGGCCATCAAATTCTAAATGGTCAGGCAACCAGAGCCTTGGACAATGGCTCCCTTTTGCCGGGGACCCTTAGGTAGACCTGTGGGAGGAATCTGACTGCTGTTCTCCCCAAAACAATGCCCCCTGTCAGCAGGATGTAGCTAAGACTGGTCATCATCTCTATTCTAATAGCAGTTAGATGTGCCTCTTCAGAGGTGGGGAAATGATAGGGACAGAGTGCAGGGAAATTCTGGGCAGAAGAGGGCGGATCCCTGGCAAGCGCCCCACCCTCAAGCCAAAAAGCCTGATACCACAAACCAAAGTGAGAATTTCACATCACTGTTTTCCAGCTCGAATGTGTCTTTTCCAAAACCACTCATGGCCCGCCCCACCCCCATCCTGCACCCATAAAAACTCCAGGCTCAGCTGGCAGAGCGAGGAGAAGCAGCTGGACGTTAGAGGCTACAGCTGGATGTTGGAGAGAAGCAGCTTGATTTCAGAGGGACAGCTTGACAATGTACCTTCAGAGAGGAGTCCAGCCAAGGACAGCCGGACTTTAGAGGAAGATTGCCTTCCCATTCTGTCCCCTTTCAGCTCCCTTTCCTGCTGAGAGCCACTTTCATCGGCAATAAAATCCCCCACATTTACCATCTTCAATTCATTCATGCAACCTAATTCCTCCTGGATGCCAGGCAACAACTCAGGTGCCAAGAGTGTAGGTACAAAAGGCTGTCACACTGACCCTCCACTGAGGTGTTAACACTTAAGCCATCCATGGACAGCAAAGCAAAAAGGGCACTGTAACACTCTTCCTGGTATTTCAGGGGTCACAGACACCCCCCCCAGGATGCTGCTGCAGGGCCGGTATGGAGTTCACTCTTTCCAGTGCCGAAAATAACTTGCCCTGGCTCCTGCACCCACTCACCTGCACTACCCGTCCCATGAGGTGTGGACCAGCGAGTGAGTGGAGTTTGCCCCTGCCAGCTCTGAAGCAGCCAGCTAGAGCTCATGCACTCCAACTCCCACCTGGGAAGGCGTCAGGGAAACATCCTGCTTCATTTCTTCATTTTCTATCTACAGAATTTGTTTATTTGTTAGATAATTATTTTATTAAAATTTTCTAGCTTAATTTTATTGTGGTCAATAATATGGTTTGCAAAATGCCAATCTTTAGAAAATGGACCCTTACTTTAGGGTTCAGTATGAAGTAACTTTTTAAAATGTTCTATTTATACACATTTATGTGTTTGGGGAAAAAATGTTTACACTTTAGTTGTGAGACACCCTGATTATTTTATCGTTAATCATGTTCAAATAGTCTATATCTTACTTTTTTCTACTGTATTTGTCAGTCAGTTACTGAGAGAAGTATATTAAAATCTCTGAAAATTGTTAATCCTCTTTATTTTTATGCTTCTTGCCTAAAACTATTTTGTATGATAAAAATAATAAACTTATGCCACATTGCTTTTGTCTGGGTTTTGTCTAAAACATGTTTCTGTTCTTTTACTCTTAAGTTTGTGTAGCATTATGCTTTTGGTGTGTCTACATTCTCAATTTTATTTTATTTTGCTGATTATCCAGCCAATAATCTTGGATTTTTTGACTGAAGCATTTGGATTTCTTTCTACCTGAATTTTTTAAACTCTGTCTTTTCTGTTTTTCACTTTCTTTCTTATGTCACTTTAGATTGTAGAATCCTATTATGGATTTGGTCGTTGAACATTCTATGTGTTCTCTTTTGGTGGTTACCTCAGAAATTTCAATATCCATAGTTAATTTCACAATGTTAAAAATTGATCAATATATTTTTCTTCTACCTGTATATTACAATGGTCTTAGAACACTTTAATTTCATGTAATTCCCTCCTAACTTGCATGCTGTATCAAGAATTTTATTTCTGTCATTTTTTAACTCCAAAGAATTGTTTGTATAGATAAATGTTAGCTAAAATTTATCCTCATATTTACACTTTCTTCACTTTCATTTCTTCTTGCATCTCAGATCTTTCATTACTTTTCTTCAGCTGAAGTAAAACTTTTCAAATTTCCTTTGGTTAGCCTCTGGTTGTGGCAAACTGTCTCAGTTTGTCTTGTCTGAAATGTTCTTATTTCACCCCCAAGCAGAAGGTACAGCCCTTTAGTGTTCCAGCTTAGTGAGAGATGTTTTCTATTTAATCCCACACCGTGGGCAAATTCTGGGCTTGCTTTCTCGTGCCTAAGCCACACTCCAAAATCACTACCCCCAAAATGCAGATTAAAGTTGAAGTTCACCAGGTTATAATAATACCCCAGCCTCAATCCTCTGTTTACTTACCTGGGTTCCTGATTTTATTTTCGTTTTGGACTGGATATTTCTTACTTTTAGGTCATGGATCCCTTTTCAAAAATTTAAAAATATATGTTTAATCCAGTATTTTTTAAATGGTCAGTCAAGTTACTTAGTGCTATGTTTTTATTTACTCATATGACAATATTTCAATAATATTTTTTCATTTTATTTCATAGCATTTGTAAATAATGTTTTTAAAGAATTTATGTTACACAGAATATATCTACTATAGTTTACATTGTCATTCTTCTAATGTTGGGTTTTCATTTCTAGTTTTTACTACTGTAAATAATACAAAAAGGGAAACCATAAAGCAGAAAAAAAAAACAAGTGAAAAGAATATAAACATTTCAGAGACCATACATTTGCTTTTCTTCAATTATTTGAAAAGGTGAACATTTTTCTGTGTCCTGTTTATTTTTTATTCCTTTTACAGATTTATCTATCAATGTCTTTGTATATATATATGTATTTTTGAGACAGAGTTTTGCTCTTGTTGCCCAGGCTGGAGTGCAATGGCGCAATCTTGGCTCACTGCAACCTCTGCCTCCCGGGTTCAAGCAATTCTCTCACGTCAGCCTCCTAAGTCAGCTTAGCTCCCATATGCCAGGCATCTTCAAATGCTAATCATATGTAACTACAACTTTGAGAGGTATATTGTAAAGTTAGAAATTCACAGATTTAGGAAGATGGTTTCTAATTGCTTTTAATTATTGTATTTATATACATACACAATTCATAATATTATCTACAATTTTTCCAATATTATATTTTCTTTATTGACACACATGTGAACACAGAAATTGACACAGATAATAATAGGATGTCTAAAAATGGAGATATTCACACATTTAGTTTATTTTTTTGCAGCTGTTATAGGTAGACATAACCTTTACTTTGAGCCAACCATGAAAAACAAGGTGATACAGCATAACTTGGCTTCTTCTCAAAAGTTAGGGGAAAAAGAGGCATTGCAGGAAAAGAGGACAGTACTGATAATAAAAATGACTTGCTTTGTCACCAACTAGAGTAGAAAGGACCTTAAAGAAGAGCTAATATCTGTCTATAGAGGAAGAAGATAAAAACTAAAAGGTGAAGTGACCAAACCTAGCCACACAACTGGAGCTGCAATCCAGTTTTTCAGAGTACTAGTCCAGAGTTTTGTTTTATGCACTTTCTACCTTCTTAAGCCTTAGATGTATATGTTCTCTTTGAGCTGCAAGATCTACGACATGAAGAACTTTATAAAAATGAAATAGATACCCTTGTGTAGGATGGGATAAGAATTATAAATTAACAAGTCAACTATATTAAAAGAGAAATTGAAGAATGACTTAAACCTTCTCAGTCTCAAATTACTCCTATTGAAACCCTCCTAGTAGTTGGTGACTTTCAGATTGTTAATTTTAAAGTAACATAATGCCTAATGGATATATGTTTTTGATTAAGAAGATAAAAATTTTACATATTTATGAACTAAGGAATGAGAATGTGTAAAAGGCAAGATAGGTCTGATCTGTTAAAAACATTATGCTAATTTCAAAGAATGCTACTCTATGCCAAGTTAAATAGTTGGTTTCCAAAGTTGGTAGATAAAATGTTACCCTTAAATAGCTCAACAAATTAATTTTTAAATAAATATTTTATAGGCTTTGCAGCCATATTGTAAGTACTTTAAAACAGCATGCTGTATTTAAAATGCTAAAATATATATAGTAAAATTATGATATTTGATAAGAAAATTGTACTACAATTTGTGCTGAATGGCTTAAAACAACTTATCATTATCTTTCACAGTTCTGAAGATTTCCTAGGCTCAAGTGGATAATCCCCACTTAGAGTGTCTTAGGCAGTTGCAGTCAGATGGTAGTTGGGCCTAGAGTCATTACAAGTTACAACTGAGTTAAACAGCCATGATGCCTTCATGTGGTTTGTGACTAATGATGGCTGTCAACTTGGAGCTCAGCTGGGTTTGTCAACTGGAGCATCTACATGTGGTCTTCCCTATGGCTTCAGATTCTCAGAGTATGGCAGCTGCATTCCAAGAGATATTGTCCCAAAAGCAAGCATTCCACAGCTCAGGAAATGAAAGCTAAGATAAGTTAAGAGTTCTAGTTAGAACTGGCACAGTCTTGCTTCCACTATATTCTGATAGTCAAAGCAGTTACTGTACACATCCAAACTCCACCTCTTGATGGAGTAGAAGTAAGATCAGATTGCAGAAGAACATGTGAGTGAAGAAATATTATTTAAACCACTTTTAGGAAACACAATCTGTTGCAACTTGTTACTAAGTCATATAAAAAAAGAATAAATTATCATTTAGTAATAATAAATAGAATTTACTGAATGTTAATTAAGCACCAGTCACTTTTCTCAGTACTTTAGTATAGATCAGTTTATTTAAATCTCAAAAATAAACTTAGGAGGAAACTGAAGACTGCCTAAGGTCTTGCCTCTAGCTTGTATGTGTGGGAAGAGCAAGTAGTATACATTACTCAGATAAATAGTATAACATTCATATTAAAATCCACTGAATTAAAATATAGTAGTTATATTTAAAGTGTTATATTTAAGTAATGATTTATGCAGATATACCTAAAGACCAAATCAGAATAATGGCTTTATAGTCCATGGGTATGTTACTAGAAAACTTATCAAATTACTTTATTTTTTAATTCATTGATTGTTTTTATAAAAGTAATAGTCATCCATTGTAACCAGAAAAATGATAGGGGGAAAAAATTATGCTTCTCCATTCCCATTATCAGCAAGGTACGTTGATAGCTGATGTAAATCTTTTGCCACCCCTCTCCATTATCACACAAATATATACATTAATTTATCATCTATAAATGGTTTATTGTTCCTTGCTTTTTTTTTTCTTAAGCAGAGTCTTACTCTGTCACCCAGGCTGGCGTGCAATGTGCAATCTCGGCTCACTGCAACCTCCGCCTCCTGGGTTCAAGTGATTCTCCTGCCTCAGCCTCCTGAGTCCTGGGACTACGGGAACTCTCAACCACGCCCAGCTAATTTTTGTATTTTTAGTAGAGATAGGTTTTCACCATATTGGCCAGGCTGGTCTCAAACTCCTGACCTTGTGATCCGCCCACTTTGGCCTCCCAAAGTGCTGGGATTACACATGTGAGACACCACGCCCAGCCTGTTCCTTCCTTTTACAAAAATGGGATCCTATTTTGTTATCCTGCAATTTTCTTTTACTTTAATATTACATTATGGATAGCTTTCCAGGTCTATAAATGTAAACTTAGTTGATTCTTCTGAAGAGTTGTGTTTTATTTTATGGAGTGAATATATTATAATTTATTGAACTGATCTATTAAGTTGTTTCAAGCCAGAATTGGAAAATAAGATGATCTCTTAAAATAGGAGAATAACATACAATAAAAGGGTCCATGGATACATGTAATAGGAAACAATAGATCATATTTCTGCTTTCATTGTAAAGTTTCTTAAATAAAACTCTGCCTACTATTTAACTTTTAGATAGGACAAGTTATTTTTGCTGGGAAAAAATAAAAGTACATTTATCACAGTTTTATTATAATGCAATTTTAGTCACCTTATTGAAAAACACAATTGACATACAATAAATTAAACTAATTAAAGTGAATAATTTTAACCTATGAATATCCTCAAAACAGCACCACAATAAAGATAATGAACACAATTATCATTCCCAAGTTTCCTCATACCCTTGTGTAATCCCTTCATCTTGTAAGCTTTATTGGTACATATTCAGTATTTTTGATGCTATTATAAATGGTATTGTTTAACATGAATTTTTGATTGCCATTTCAGTTATTTAGAAAGGCAGATATTTAGAAAGATTGATTTTCATATCAATCTTGTATCCTACAATCTTGCTAAACTCACTTCTTAGTTCTAGTGCCTTTTTTCCAGATTTCATAGAATTTTCTATATAATGATCATGTCATATACGACTAAAGGTATTTATTTTTCTTCCTTTCTAATGTAGATAACTTTTATTTGTTCTTCTTGCTTTATTGCTTGGCTAGAACCTCTAGTAGGATGTTGAATAGAAGTAAGTGGTAAGAGCAAAAATCCATGCCTTACAGGGGTAATATAGGCGGTCTTTCACCATGATATATGATATTAGCTCAGTTTTTCATGAATGCTCTTTACCAATGTGAGGATATCCTCTTCTATTACTCATTTGCAGAGAATTTTTATCATGAGTGGGCACTGAATTTTGTCAAATGTATTTTCTGCATCTTTTGAGATAATTGTGTTGTTTTTTCTTTTTAGTCTGTGTTATACACTGAATGTTTGGGTCCCCCTTCCCCTCAAAATTTATATATTGAAACCCTAACCCCATTGTCACTATATTTGGAGATAGGGCCTGTGAGGAGATTATAAAGGTTAGATGAGGTCATAAGATTGGAATACTAATCCAATAGGGCTGGTGCCCCAATAAGTAAATGAAGAGACACCAGAATTACTTCTTTCTCCACCATGTGAAGACAAAAAGGTGACTGTATGCAAGTGAAAAAAAGAGTCCTCACCAGAAATGAAACTATGCCAGAACCTTGAGCTTGGACTTCCCAGCCACCAGAACTGTGAGAAATAAATTTCTGTTGTTTAAGCCACCCAGTCTACAGTATTTTGTTAGACAGCCTGAGCTAATACAGTCTAGTAATACACTGACTTGTCTTCATTATTTTTTAAATGTTAAGGTTGGTTAAACCTTGCATTCTTGGAATAAACACCACTTGACTGTCATGTGTTCTCATTTCTATATATTATTTGATTGAATTGACTAAAATTTTGCTATGAATATCTTTATCTATGTTCGTGATGTATACTGGTCTGTAATTTTCTACTGTTGTATTATCTTTGCCTGCTTTCTGTATTAGAATAATACTATCCTCATAGAATGAGTAAGAAACTTTTCCTTTCCCTCTATTTCCTGGAAGAGTTTGTGTAAAATGTGTATTATTCCTTTCTTAAATATATGGTAGAATTCATCAATGAAAATATCTTACATGGAATTTTTATTGTGGAAAGATCTAAACTACAAATTCACTTGTTAAATAGATTTAGAAGTATTGAGGTTATCTATTTTTTCTTGAGTAAACTGTGGTAGATTGACTTTCAAGGAATTTGAACATTTCATTTAAATGGCTAACTACATTGGCACAAAGTAATACCTGTAGAATCTATCATAATTTTAATTCATATTCTTGGTGTTTATATTTTCTCTCTTTTAATCTTGATTGATTTGGCTACAGGATTATTAATTATTTTCAGACAGGGTCTCACTGTGTTGCCAAGGATGGAGTGCAGTGGCACAATCTCAACTGACTGCAACCTCCACCTCCCCCTCAAGTGATCCTCCCACCTCAACCTCCTGAATACTTGGGACCACAGGCACACAACACCATACCTGGCTAATTTTTAGTATTTTTGGTAGAGATGGGGTTTCACCATGTTGCTCAGGCTGGTCTCAAACTCCTGAGTTCAAGTGATTTGCACATCTCAGCCTCCCAAAGTGCTAGGATTGCAGGTGTTAGCCACCACGCCTGGCCAGGATTATTAGTTTTATTAATCCCAAAAACCATCTGGTGATTCCATTGATTTCCAGTATTCATTTTCTATTTTCTAATTCATTTATTTTTATCTGATCTTTATTTCCTTTCTTCTGCTTATTTTGTGTTTCATTTGCTCTTAGCTGAGGTCATTAATTTGAGACCTTTTTCTTGTCAAATGAATATAAATGTTTCGTGCTAGAAATGTTTCTGTAATTGCTATATTAACTGTATCAAATAATTTGTTTCACATTTTATTTGTATTCCATTGACTTTTTAAAAATTTATTATTTAATTCACAGATTCTTTAGAAAAGTGTTATTTAGTTTACAAATATTTAGAGATTTCTTAGCTATCCTCCTGTTATTTTTGTATTATTATACTTAAAGTTCTCAGATACATGTGCAGTACATGCAGGTTTGTTACATAGGTATACATGTGCCATGGTGGTTTGCTGCACCCATCAACCCATCATCTAGGTTTTAAGCCCCGCATGCATTAGGTATTTGTCCTAATGCTATCCCTCCCCTTGCTCCCCATCCCCCAGCAGGCCTCAGGGTGTGATGTTCCCCTCCCTGTGTCCATGTGTTTTCATTGGTCAACTCCCACTTATGAGTGAGAACATGTGTTTGGTTTTCTGTCCTCCTGTTACTTATTTATAATTTAATTCTATTGTGGTCAGAAAACCTACTTTGTGTAACTTGAATTTTGTAAACCATACATAATTGGGTCTTGCTTTTTCTTCTACTCAATCTCTGCCTTTTAATTGGAGTATTTAGACCATTTATATTTAATAATTGTTCATGCGTGATTGAGTTTAAATCTATCACATTTCTATTTGTGTTCTATTTCTCTGATCTATTGTTTATTCCCTTTTTCCATGTTCTCTTTTTTTGAATTAATTTTTTATAATTTTATATTCTCTCTTTTATTGGTTTATTAGCTATGACTTTTTGTTTTGGCATTTTGCTTGTTGTTTATGGTTTATAGTGAGATATATATATATTTTTAAAACTGAGTCTCTGTCACCCAGGTTAGACTGTAGTGGTATGATCTCAGCTCACTGCAACCTTCACATTCCAGGTTCAAGCAATCCTCCTACCCCAGTCTCTTGAACAGCTGGGACTATAGGTGCATGCCAGTATGCTCAGTAAATTTTTGTGTTTTTTTTTTGTATTTTTTTGGTAGAGATGAGGCTTTACCATGTTGCCCAGGCTGGTCTCAAACTCCTGGGTTCAAGCAATCCTCCTACCTCGGCCTCCCAAAGTGCTGGGATTACAGGTATGAGCCACCATCCTCAGCCTATAGTGTATACCTTTAAATTATCACAGTCTACCTTCAAATAATAATTTACCACTACAACTGTAGTGTAATAACATAAAAAACATACTTCATTTCTCCTCTCCCTCCTCTCCCAAAACTAACTTAGGTACTTACTAGAATGCAGTTTTCTTTTTGGGCTAGTTCTATAGGCTAGCCACTCTGGGTCCTGGAGACAATGAACAAATGGCTATTGTGCTATTGTTGACATATATTTTACTTCTACATATGTTATAAATCTTACAATTTATTGTTATTTTTACTTTAAACAGTCAATTTTCTTTTTAGTCTATTTAGATGTAAAGACAGTAAAGTATTTTATATTTAGCCATATAGTCACCATTTCCAGTGTCCTTCATACCTCTGTGTAGACCAAATTTCTATGCAGTATAATTTTCTTCTGCCAGAGAATTTCTTTTGCAAATATAAATACTATCATGTTTTTCTTCCACTAAAACTCTCCAAGAGAAGGGGCAGAGCAAGATGGCTGAATAGAAGCCTCCACCAACTGTCCCTCCTATTAAATTTGGAACAACAAATTTAATAACTATATCAAAAAATTACCTTCATAAGAACCAAAAATCAGGTGAGCAATTACAGTACCTGGTTAGAAATTTATATGGCTGAAAGAGGCACCAAAGAGGGTAGGAAAGACAGTCTTGAATTACTAAAAGCACCCCTTTCCCATCCCCCAGCAGCAGTTGTGTAGCACTGAGAAAAATCTGCGCACTTGGTGGAGGAAGAGTGCAGCGACTGCGGGACTTTGCATTGAACTCAGTGCTGCCTTGTCACAATGGAAAGCAAATCCATACAGAAGGAAGATTTAGACCAGCCCTAACAAGAGGGGAACTGCCCATTCCAGCAGACAGAACTTGGTTTTGGCAATCATTGCCACTAAGACTAAAGTGTTCTGGGATCCTAAATATACTTGAAAGGCAGTCTAAACTACAATGACTGCAATTCCTGGCCAAGTGCTTGTACTATATGGGCTCACAGCCAGTGGACCTGGGAGGCAAGCAACATAGTGAGACACCAGCTGGAGCACTTAAGGGAGTGCTTGCACCATCCCTCCCCCATCTCCATAAAATAGTGGAAGAAAAGAAACAATAAAAATCAAAGCAGAAATAAATGAAACTGAAATTAAGACAACAATACAAAAGATCAATGAAGTAAACAGGTAGTTGTGTGGAAAGATAAACAAAATTGACAAAACTTTAGCCAGACTAAGAAAAAAGGAGAGAAGACCCAAATTAATAAAATCAGAGATAATGAAAGAGACATTACACCCAACACTGCAGAAATTCAAAGGATCATCAGTGACTACTATGAGCAACTATATGCCAATAAATTGGAAAATCTAGAAGAAACAAATTCATAGACACATACAACCTACTAAGATTGAACCATGAAGAAATAAAAAACCTGAACAGACCAAAAACAAATGAGATAAAAGCAATAATAAAAAGCCTCCAAGCAAAGAAAAGCCCAGGACCTGATGGCTTCACTGCCGAATTCTACCAAACATTTAAAGAACTAACACCAATACTATTTAAACTGTTCCAAAAAATAGAGGAGAAGAAAATACATCCAAACTTATTCTTCAAGGCCGGTATTACCTTAATACCAAAATCAGACAAAGACACATCCAAAAAAAAAAAAGCTACAGGTTAATATCCCTGGTGAAAACTGATGCAAAAATTCTCAACACAATACTAGCAAACTGAATTCCACAACACATTAAAATGATCATTTATATTATGATCAAGTGGGATTTATCCCAGGGATGAAAGAATGGTTCAACATTTGTAAATCAATCAATGTGATACATCATGTCAACAGAATGAAGAACAAAACCCTATGGTCATTTCAATTGATGTGGAAAAAGCACTTGACAAAATTCAACATGCCTTTATGATAAAAACCCTCAAAAAACTGGAAATAGAAGGAACATACCTCAACATACTAAAAGCCGTATAGGAAAGACCCACAGCTAATATCATACTCAATGGGGAAAAACTGGAAGCCCTTCCTTTAAGATCTGGAACACAAAGATGCCCATTTTCACCACTGTTATTCAAGATCATACTGGATGTCCTAGCTAGAGCAATCAGACAAGAGAAAGAAATAAAAGGCATCCAAAATGGAAAAGAAGAAGTCAAATTATCCTTGTTTGCAGATGATATAATCATATCTGGAAAAATCTAAAGATTACACCAAAAAACTATTAGAACTGATAAATTCAGTAAAGTTCCAGGATAAAAAATCAACATATGAAAATCAGTAGCATTTCTATATATCAACAGTAAACAATCTGAAAAAGAAATCAAGAAAGTAATCCCATTTACAATAGCTACAAATAAAATACAATACCTAAAAATTAACTTATCCAGACAAGTGAAAGATCTCTACAATGAAAATTATAAAACACTGATGAATTGAAAAGGACACCAAAAAAAATGGAAACATATTTCATGTTTATGGATTGGAAGAATCAATATTGTTCAAATGTTGATACTACCCAAAGCAATTCACAGATTCAATGTAGTCCCTATCAAAATACCAATGACATTCTTAATGACAGAAATAGAAAAAACAATCCTAAAATTTGTATGGAACAACAAAAGACCCAGAGTAGCTAAAGCTATTTTGAGCAAAAAGAACAAAACTGTAGGAATCAAATTACTTGACTTCAATTTATACTACAGAGCTATAGTAACCAAAAACAGCATGGTACTAGTGTAAAAACAGACACATTACCAATGGAACAGAAGAGATAACCCAGAAACAAATCTATACACATACAGAGAACTCATTTTTGACAAAGGTGCCAAGAACATACATTGGGAAAACGACAGTCTCTTCAATAAATGGTGCTGGGAAAACTGGATATCTATATGCTAAAGAATAAAACTTGACCCTTATCTCTCACCACATATAAAAATAAAATCAAAATGGGTTAAAGACTTAAATCTAAGACCTCAAACTGTGAAACTATTAAAAGAAACCATTGGGAAAATGCTGAGTCTGTCTTGCAGACTCTGGCTGAGCAACGGATGAAAGGAGTACTCAGACACAGGTATCCAGTGAAAGAGCGGGATACAGGACTGCTGGCATTAGGGGCTGAAGAGAATTAGCAGTTCCCGTAAGCCAGCGATGCTCATATTTATTTAGTACAGATTTAATGACAAAGGCTTGGAGCATACAAAATTTTGGGGTAATAAGCATTGTTGACTGCAGGATCAGTCTTGCATGTGAATGATCAACGGTTGGTTTCTGGAGAAAAGAGTAAACAAATTTATCTAGATAAGTTCATTTACATTCCCTTGTTATCTACCTTTTGCTCTCAGGCTCCAGATAAGAGAATCTGGCTGCCTTCAGCTATATCCTCATTCGAAGCTTTTGCAAAACCTCCTGACCTTCTAAGGTTTTCATCTTTCCCTATAATTTTTCCCACCACCCTGGCCCATCTCCTACAGAGAAACTCTCCAGGATATTGGACTGGGCAAAGATTTCTTGAGTAATACCCCATGAGCACAAACAACCAAGGCAAAAATGGGCAAATGGGATCACATCAAGTTAAAGGCCTTCTTCACAACAAAGGAAACAATTAGCAAAGTGAAGAGAGAACCCAAAGAATGGGAGAAAATATTTGCAAACTACCTATCTGACAAGGGATTCATAACCAGAATATATAAGGAACTCAGACGATTCTATAGAAAAAAATCTAATAATCCAATTAAAAGATAGGCAAAAGATCTGAGTAGATATTTCTCAAAAGAAGACAAAAAATGGCAAACAAACATATGAAAAGGTGCTCAACATCATCGATCATCAGAGAAATACAAATCAAAACTACAGGCCAGGCACGGTGGCTCACGCTTGTTATCCCAGCGCTTTGGGAAGCCAAGGCAGGCAGATCACTTGAGGTCAGGAGCTCGAGACCAGCCTGGCCAACATGGTGAAACCTCGTCTCTACTAAAATACAAAAATTAGCCAGGCATGGTGGTGCATGCCTGTAGTCCCAGCTACCAGGGAGGCTGAAGTAAAAGAGTCACTTGAACCCAGTAGACAGAGCTTGCAGTGAGCTGAAATCATGCCACTGCACTCCAACCTGGGCAACAGAGTGAGATTCTGTCTCAAAAAAACAAAAACAAAAACAAAAAACCAAAAATTAGCCAGGCATGGTGGTGTGGGTATGTAATAGCTACCTGGGAGGCTGAGGCAGGAGAATTGCTTGGACCCAGGAGGCACAGGTTGCAGTGAGCCAAGATCATAATCTCACCCAAGTTAAAATAACTTTTATCCAAAAGACAGGCAATAAAAAATGCTGGTGAGGATGTGAAGAAATAGGAACCCTAGTACACTGTTTTTGGGAATGTAAATTAGTACAACCGCTATGGAGAACAGTTTGGATGTTCCTCAAAAAACTAAAAAGAGGCTACAACATGATCCAGAAACCCATTGCTGGGTATATACCCAAAAGAAAGGAAATCACTATATCAAAGAAATATCTGCACTCCCATACTTATTGCAGCACTGTTCACAATAGCCAAGATTGGGAAGCATCCTGAGTGTCTGTCAATAGCTGAATGGATAAAGAAAATGTGGTACATATACAATGGAGTACTACTCAGACCTAAAAAAGAATGAGATCCTGTCATTTGGAACAGCATGCATGGAACTGGAGGTCATTATGCTAAGTGAAATGAGCCATGCACAGAAAGACAAACTTCGCATGATTGCACTTATTTGTGGGAGTGAAACTAAAAGCAATTGAACTCGGAGATAGAGAGTGGGATGATTACTAGAGGCTGGGCAGGGTAGGGGTGGTGGGAGTGGCAAGTGGGGATAATTAATCATACGAAAAAATAGAAAGAATAAAGAAGACCTAGTATTTGATGGCACAACAGGGTGACTATAGTCAATAATAATTTTAAATAACTAATAGAGTATAATTGGATTGTTTGTAATACAAAGGATAAATGCTTGAGGAGAAGGATACTCCATTTACCCTGATGTGATTATTATGCATTGCATGCCTGTTGATATGGTTTGGCTCTGTGTCCCTGTCCAAATCCCATCTCAAACTGTAATCCCCACATGATGAGAGAGGGAGGTGATCAGATTATGGGGGCAGTTTCCCCCATGCTGTTCTCATGACAGTGAGTGAGTTCTCATGAGATCTAATGGTTTCTTAAGTGTTTTACAGTTTCTCCTTCATGCACTCACTCTCTCCTGCTGACTTGTGAAGAAGGTGCCTGCTTCCCCTTCCACTATAATTGTAAGTTTCCTGAGGCCTCCTAGCCATGCAGAACTGGGGTCAAATAAACCTCTTTCCTTTATAGATTACCCAGTTTCACATAGTATCTTTATAGTAGTGTGAAAATGGACTAATACACCTGTTATTAAAATATCTCACATAGCCCATGAATAGATATACCATATACCCACAAAAATTAAAAACAAAATACATATATTTTTAAAACTCTCAATAAATTCCAATCATACTTAATGTAAAATGTAATATCCTAACCTATGACCTCCTAGGTTCTCTATGATCTGTTCTCAGAATACCTAATTGTTCCCTTCACACATACTCTGACTCTGCTCCAATCACACTGGCTTTCTGCCAAGCACATGCTTCCCTCAAAGCTTTTGCACTTGCTCTGTTACCTGGACAGCTCTTCCCTCAAATTATTGCTTGCCCTGTTCTCTCATTTTGTGGAAATCACTTATCCATACATTACCTCAACAGAAAGGACACACATACCCATCATTTCCTACACTTTATCTTGCTTTGCTTCCTTTCAAAGTACTTAATGCTACTTGAAATCATATTATATTTTTGTTTATGATTATCTCTCGGCTCTATCATTGGACCTAAGCTCCAGGAAACAAGAACTTTGTTTGTTCATACATTGTCTCCAGGTCCTAAAACAGTGGCTGGCATACAAAACTAGCTCAAAAAGAAAATTGCCTTCCTTTAACTACCTGAGTTAATTCTGATAACCATTATTATCCTACACCAAACAAAATCCTAAAAAAGAGGATCCAGAACAGACTGGATTTTGGAAATAATTTGGGAGTAATCACAACTTTGCCTATTCTGAAATGACAGTTCCCTATTAATCTAAATAAGCTAGCTTTGAATTTCAGAACTATATTTAAGGTTCTGCCTTGGGGCAATAGAGGGCAAAGAACAAAGGGCAAGAAAGGCTCTGTTCTTCTTAATTATTCCTTCATCCTTTCCCAAACCCCTACATTTATAGAATACACAAAGGCATTAGGAAGGAGAGAAGGGAGAGGAAGATGAAATGCCAAATTTCTACTCTGGCCATCACAACCTAACAGGTCCAGCCAGATTTTAGAATCCAAATAATGTAAAAGTAGGTAAAATCGGGGAAGCTGTTCCATCTCTGAGTCCTCAGTTATTTTAAACACTAAACTTGCTGTAGTTGTGAGGAATTAAATGATGACCAGAAGTCTGGATTTTTGGACCCAGCCAAAGGAACCAATACCATGGTCCTCTGTCCCTTATATCTTCATTCATTTTCTTCTGTACTCTGGATACCCTGCTAGGACAAATGGATAGTCTTTCAAATTTTATTATTAGTCCCTAATCTATATGTAATAATTTTTTAACTTACATCATTCTCAGTCATTTTATGTGACCTACAGAAGTGAATTTATGCTACATAAATTCTGTCTAATGCTAATAACTTCCTCTTTTATATTTTTCACCCACAAAAATATCTATATTTGCAGCCAGAGGAGAAGCCATTATAAACTGTTATGGTAGTAAATTTGGAATGGGACTCCATAAGCAATAATTATTTTCCAAATTCTTTTTACCACTATGTTTTGACAATTTATGTATTTCAGATGTACAAAATACCTCCAGAAAATAAAGATACCACACCGACATAAGAAATCATTTTTTTCTATGCACCAGGTCTGTTTATGATTACAATAGGAGTAAGATATTCTGACTGTTCTAACATGTATTTGTATCTAAATTGTCTAGATCCATTCTTATATAATCCATAGTTTACTCATAAGATTATTTTGTAGATTTAAAAAGATAATTTATGCATAGCATATAACATATAATAAGCATTTAATATTAGGTACATTGATTAATAAGTGACAATATTTCACTTACATAGTCTTATGCAAAATATTATAAAATGATCTCCAGACATTTCTTCCAGTTTTCACAAACCTAAATTACAATAAATAGTCAAAAAAATATACACCAGCACTTTGGGAGGCACAGGCAGATTGATAGCTTGAGTCCAGGAGTTTGAGACTAGCCTGGGCAACATGGGGAAACCTTGTCTCTACAGTAAATACAAAAATTAGCCAAGTGTGGTGGTGTTCCTGTAGTCCTAGCTACTTCGGAGCCTGAGGCAGGAGCGTAGCTTGAGCTTGGGAGGCAGAGGTGAGCTGAGATGCAGCCACTGCACTCCAACATGGGTGACAGAGCCAGACACACACTCTCTCTCTCTCTCTATATATATATATATACACACACACACATATATATACACATATATACATATATACACACATATATACACATATATACATGTATACACACATATATACATATATATATACACACACACACAATAGAGGACATAGGGTGACGTAACTTTTTATTCTACAATGAGAGAATGATATAAACATCTTTCATTCATCCAAGAAATATGGACTGAGCATTATAGGACAGGTGCTGAAATATAATAGTGAACAACACAAGTAGGCTCCCTGTCCACATTGAGCTTGCCATCTATCACTAAAGAAAAATATTAAGTGCATGGCTTACAAATGTGACAAATATTAAGAAGGAGAATTCAAGCAACTAACAGGCTTCTAAATCAGAAGTGATCTGAATTGAGAAAGGGTTCTTTGAGGTAATAGCATGACTTTATATTTCATCTAGCTATATGGATCTCATTTCTTTAGAGATTTCAAAATACCAAGAACTGAAATTTCAAATTTATATTTGTGGATATAATAATTTTAATAGAGTCATCTTAAGCAGTAGATTCTTTTGTTGTTGTTGTTGTGCTTTTATTTTATTATACTTTAAGTTTTAGGGTACATGTGCACAACATGCAGGTTTGTTACATATGTATACATGTGCCATGCTGGTGTGCTGCACCCAGTAACTCGTCGTTTAACATTAGGTATATGTCCTAATGCTATCCCTCCCCCCTCCCCCCACCCCACAACAGGCCCCAGTGTGTGATGTTCCCCTTCCTGTGTCCATCTGTTCTCATTGTTCAATTCCCACCTAGGAGTGACAACATGCGGTGTTTGGTTTTTTGTCCTTGTGACAGTTTGCTGAGAATGATGGTATCCAGCTTCATCCATGTCCCTACAATGGACATGAACTCATCATTTTTTATGGCTGCATACTATTCCATGATGTATATGTGCCACATTTTCTTAATCCAGTCTATCATTGTTGGACATTTGGGTTGGTTCCAAGTCTTTGCTATTGTGAATAGTGCTGCAATAAACATACATGTGCATGTGTCTTTATAGCAGCATGTTGTTTTATAATCCTTTGGATATATACCCAGTAATGGGATGGCTGGGTCAAATGGTATTTCTAGTTCTAGATCCCTGAGGAATCGCCACACTGACTTCCACAATGGTTGAACTAGTTTACAGTCTCACCAACAGTGTAAAAGCATTCCTATTTCTCCACATCCTCTCCATCACCTGTTGTTTCCTGACATTTTAATGATCGCCATTCTAACTTGTGTGAGATGGTATCTCATTGTGGTTTTGATTTGCATTTCTCTGATGGCCAGTGATGATGAGCATTTTTTCATGTGTCTGTTGGCTGCAGAAATGTCTTCTTTTGAGACGTGTCTGTTCATATCCTTTGCCCACTTTTTGATGGGGTTGTTTGATTTTTTCTTGTAAATTTATGTAAGTTCTTTAAAGATTCTGGAAATCAGCCCTTTGTCAGACGGGTAGATTGTAAAAATTTTCTCCCATTCTGTAGGTTGCCTGTTCACTCTGATGGTAGTTTCTTTTCCTGTGCAGAAGCTCTTCAGTTTAATTAGATCCCATTTGTCAATTTTGGCTTCTGTTGCCATTACTTTTGGTGTTTTAGTCATGAAGTCCTCGCCCATGCCTAGGGCCTGAATGGTATTGCCTAGGTTTTCTTCTAGGGTTTTTATGGTTGTAGGTCTACCATTTAATCTTTTGGATAAAGAGTCAAGACCCATCAGTGTGCTGTATTCAGGAGACCCACCTCACGTGCAGAGACACACATAGGCTCAAAATAAAGGGATGGAGGAAGATCTACCAAGCAAATGGAAAACAAAAAAAAGCAGGGGTTGCAATCCTAGTCTCTGATAAAACAGACTTTAAACCAACAAAGATCAAAAGAGACAAAGAAAGCCATTACATAATGGTAAAGGCATCAATTCAACAAGAAGAGCTAACTATCCTAAATATATATTCACCCAATACAGGAGCACCCAGATTCATAAAGAAAGTCCTTAGAGACCTAAAAAGAGACTTAGACTTCCATACAATAATAATGGGAGAGTTTAACACCCCACTGTCAATATTAGACAGACCAACGAGACAGAAAGTTAATAAGGATATTCAGGAATTGAACTCAGCTCTGCACCAAGCGGACCTAATAGACATATACAGAACTCTCCACCCCAAATCAACAGAATATACATCCTTCTCAGCACCACACTGCACTTATTCCAAAATTAACCACATAGTTGGAAGTAAAGCACTCCTCAGCAAATGTAAAAGAACAGAAATTATAACAAACTGTCTCTCAGACCACAGTGCAATCAAAGTAGAACTCAGGATTAAGAAACTCACTCAAAACCGCTCAACTACATGGAAACTGAACAACCTGCTCCTGAATGACTACTGGGTACATAATGAAATGAAGGCAGAAATAAAGATGTTCTTTGAAACCAACAAGAACAAAGACACAACATACCAGAATCTCTGGGACACATTCAAAGCAGTGTGTAGAGGGAAATTTATAGCACTAAATGCCCACAAGAGAAAGCAGGAAAGATCTAAAATTGACACCCTAACATCACAATTAAAAGAATTAGAGAAGCAAGAGCAAACACACTCAAAAGCTAGCAGAAGGCAAGAAATAACTAGGATCACAGCAGAACTGAAGGAGATAGAGACACAAAAAATCCTTCAAAAAAAGCAATGAATCCAGGAGCTGGTTTTTTGAAAAGATCAACAAAATTGATAGACTGCTAGCAAGACTAATAAAGAAGAAAAGAGAGAAGAATGAAATAGACGCAATAAAAAATGATGAAGGGGATATCACTACCAATCCCACAGAAATACAAACTACCATCAGAGAATACTATGAACACCTCTATGCAAATAAACTAGAAAATCTAGAAGAAATGGATAAATTCCTGGACACATACACCCTCCCAAGACTAAACCAGGAAGAAGTTGAATCCCTGAGTAGACCAATAACAGGTTCTGAAATTGAGGCAATAATTAATAGCCTACCAACCAAAAAAATTCCAGGACCAGATGGATTCACAGCCGAATTCTACCAGAGGTACAAAGAGGAGCTGGTATGATTCCTTCTGAAACTATTCCAATCCATAGAAAAAGAGGGAATCCTCCCTAACTCATTTTATGAGGCCAACATCATCCTGATACCAAAGCCTGGCAGAGACACAACAAAAAAAGGGAATTTTAGACCAATATCCCTGATGAACATCCATGCAAAAATCCTCAATAAAATACTGGCAAACCGAATCCAGCAGCACATCAAAAACTTATCCACCATGATCAAGTTGGCCTCATCCCTGGGATGCAAGGCTGGTTCAACATATGCAAATCAATAAACGTAATCCATCATATAAACAGAACCAAACACAAAAACCATATGACTATCTCAATAGATGCAGAAAAGGCCTTTGATAAAATTCAACAGCGCTTCATGCTAAAAACTCTCAATAAACTAGGTATTGATGGGACCTATCTCAAAATAATAAGAGCTATTTATGACAAACCCACAGCCAATATCATACTGAATGGGCAAAAACTGGAAGCATTCCCTTTGAAAACTGGCACAAGACAGGGATGCCCTCTCTCACCACTCCTATTCAACACAATGTTAGAAGTTCTGGCCAGGGCAATCAGACAAGAGAAAGAAATAAAGGGTATTCGATTAGGAAAAGAGGAAGTCAAATTGTCCCTGTTTGCAGAAGACATGACTGTATGTTTAGAAAACCCCATCGTCTCAGCCCAAAATCTCCTTAAGCTGATAAGCAACTTCAGCAAAGTCTCAGGATACAAAATCAATGTACAAAAATCACAAGCATTCCTATACACCAAGAACAGGCAAACGGAGAGCCAAATCATGAGTGAACTCCCATTCACAATTGCTTCAAAGAGAATAAAATACCTAGGAATCCAACTTACAAGGGATGTGAAGGACCTCTTCAAGGAGAACTACAAACCATTGCTCAACAAAATAAAAGAAGACACAAACAAATGGAAGAACATTCCATGTTCATGGATAGGAAGAATCAATATTGTGAAAATGGCCATATTGCCCAAGGTAATTTATAGATTCAATGCCATCCCCATCAAGCTACCAATGACTTTCTTCACAGAATTGGTAGAAACTTCTTTAAAGTTCATATGGAACCAAAAAAGAGCCTGCATTGCCAAGACAATCCTAAACCAAAAGAAAAAGGCTGCAGGCATCACGCTACCTGACTTGAAACTATACTATAAGGCTACAGTAAGCAAAACAGCCTGGTACTGGTACCAAAACAGAGATATAGACCAATGGAACAGAATAGAGCCTCTGGAAATAATACCACACATCTACAACCATATGATCTTTGACAAACCTGACAAAAACAAGAAATGGGGAAAGGATTCCCTATTTAATAAATGGTGCTGCGAAAACTGGCTAGCCATACGTAGAAAGCTGAAACTGGATCCCTTCCTTACACCTTATACAAAAATTAATTCAAGATAGATTGAAATTCCCATTCTTAACCTCATAAATCGAAAGTTAAACCGCTCATCCCCACTGACGGATGGAAACAGGATGCTTATTAACCAAATTTTGGTTAAGTTTTTTTCCTTTCCCAAAATCCCTGAACTTTGGCTTACCCTCAAGTTGAGCCAGCACACAACTTTCCTTAAACAGCACCCCCAAGAGAGCAGACTGGTCTCAGAGTCAAACATTCTCTGTCAGATCATGCCACCATTTCATCCTTCTTCCCCCAACCCAGTTCATTCTAGCCTAGGTTACTCCTCTCTATAAAAGAAAAGCCAAACCTTTTTTTTTTTTTTTTTTTGCCTAACTCTTGAGATGCTTGCCCTTTCTCCACCTTGTAATAATCCCTGCAAATAAAATCTCTCTTTACTGTGTCCAAATTTGTTTTTTATTTGACACTACACACTGGAAACAAACACAATATTTCTCAATAAGGACAATACAATGAGGTTTACTCCAGCTTAAAGAGTTTAATGTTTTCTAACTTGTTCAACAGATAAAACATTTACTTGGCAATGTGGCACCAAAAAATACGTGGCTTCAAATGCTACAATCACAGAGCAAAATGTTCACATCATGTGAGCCCTGAGAGTAACTGAGATTGAAGTTACAGCAATGACCTATCCTCTATCCCAACCTCATGCCAAAATATATGCCCCTTGAGTAGAGTGGCTGGTTAAAAAAAAAAAAATTATTTTCTTCATTATTTCACTTCATTTTTTTTTTGTCCTGGATACATATAGTTGAATCCTGTTAAGTAAAATACAAGTGTAATATGTCGTCCCCATGCTCTAAAACACTACAATAAGAAAGGAGACAAAAGAAAGAAAATTATAATAAAATCTTATCTTCAGGAATCCTTAAGAGAATACATCATTCTGAACTGTCAAAGATTTGCTCACTTGAATCTTCTTATAAAAATCTTTCTAAATTGCATTGCTTATTTCACTACATTCTTAAACAACGTACTCTATAATTTAATCTGTTCTTAGATGATATAAGATTATTGTTATTTTAAAATAAAAGTCCACTCTAGTGTACAGCAATGGTGGCTGCATGATCTACTGTGGTGGATAAGACTGAGTATTGCTGAGCTTTGTGAGTTATTTTGTTTTGCTTTATGGATACTGTCTCCTTTCCATTGTAAAAGGTCCACTTTTTTTTTTACTTCTGTCATTATATCTGCCTGTCACAACAACTCTTCTCCTTCCAAATGCTGCTTTTTATATGCTTTAGATTGAAAAGGAAGGGCGAACAGAAATTTCCATCCTTCTAGGACTTGTTTGAGAGTATCCCAACTTTGAGAGAGGGCTCCAGGAACTTTTCTATGTAAGAGATTATTTATCTATGAATGAACTGCATAAGCTTTAGTATTTTCATCTTGTTCTTCCCATCTTGGCTGTGCAGAGCTCTCTTTATTTCCTGACTTGAGCTATATTCCAAGTGTCAAAAAAGTAAAATGAAAAGAACATCTTGGAAGAGCATAATGATAGTAGTAAGGATGAAAGCTATTTTTTAGAGAATTGGAAGAGGCAGGCTGACAAATCATGTTAAAAGGTTTGGTTGAAAAGATCAATTCTCTCTCAGGTAATGCAATTTCCAGATTAGTAATTTTTTAAATAGATAGCAGAATCTGGAAGTATGACTTAAGGAAAAGAGTACTGGACTTGAGGCAGAGTATTTGATTCAAACTAAAATCCTGTCATATATTAACTGTATGACCTTGAATAAATGATTGATTGATCTACACTAATTTTTAGTGTCTCAACTATCAAACAGAAATAGGAATATTTATGCTCTGCTTGTCTAACAGCGTTGCTGTCAAGATCAAAAAAATAATATATTTTAGAAGTGGCTTATAAAAGTATTAGAAGTGAATATTGTCTAAATACCACTGTTCATGGACAAAGTGTATTTTTTCAATAAAAATTGTATAGATTAAACGTATACAACATGATGTTTTTATATATATATACATATAACAGTGAAATAATTACTACAGTCAAGCAAATTAGTATACCTATCTCACAGTTACCTTTTTTGTGTGCCTCCTTGAAAGCACCTGAAGTCTAATCTCTTACCAAAATTTCAATATTCAACACAGTATTACTAACTACAGTCATCATGCTGTAAACTAGAACTCTAGACATATTCATACTACAGAACTATAACTATGTATCCATTGGCCTACATCTCCCCATTTACCCCACCTCTCCAGCCCTGGTAACCACTGTTCTACCTCTGTTTCTTTGTATTTCACTTTTTAGTATATCCCATGTAAGTGTGATCATGCAATGTTTTTCTGTCTAGCTTATTTCATGAAGCAGAATGTCCTCCAGGTTTATCCATGTGGTCTCAAATGGGCAGATCCCCATTTTTAAGGCTGAATAATATTCTATTATATATATATATATACATCACAATTTCTCCATCCATCCATCCTTCCATCGACAGACACTTAGGTTGTTTCTGTATCTTAGCTATGGTGAATAATGCAGCAATGAACATGAGAGTGCAGATATTTCAAGGTACTGATTTCATTTCTTTTGAGTACATACCCAGAAAAGGGATCACTGCATCATGTAGTAGTTCTAATTTTACTTTTTTGAGGAACCACCATATTGTTTTCCATAAAGGCTATATCAATATATATGCTTACCAACAGTGTACAAAATTTCCTTTTCTCTACTCCCTGGCTAACACATGTCTCTTGTCCTTTTAGTAATAGCCATCCTGACAGGAATGAGGTGATATCTCATTGTGGTTTTGATCTGCATTTCACTAATGATTAGTGACATTGAACATTTTTTTCATTTATCTGCTAGCCATTTTATGTCTTCTTTGGAGAAATGTTGATTCAAGTCCTTAGCCCATTGTTCAATCAGGATATTGGGGGGGGTTTGTTTTGCTTTGTTTTGTGTCATCGAGTTGTAGGAGTTTCTTATATATTTTGAATATTACCCACTTATCAGATGTATGGTTTTCAAATATTTTCTCCCAATCTGTTGGTTGCCTTTTTATTTTGTATTCACAAGTTTTCTGCAATGCAAGTGCATCATATTATTCATGGTAGTTTTTCTAAATTTTCTGATAATACAAAGCACTTAGAACCATGCTTCTCAAACATTAATTGGCACAGAATCATGTTAAAATGTGTTGTTAAATTCAGATTGAGATTTGGAAGCTAGTAATCTGACTATGCTTCCAGATGATGCAGATGCAGTTTGAGAAGCACTTTCATAGCCTAAAGCAGTGATTCTCAATGTTAGAAATGCAAATTCTCAAGCCCCGCCCCAGACTTACTGAATCAGAAGCTAGAGAGGAGAGGGGAGCAGCATTCTCAAGTCTGTTTTAACAAGCTCTGCAGGTGCTTCTGGTGTATTCGTAAAGCTTGAGAACAACTGGCCTACAGCGCTTATTGAATACCAGATTTCTAGGCCATGTCTCTGGATATTCTGGTATAACAGATTTGGCTCAGGGCTCTGGAATCTGTTTTTAATCACCCATTCCTGGTGTATCTTATCTTCAAGCAAATTTGGGAAACACTGCTATGGCCATAGAGTTTCACCTTCAGGACCCTTTCATGTTGCCTTCAATGAGCCCTAGTATTGGGAACACTGCTGTAAAACATCCCCCATTCCGTGTAATAGTTCAGTAAGTCTCTGCTGAGCATTTCTATGAGTTAGACGGTATGTTGAACACCATTTGAAGTCCCATTCCCAATTGTCATTTATCCTAAGAGAGACTTAGATATTAGCAACTCTGTACCCATGTGAAGTTTATTAATATTTCTTTCCAACTGAAACTACCATTGCAAAAATTATAACTGAGAAAATCATTACAGTGAAAGAGATCTGATCTAATCAACTCCATCTTGCTTCTAACCTCCAAGCTGGGCCTGTTCATTCCTGGGCATAGGCTGCACTAACTTTGGAAGGAACTTAGTTTATAGTTTAACTTTGAAACAAGGACAATAATAGCCCTTTCCTGAAACAAACCCCCTTCTTGCCTGAGGACTAGATTGCCTTTGTAGGACTAACAAATTAGCCACAAGATTAGAAATCATGGTTTAGGAGTCAGGCAGCTAGATTTTGACCCTCTTCAAATCGCTCCTGGGGATAACATCTTGAGATATTTTTGCAGACCCTGCACCTGATGGATCAGCTGGCACCACCCGAATCAATAAATTGGCTCCTCTGGTCTTGTGGCCCCCACCCAGGAACTGACTCAATGCAAGAGGACAGCTTGGACTCCCTATGATTTTATCTCTGACCCAACCAATCAGCACTCCCGCCGACTCACTGGCCGCTACAGCATTTTCAGGCAGACTGATTTGAGTAATAATAAAACTCCAGTCTCCCGTACAGCCAGCTCTGTGTGAATTAAACTCTTTCTCTATGGCAACTTCCCTGTCTTGATAAATCCGGTCTGTCTAGACAGCAACAAGGAGAACCTGTTGGGCGTTACACTGTTAGATATTAGCAATTCTGTAGCCATGTAGAGTTTGTTTTTTTCCATGAAAACTTCTTTATCTCAAGTGGGTCCTTTAGCAGCATTTGATCAGAACATTTGATACTACAAAGAGGCCAAAATATTGCCCTTAGGACATATGAGCCAATTTGTTATTCAAAATGAAAACAGTTTTATTTTCAACTGACTGCATCTGTAGCATATACTAACTCAATGATTAATATAACAAAAAGTAAAAGTAGCATTATAATCTTTTCCCAAACAATAAAAACCAGGCTAATGTTCATTCATTCATCATTCATTCATGGATTCATTTATATCACCCATCACATAGTTTTTACCTTAAAATTTCAACTTCTATTTTAGATTCAGCAGGTACATGTGCAGAGTTGTTACATGGATATATTGTGTCATGCTGAGGTTTGCGGTATGAATGATCCTATCACCCAGATAGTAAACATAGTGATGCAGAATTTTTGCTCCTTAGTTCAGCTAAATCTGGGTTCTTGTGTCACGACCAAGAAAGATAGGCATATGGACACACTGAAGGGTGAGCAGAGCAGAATTTAGTGGGTGAAAAGGAAAAAAAACAAAAACAAAAACGAAAAAAACAGCGCTCAGCAAAGCTAGAGGGATTCCTGCCAACGGGCTCCCACCTCACAGATTGAATACCAGGCCACCTTCAGCTTGAATAACCAAGTTGAAGAGCCCACGCTCATCCTTGCACAACGCACAAACTTCCAGTGGCTCCACCCCATTCCCCCAGTGTGCATGTGGGCATTATTCAGAAAGAATCAGTCAGAAATGTGTGGGCAAACAGGGGCAGTTCTCCCTCTAGGTCGTGGGTTTCATCTGGGACCAGCAGTCTGGTCTTTCAGCCTTCAGGCTGTTTTAGGCTTGAAGGTGGAGTTTCACCAGAAACCCTTGGCTGTCTCCTGTCTCTATCAATAGTACCTGACAGGTAACTTTTCAACTCTTGCCAGCCTCCATCCCTCCTGCTTCTAGTAGTCCTGTGTCTATTGTTCCTATCTTTATATCCATGTATACCTCATGGTTAGCTTCCACTTATAAGTGAAAACACACGGTATTTGGTTTTCTGTTTCTACATTGATAGGCTTAGGATAATGGCCTCCAGCTGCATCCATGTTGCTGCAAAGGACATGATTTTGCTCTTTTTCAGGGCTACGTAGTATTACATGGTGTATATGCACCATATTTTCTTTATTCAATTCACCATTGATGGACCTAAGTTGATTTCATGCCTTTGCTATTGTGAGTAGTGCTGCAATGAACAAATGAGTGTCTCTGTTTTTTGACAGAATGCTTTACATTCCTTTGCATATATATCCAGTAATGGGATTGCTGGTTCAAGTGGTAGTTCTATTTTTAGTTCTTTCAGAAATCTCCAAACTGCTTTCCACAGTGGCTGAACTAATTTACAATCCCACCAACAGTGTATAAGTGTTCCTTTTTCTCCACAGCCTCATCAATATCTGTTATTTTTTCTACATTTTATTTTCACTTAACTTTTGAGTTCCAGAGGTACATTCGATGATTTACTATATAGGTAAACTTTTGTCATGGAGGTTTTTTGTACAGATTATTTCATCACCCAGGTATTAAGCCTAGTACCCATTCATTGTTTTTACTGATTCTCTCCCTCCTCTCACCCTCCACCCTGATAGGCTCCAGTGTGTGTTGTTCCCCTCTATGTGTCCATGTGTTCTTATCCTTTAGCTCCCACTTATAAGTGAGAGCATGTGGTATTTGGTTTTCTGATCCTGTGTTAGTTTGCTAAGGATAATAGCCTCCAGCTCCATCCATGTTCCTGCAAAGGACATGATCTCATTCTTTTCTGTGGCGCATAGTATACCATGGTATATATGGTACCACATTTTCTTTATCCAGTCTACCATTCATAGGCATTTAGGTTGATTCCGTGTCTCTGCTATTGTGAATAGAGCTGCAAAGAACACGTGTGTATGTATCACATGGTTATTAAGCATTCACCAAATGGCTGAGTGCTGGGCACTTGTAAATGTTTATCTGTAATTTGCTTTAAAATACTTTAGCATAAACAATGTGATAATACATGTTGAAGTTGTACCCTAAATGTGTGTTTTTTTCTTTGTTGTCCTAAACAAAAACTGTCTGTCCCTGAATTTCAGGGTCATCAACTAACATATACAGTACTCAGAAAGGCCACATTTTAGAACAAGCTAGTACAAGGGTTTCAGTCATCCTTACACATAGCATTCTTATACACAGAGGTTTCCATGAATTAGTATGAAGAATATGAGAAAATCATTTTCTTTGGTAACATTAGTGGCTTGTTAGTTAGTATAGGGGATATTAGAAATGGATACCCATTAGTGAAATTAGTGGTATTCAAAATAGGTGGTTAAAGTAGGGTATTTTAGAGCCCCCTTCCCCACTCCCATGTTTCCATGAACAGGGGATAAGAGTCTAGTGAACAGTTCATCTTCATCCTTCATCTTTCACCATTTGAGATGACACTGAAGGCTTGATCTCTTGAATTTAATCATTGGTTCAGACAATTCTGGCATCTGGTGCTAACTATAAAGATAACTGAATCCTGACTCTAAATTGATGTTGCATCTGCTTTCAGTGAAACTTTCTTCTCCGATGTAATTTAGGTAAATAAAAGAACTGAATACTGGGATTTTACAGTTTACCAGAATAGATGATATACACTGGCTTTGCCTTTTTATTAATCTGTATTTGTTTAATAAATGATTATTTGAGTGGCAGGATTTAGTCTAAGACTTGCTTTCATCATAACCTGGAGAAGAGATTGTGGGGGAGCACCCAACCTTCACCCATATCCAACTATTAGCAGCTTCTGTTATCTATAAAACAGAAATACTCATTGTGCTTGTCCAGATTGGTTTACATCAGTTCTTACAAAGAAACACTGGTAAGAAAAGCCAAACAAGATCCTTGTCTTTGTGGAACTACCCTCCTAGAAGTAGACAAATATTAATCACACATCATCTAAATAAAATGTAAAATGCAACCAGGACAAGTACTCTAAGGAAGAGTTACATGGGACAATGAGAGCATACAATAGGGATTCTAACCTTGCCAGGGAGTTTGAGGAAGTCAGTTGCCATGGATTTAATCTTGTCTCCCCATCCTCAAATTCATACTTAAAGTCTTAACCTCTCATATGATTTGGCTGTGTCCCCACACAAATCTCATCTTGAATTGTAACTCCCACAATTCCCACATGTTGTGGGAGGGACCCAGTGGGAGGTAACTGAATCATGTGGGTGGGTCTTTCCCATGCTATTCTCATGATAGTAAGTCTCACGAGATCTGATGGTTTTATAAAGGGGAGTTTCCCTGCACAAGCCCTCTTCTCTTGTCTGCCATCATGTGAGACATACCTTTCACCTTCCACCATGATTTTGAGGCCTCCCCAGCCACGTGGAACTGAGTCCATTAAACCTCTTTCTTTTGTAAATTACCCAGTCTCAGGTATGTCTTTATTAGCAACGTGAAAATGGACTAATACAACCTCCATGTGACTGTATTTGGAGATAAGGAATTTAAGAGGTAATTAGGTTAAATGAGGTCATAAGGATGGGGCTCCAAGATGGCAGGATTGGTAGCTTTATAAGATTCTCTCTCTCTTTCTCTCTGTCTGTCTATCTCTCTCTCTACCTCTCTCCCCCTTTCTCCCTCTCTCCCTCTCTCCCTTCCCAAGCACACACCAAGGAAAGGTCATATGAGGACACAATAGGGAGTTGGCCATCTGCAAGACAGGAAGAGAATCCTCACCAAGAACCTAATCTTCCAGCACCTTGATCCTGGACTTCCCAGCCTCCAAAATGGAGAGAAACAAATTTCCATTGTTTACGCCACCCGATGTGTGGCATTTTGTTCTAGCAGTCCAACAGAATAAGACAGCAATCATAAGGGAAGACTGTGAGGTAGAAGGTGTGAAGAAGGATGAATAGGAGTTAACTATGTGGAGGGAGTAGGGGAAGAAGAGAATTCCAGAAAGAGGAAAGAGCCTGGAGGTAGGAAGCAAGGCGATTTCCCTGAGGGAGAAAGTGGAAGTGGCTGGCTGGCAGGGTAGTGTATAACATGAGCAGATTTTACATTTAAAGGATTTGGGGAAGAATGGGTTGGGGGAAGAAAAGAGCTTAGGTTGAACACATTGTTGTAGTTCAGGTGAGACATGAGGATGGCTTGGACTCAGGCGTTGGTGTTGATGGTGGTAGAGCTAGACAGCAGTGGATAGATTCAAGCAGAGAAATCAATAAAATTTAATGATGGATTAGACATGAGTTGGAGAAAAGGGGATTATCAAGAATACACCCTGGGTTTTTGGCCTGTTCAATTTGTTCACTGAGACAGGGAATATTAGAAGAGGACCAGGATTAGGGAGGAAAAAATATTCGGGTGGTTTTAAATTCTGTGTCCAGTAGGATGCAAGCAA
Organism: Homo sapiens; assembly: GCF_000001405.40. NCBI lineage: Eukaryota > Metazoa > Chordata > Mammalia > Primates > Hominidae > Homo > Homo sapiens. The sequence continues at coordinate 119,364,645 of NC_000006.12, read as the reverse complement.
TATAAATGAACTCTGATTATCTAAAAACATGAAGTTGGAGGAGAAAATCAAGAACTCGCCAAATCAAAGGATGCTAGAGCAAAATGCCTGAAAACCAGAGAGTGTCTTTGGACAAGAATCATCTGGCCAGGAGACCCGACACTACAAGCATCATGCCACTGTACTACCAAAGATGAATCCTAATCCTGTCTTCATTTATGTCCTTCTTACTTAAATTTACAATCCCTGGCAGCAGTGTCTAATTGATGAGGTGACACACCCAAGCCTTGGCTTCTATGATTATAGGGAGAGAGAGCATCTGACACCTTCATGTCAGTAGCAGGAAATGAAGCATTTTTATTTCCTAGACTATATTCACTGGGGAATGCTTCCAAATAGAGAGCACAGCATACAACAACAACATGGTTAAATATTAGACAGTCAGAAATAAAATGGCAAGCGTATACCACAACATTCACTCATATCCTTCTTCTCAAAATTACACTGCCCAAAAGATTGTTCCTCCTAATGTAATATAGGTATTATTTGTACAGGTTGAGCATTCTTCATCCAAAAATCTAAAATCCGAAATGCTCCAAAATTCAAAACTTTTTGAGTACCAACATGATGGTACAAGCAGAAAATTTTACACCCAAAAGTGGAAAATTTGACCTCATGAGACTGGTCATAGTCAAAACACATATACAAAATTACTTAAAGTATTATATAAAATTACCTTAAGCCTATGTATATAAGGTGTATATGAAACATAAATGAATTTCATGTTTAGACTTGGTTGTCATACCCAAGATATCTCATTATGTACATGCAAATATCCAAAATCCAAAAAAATCCAAAATCTGAAGCACTTCTGGTCCCAAGCATTTTGGATAAGGGATATTACAAAATGCTTATTACAAATGGATATTACAAAGGATATTATATTCCTTTTCCAAATGAAGGTAATCACAAATCGCATCAGTTACTCTATTTAGTCACAAATCTACAGTCTCCAGGTTATATCCTTTCTCCCTCTAGTTTCATTGTGATATGTATTCTGTAGTCTAAACAATAAATTTTAGAATTAACCTCCACTAATAAAAGATATATATTTTATTCTACTATAGAGTATACAGAAAAGAACTCTGTTTACCAGACTTGGTTTTTGGATAGTAAAATCAAACGTGGCCTTAATGGAATGTTCTATTTCAGCCCCAAGAATTCTATGATCCATTACTCCCTGTTAGAGATTTCTGTAGTCATCCCATTCCATACCCTGCTGCCATTATGGTGACCAGGCCCACCGTTTATTCCTCCAGTGATAAGTGACTCACCTGGCTTCTCCCCTCTTAGGGACTCACTATTCCTACTGAAATCAAGAAATTGATTTCTATTTCAGCTTCTCGAACAACCTGCAAAGAACAACCAGTACAACCCTTTTGAAATATGTCAGAGCTTTGAATACAATGTATATCTCAAAAGCCCTAATGAATGGAATGTTTTCTGGGCCTGCTTTAGGGATACATTTTTGGATGGGTGGCAGGACACTTATGATAAATCAAATCCAAGATTTCAATCTCCCACTTATTTTAATAATCTTCTTCATGTTATTCTAAGGCATTTGTGACACCTGAAGTTCAGATTAAGTTCAAGTTAGTGTTAACCAGCCCAGCTTCTATTACATGGCATCAGGAATCCCTAGTAAGTGAACTCATTTTGATAAGTTCAGACTAATCTAAAACTTTTCTCCATCTCTGGTCATATACCCTAAAATTCTATTCTTACATGAGTATATGTGATTGCTACTGATATAAACTGGGGGAGTCCTACAATCTTTTGATGTCTAAGCCTTCTCCTCCTGGGTTTTACTTTATAATTGTTGTCCTGAGGCTGCCTGGGTTTCTAACTCTAGATATAAATTGCAAATCATTCTATTTCCTTCTAGCAGCATAACCACCTCATTTAAGGAAACAGTACTCACATGTTGATTCTGTGAGCCTATGTATCCTTCTAATATCCTTCTAATAAATTCCTTTCTTTTTTTTTTTTTTGCTGAAGGAAACCAGTATTGTTTTCTGTTATATTTGCAATCAAAAGCATCTTAACTGAAAGAATTTGGAATCAGGAAGTAGGGTGTTACATAAAGCCATGAAAGTGTCCTTAATATTTTGGGAAGATAATGTAGAAGTATATGGCGTAAAATGACTAAATGGTAATTAAATTATCTTCCTTGGTCACCTGAGCTCAACTGCCCAACAGGATATAAAGCTCTAGGAGACAATGTTGCCACCACCAGTGAAGAATTCAAACAATTCAGTGACTATCAGTAGAAGTCAGTGTTTCTGATGCATTAGTAATATTAAAGAAAGAGATTATCAAATTCAAATACATAAATTTTTGTCTCACGGTACGAACTAAAACCTAGGAACTTTTAGTTACTGGGCTAACAGCACCTCCGACCTTGCAAACCAAAACTAAAACCAGACATTCACCACTCCCAATATTAATCCACTTTTGGGCTGCCACATTTGAATATTAATCTATCTAGTTCTCACATGAAAATAACAGTTGATTGTGAAAGAGTGATTCCAAAAGAATTTGGATGAGGGCACAGGGAAAGACCCCTTCCAAATAAGCTCCCTTATAACAATCTCTACTTTTCTGAATGACCAGGCTTGAAAAATAGACAAAAACTGAGGTCACTTTGGAGGTCCTACAACCACAGAGGACCATAAACATGTTCTAAGAGAAACAGGGGTGTTGGAAGGAGGAGCATCTAAGAAAAGAGGCAGATGTCTATTAGAGATATGTTGAAATTGAGATATTTTGAGACATACAGAAAAAGAAGTAGGTACCTGGACATACAGACCTCAAACTCCAAGTCTGAAACAGGAATACTAATTTGAAAATATCTTGTATATACATACTCACTAAAGCAACGGGTTTGAACGGCATGAGTTAGGAAGCCAGTGAAAATTGAGAAGTTCCAGGACTGAACCTTAAGGAAATGCCTACATTTAAAGGCCAGGAAGAAGAATCCATCTGAAACAAAATAATTGACCAGAGATGTTGAAACCAAGAGACTGTGTCTTGCAGAAATCAAGGGAAGACTGTTTCAAAAAGCAGGGAGAGATAAGCGTTGTTGAATGCTACTGCAACGTGAAGTCAAAGGAAGATTTAAAAATACCTCAGGAATTCACAACATGAGGGGCATTGGTGACTTTCATTATTGCTATTTTAATGGAGTGGTAGGACCAGAAGCCAGACTGGAGTAGGTTGGGCAGTGAGTGAGTGGTGACGAATTGTAGACAGCTGGTATCATTAACAACCACTTGGAGAAATGTGGCTGTGAAGAGGGAGAAGGACAGGGCAGTACCTGAAAGAAAAGAAAGTCTTTTGGTTTTGTTTTGTCTAGTTGAAGAAATTGTATTGTTTTAAAGTCAAAAGGGCGAATATAAAAGGCAAAATTGAATATACATGAACAAAAAATGGATAAAAATAGTATGATGTTACAGAGAAAATGAGAGGTTTTGAAGTCCAACGCATGGGTGGTAGAGTTAGCCTCAGCCAGGAGAAGGGTATCATCGCTCTATCATAACAACATATGAGGCTCAGTGCCGAAAAACGTGTTTTGTGTTTGAAATAGAAAAGATGAGGGAGTTCCCAAAAGCTAGCTGCTATTTCTCTGTAAAGAAAAGAAGGCATCTGCCGAGATGAAGGTGCTAGAGTAGGGTTTCTCATCTCGGCATACTGACATCGTGGACCAGACAATTCTATACTGTGTGGGAATGTCCTGTGAGTTGCAGGATGTTGAGCAGCATCCTTGGCTTTTACCCACTACATTTCAGTGGCACTCCTGCCCACCCCAAACAGTGACAGTCAAAACTGTCTTCAGGTATTGCCAAATGTCACCGAGGGGTAGGAGGCATAACTGCTCCTCCCACCACAACCCCACTCTCTTGTGGCAACCACTGGGTTGGAGAGAGTAGAAGAGAATGGAGAAAGTCTGGAAGTGTCTTGTTAAGTGGGAAAGTAAGTCAACCAAATAGAAACAAGGGGCTTGCCAGACAGTGTTGAGGATCATTTGAAGTCAGATTTGAAACCTGATGGAATCAATCTGCCATACCGTACTTTTTCTGCTAAGACCTGGGCTGCTAGGGTGCAGGTACTGAAAAAGTTGATGTTTGCTAAAGTTAGAGGGTTGGACAAAAAAAAAAAAAAAAAAGAAGTAGAAAACGGCTTGAGATACTGGCAAAGCACTTCTTGGAATTATGAACCACAGAATCTAAGTAGGTTGGTGGGCAGAGAGGACAGTTAAGAAAAAGATCTTTTAAAGAGGAATACTGAGGTAACTTTAGGAGCTAGAAATGAAATTTTGGCCAAACATCTTAGAGATACACACACACACACACACACACACACCTTATTTCAAAAACAGCTTATGCTTCCCTTCCTCGTGTACTAAATGAAGAAAATTAGAATATAAACAATTATGTGTTCTGTTTACTTTGCATCCTAATTAAAACTCATTGTTATAGCATTCAGTTTATCAATAACTACTTCTGAAAACTGCTGCAAAGAATTTTATCTTTGCATTTCAGATTTCCGAACCTCTTATTTGCTATAAGCAATACATAAACAGCAAGGTATTTATGAAATGAAAAAGGACTCTGTTTTTACTTAAAGATTGGTCAACTAAAATGTCCTGTATGGCTTCTGTAGGGCAGTGCCCAGAATTAAATCTTTATCTCTTTGAAAGAATAGTAAAACTGAAAGGGGAAATTAACAATAAATCTATTTTGAGAAGTGGAAATAATTAATGTGCCAGGTTCTTCTCAGTAGATTTCATATGTGACAGGCAAGACAAAACAACAACAAAAAACAACCAAACATTTTAAATCTAACTAAAAACTTCTAGCTAAGGAGAAAGCAAACCACAACAAAAAGTGGAGAGTAATTACAGCTTTTAATCAACCAAACAAGGTTTGCATAATTTTAATCTACTAAGAAAAACAGCATAGGCACATAGAAGAGCTGATGCTAAGAGAAGTCTGCTTGGACTAGTTCAGATTATTCTCTCTACATTTCTATAGTTTGAAAAAGAAATTGCACCTGAATGGTTTAGCAGTTTTACATCTTCGTGTTTAAATATTTTTGGTTATATATAACTACATATATATATAACCATATATATAACACCACATATATATGGCAGATACAAAATATATATATGGCAGATATAAAATATATTAAATGTGATTATTTCTATGAGGTATGAATAACTGGTTTCTCTTTTTATAATGTCTTTTATTTCCCCAAATCACATTGTAATGATTTGGCATCCAGTAAGAGTAACGAAATAGGTGGTCAGAGTAAATAGAAAACCCCACTGATTAGAAAGAGGAATCAGTGATAATACTTCTTTCATTTACCATTGGTTACTGTTTTTCAAAAATGAGAACATTTAGAGATTTAGCAAAAGCATTACGCATCTCCATCTGCTTTCCATGTCAGGCAAGACAGATACTACTCACTACAAATAATTATTTAAAGGATGGAGGGAGGAGGAGGAAATCCAGAAACAATGTTTATTTGAACATCTTGAAAGACAGCACAATTATGCTGTTTTATAAGACATGTATAACTTATTATTGTAAGAACTTTAAGGTTTTTTTTTTCATTTTTTTTTTTGCTGGTCTGTATATTCTAAATTTTATTTATACCTATGTATTATATTTGTTATAAGAATATATAACAATAAAAAGGATAAAAATCCATTTAAAAGAAATATAAGTTAAATGGGGAATACTATATGAAAGCACAATAGAAAAGATCTCAGGATATACTGATACTAGCTATTGAAGGCATGAAAGATAATGGTTTCTATTTTGATGAGATTAACTGAACAGAAAAGAGTTAGTTATAGGTTTTGCTATAAATTTGATAATGTCTTATTAAATATTCATGATTTCTCTAGAAAATGGAATAATAGTAAGTTCTTCAAAATATTTTAACTTTTTGAGTTCAGGATCTCGGAGGGAGAGTGAGAACAAGAGTGAGGGCGAGAGACAGAGAAAGAAATTTTATCCCTTTGGTCTTCTCAATGATAATTTTACTGTTTTGTTTGTTTGTTTGTTTGTTTTTGAGACAGAGTTTTGCTCTTTTGCCAGGTGGGAGTGAAGTGGCGCGATCTTGGCTCACTGCAACCTCTGTCTCCCAAGTTCAAGCAATTCTCCTGCGTCAGCCTCCCGAGTAGCTGGGATTATAGGCACCAGCCACCAAGCCCGACAATTTTTGTATTTTTAGTAGAGACGGGGTTTCGCCATGTTGGCCAGGCTGGTCTCGAACTCCTGACCTCAGGCGATCCACCCACCTTGGCCTCCCAAAGTGCTAGGATTACAGGGTGAGCCACTGCGCCCAGCCTGGAATTTTAATGCTAGGTTCTCCAACAACAATAATACAAAATGTTAACAAACAATATTAGTGTTATTTACATCTTTTTTTTTAGACCATCTTGCTCTTCTCCAGGCAGTACAGTGGCATAATCATAGCTACCTGTAATCTCAAACTCCTGGGCTCAAGCAATCCTTCTACACCAGCTCCCTAAGCCGGGACTACAAGCACATGCCACCATGCCAGATAACATTTTTATTTTTTGTAGAGACAAGGTCTCACTATGTCGCCTAGGCTGACCTTGAACTTTTGGCCTCAAGTAATCGTCTTGCCTAGGCTCCCAAAATGCTGGGATTACAGGCATGAGCCACTGTTCCCAATGATTTATCTTAATTATTAATAATTGTTATTCCAGCACCTTACAGTTGTACAGCGTTCTGCAGTACACACATATCTATTTTGATCTTCACAACAAATTTTTCAGTCAGGAGTCCCCATTATTTTACAAAGGAATTGAGGCTGTTTAAATTCATAAAACTCATAGCCAGTTTTAAAAATAGATCTTCTGATTCCCAATCCAGCTTTCTTGCCTCTGCATCATTTTGTATAAGTTTCAAAGCTGCCAGCCAGGTGCAGTGGCTCACGCCTGTAATCCCAGCACTTTGGAAGGCCGAGGCAAGTGGATCACCTGAGGTCAGGAGTTTAAGACCAGCCTGACCAACATGGTGAAACCCCGTCTCTACGAAAAATACAAAAAATTAGCTGGGCGTGGTGGCAGACACCTGTAATCCTAGCTACTCAGGAGGCTGAGGCAGGAGAATCACTTGAACCCAACAGGCAGAGGTTGCAGTGGGCCGAGATCATGCCATTGCACTCCAGCCTGAACCACAAAAGCAAAACTCTGTCTCAACAACAACAACAACAAAAGTCACCAACTACAAACAAGTTAAGTTCTCCTGGAAACATCTTGGTCAGTACAGTGTTGTGAGGTACATTTAATAGTAATTTTCCACATATCAAAAATATGAATGATATTACTTGACTATGTTTTACTTAATAGGAATGAGTATACAGCATAGAAGTGATTCATAACTTTAAAAAATTCCCTTGGTTTGACTACTAAACAAAAATACATATTTCTCAAGCTGAAAAACAATAGCATTTTCTTCTGTGTTTCTGAAAATGGTTCTTGACCTTATCCTCTTAGTACTTTTTGGACTTTAAAATTTAATAATGCTATTTAGTATAATGTCAACTTCATCTAGTTATTTTTATATATTTTTAGTAAGATATTCCATGGTTCTTAAGATTCTTATAAAACAGTTCTGAAAGGAAAACATTATTTTGGTAATAGCTTTATTGAAATATAATTCACACCATAAAAATCAACTGTTTAAGTACAATTCAATACTTTTTTAGTATATCCACAAAGTCATGCAGCCATCCCCATAGTAAATTTTAGAACATTTTTATCACCTCCAAAAGAAATCTCATACCGTTATGGTGACCCTCCATCCTCCTATCCCTCCAGCCCAAGGCAACCACTAATCTACTTTCTGTCCCTATAGATTTACCTATTTCAGACATTTTATATAAATATAATTATACCATATGTGGTGTTTTGTAACTGACATCTTTAACTTAGTGTAATGCTTTCAAGGTTCATGCATGTTGTAGTATTGTGTCAACATTTCATTCCTTTTTATTGCTGAATAATAATTCTTGTATGGATATACAACATTTGTTCATCCACTTAGTTGATGGACATTTATGTTGTTTCCAGCATTTGGCTATTATAGATAATGCTGTTATGAACATTCATGTACAGATTTGTGTGTGCACATATATTTTCATTTCTCTTGAGTGTATCTAGGAGTGGAATTGTTGGATCATATGGTAACTCTATATTTATCCTTTTGAGGAACTGCCACACTGTTTTCCAAAGCAGCTGCACCATTTTACATTTCTACCAGAGAGAAAAACACTTTTTTTAAAGAGAGAGAAACGATGAAGCTACATACACTTAATAAAACGTACTTAATGGCACATTATATATAGCTCTCTAGTAACTGAAGTTACACAAATTTAAATTTCCTTTCTTCCTACAGTAGTTTTTTCTACCCCACGAATACCTACGAAATAAAAAAAAAGTAGTCCTAGAATTACTTAAGTAAACTATTTATAATGCTGACTTGCTTTTAACAATACTGAAGTCAATTTCTTGGTGAAGATATACATGAATTTTAATAATAAAAATATAAAATAGGTGGCACTCTGTTAACACTTGATATTTTCATTTCTTGTTGGTTACTGTTAAAGATATGACAGTATTTTCATGGTAGAATATATCACACAAATTTAGCATTTGGAGAAAACTGGAGAACCTAATGATCTCAATGAATGTTCAAAAACTGTTTATAATCTAGGAGTTAGGCTAAGTATCTCAAACTCATCACATTTTACGCCCAGTAATTTAGAAACCGTATATGAGATCCTGCCAGTTCCAGCCAATTAAGTCTAATAAATACATGGGTCACTGATTTGAAATTCTTCCCTTCTTTTTTCCGATGGTAATTTCAGTGTGTGTCTCTCTCTCCTTCCCCAAATCCAGACCAGTATTAATTACGCCAAATGAAATGACTACAAATCAAACATACAGAAATATAATTTGTCAAGGTACTATCTGCAACACAGATCTGCTTTCACCTTATCTCATAAATGAGTCTATACATTCCAGGAGAATGCTCCAAATGAACTTAAAAAATAAGTTTAGTGGACAAAGAACTGCAGGCAAGTTTCTATCCATTTACAGGGACCCAAGGCTAAGACAAGGTTCTGTCCTCAAGGACCATATGAAAGACAGAACATGTTGTGCAAACAGTACATTTATTTTGCAATGAAATTGGGAAGCCAAGTGCTGTCGTGTCATAGTTGTAGATAGTTTCTCCAAAATAGGAACAAGCACATGTGGTGGTTTCATTTCACTTTATTTCATGAAAAATAATTATAACTGGGCAGAATGACGTCTCACTATTTTTTTCCCTTTCTGAATTTTTTGTTGTTCTGGAAAAGCATGTGGTTTTTATGGGACAGAGAATGGAGAGAAAAAAAGATTTTCTAAAAGAAAAACTGATTTATTTTAAAAATATATTTAATGTACTAGAAACTGAAAAAGGAAATATTTTATATCTTTCTCTGGCCATGGAAATAAACTTTTCCTTTGTTTCACTTAGTTGAAATAGTATATTCTCCTCAAGTCATCCAATTCAAACATTTTATATACAAGGACCCCAGTGGTCATTGTTAGCATTCTTCAGTGCCACCTTTCTGCTCTAAGACCTTGGTTTCCTAATTCTTCACGCACTGAACCATAAGTCTCCTTACTTTGAGACTTTGCCATCACTCACATTTTCTCAAGGCTTTAAGAACTATGAAGAATACTATTCAGTCTTAAAAAAGAAGGAAATTCTGTCATTTGTGATGATGTGGATGGAACTGGAGAACAATGCTAAGTGAAATAAGTCAGGCATGGAAGATACCACATGTTCTCCCTTATATATAGAATCTAAAACAACTGAACTCAGAAGCAGAGAACAGAATCATCATTCTACCCTGCGGAGGCTGGGGATGGGGAGATAATGGTCAAAGGATACAAAATCTCAGATGAGAGGAATTTCTGTTTCTAGTTCTATCATCACACAGCATGGTGAATATAGTTTATGATAGAATACTGTACATTTACAACTGGATGAGAAAGTAATTTTCAAATGTTCTTACCACAAAAGATATTAAGTATTTGAGGTGATGGATATGTTAACTACCTGGATTTAAGTATTCTGCATTATATTCAGAAATCATAACACCACTTTTTACCCTACAAATTTATACAATTATAAATTGCCAATTAACAAGTAGTAGTAGTAGCAGTAGATTAGTTGGTCAACTTTTTGATCCTATAAAGGGTGAAGAAACATTTTAAGACTCTCCAGCTACCAAACCCAACGCTGTTCCTCCCAACCATACTTTCTTCTCCAGTGGTATTATTCAAATAAGGGCTGGGAGTTGAAAAGTGACAACCATATGAAGAGCCACATAATCTAAAATATCTCTTCCTGCCATCCTTTCTTGGGTCTTCTTTATAAGAATCCCACAGACACTGTTATTTCCTCATTCCCAACATTAATTACCCTTTTAAGAGAGGGGAAAAATGGACTTAAATTTCTTAAATGCCTACTGTGCCAGACACATTAGTTACATCATTTAACCTAAGAGGAACAACAAAGTTGCAGATGAAGAATGAGAGGCACAGAATAGGTGACTTCTTGGCCACGGTCACATAGTAAAGCACATGCGCATGCACGTGCTCTACAATAAATTCCTCTCTTATTCAAACCCTTGCCCAGTGACCTCAGGAAAACCTCCCCCTGTTATTTCTTTCAGTCCCTTTGTTAATGAAATCAAAACAAAACCAAAGTAAAAATACCTTAAGGGCAGTAGTCGTGATATTTTTCAAACCAAAAGAAAGCTACACACACTGAAGGAAAACTATACCTAAGAACTTCCATACACCTTTCTGACCTTGCAAGTTGATTTTAGAATATTTCTGAAACTATCATTATATCTCCTCTTTCAAATAAATCTGTTTGTCCTCAGGCTCTAACATTCATAATAAATAAAACACTTTTCTAATTTAATGTTACTTTGATTACCAGCATTGCAACAGTACTTTTTCCAACATGTTATTCTTCCCTAGGGTGAGGTCTTTGCAGTGCAGGCTAGCAGCCCAAAGCACCATTTACAACCCTGTTTCTATGAAGAAAAATGCTCTGAAAGTTCCAAAGAGCCAATGCACACAAATACTTGCAGGACACAATGTTTTTAAGTTGGGGACAGTTAATATTTATGAAATGTGTTCAAAACAAAACCATATCTTTCAACAGGAGCCTGCAGGAACAGAGGGCTCCTGCCCTCACTGCCCCTGGCACCCACGCCCCCTCAAAAAAATGTGATTGGAATTCTATAAAAATAATCTGCCACTCAGGCAGTTCCAAAGTAAATTGAGGAAGAGCAAAAACATGGAATCAGAAATATAACAGTAGACTCCAATTTGCATACAAATAACACCGATAGTTTCCTTTAAAACTCTGGTTAATTTCCACCTTAATATATCTCATGTAAAATTGAGAGTGCCCATTGAAGTATTGAAACTTCAAGATTAATATTCACAATGAATCATTTTTTACGTATTACATTTGGATTTTTTAAAAAATAAGAGCAAAGACCTATTGTGACCTAGAAAATCTCCCATTAAAAGATTTTATCAGAAATCTAACTTGTTGGAGAATTTCAGTCATTATTTACTGTACATGTAGATTAAATTCATTTCTTTCACTAGATTAAGTTTTATTTAAAGTAAGAGAACAAAAATCCTCAAAAGGATTCTTCCACAAACTTCTAACTAGTACTGCCTAGAAACTTCCTAAGAAATGTTTTTGCACTTCAATTTTTGAGAACTTATAATTTTATAAAAATATAAATTTATCAGTTTTATAAAAATATTGCCAATTTTTCCTCTGTAAGTCTGCTCATAATTATTACTATATTTCATTTTAGGCATGTTAATGTAAAAATTAAATCTACCTTTTGGTAATTTCTTTTGAAAGTAGAAAAATCTAAGCAACAACATTTATTTGGGGATTTCTTTGTAGTGTTTTGTGGTATCACTGATGATCAGGTTTTTAAAAAATTACTTGATTCAAAGATATAATCTTGAAACACAAAAATTTACAAATTATCAAAGAAATACACAAAAACATTAAGTATTGAAAAAGGAAAATGTAAGAATTAAGTTTGCAAGCAAACCTGCAAAAATTACAAGAGAGTTATACTTCAAAAGGACTGGCTGGCCAAATAAAAAAACATAGCAAGTATTTTTTTAAAAATCCCACAAAATTACTAAGGTTCTTAGGTTTACATTAGACCATCCATAATGAGAAACAGCAATTTCAGCACTATCATTGCATTCATAAAGATGGTGACATTACCTTCAGGTAGATGTGGCTAGGGAGTCTTGACTTAGGGGACAAAGTCAAGGTTTCATTACTTAAAAGACAAGAACCAATCACCTTTATTTTTATCTCAGGGTACAAAGTACTTTTTTCAATGGTAGAATGTCAAGTGCTTTGTAGTACTGAAATCAGAGGAAAGTGTCCGATTTTGCTTCTACAAAATGCACAATTTTACTTGTTGACTATTTTCTACTCCTCCCTTACCATGAGCACACAGGGCTTCATGTGATTATTTTAAAGAGGATGCATAATTCGATTGCTATGCCTCTTCAGATACCTTCTTTGTGAATTTTTCAAATTTGCTCTGGCCCAAATATTGGTGTTCCTATATAGTTCTTATCCCACCTAATGTACACAGACACCCTTTAATATGTACCTATAATCAACCACCCATGTTAACTTCTTGTTTAACATATTATCAAAGCCAGGCTGCAAGTATAACCCTGTCATTTAAGAAATACGGAAAATAAGAAAAAAATCTTAAAATAAGCTTCATGATGAACTTAAAAAGAATAGTTACTTTAAAAGATGTAGAAACAACATAGATAAATTTAAAGTTTTTAGGGGAAAAAATCCTTAAACCCACGTACTAAATTTTTAATATTTCCACTACAGAAGTTAAATGCCCAAACTGATTTGGTATCAAAATTAAAGTGTCAGAAATAGAATTAAGTTATAACTTTTATTTATCACCATTTTAACATATACTTAAAAGTGGAATTTATTGTTTTGCTGGAATACTTAATAACATTAATTTGAAATAAAGCTTCTAAATATTTCCGGGGCTATAATTCCATTCTTACAACATAATTTTTAAAATAATAAATCATTCCAAAAAAGGATGATCATAAAGAGATTAGCGTTTGGGGTAGTTAACCCAGTTCCTATTTATCTATCCATTCAAGAGGTAACTCAGTTTTAAGGATGTTGTTAGAAACATTATTTCACAGTGATTCAAACCTTTCAGCCTATGCACAACCTACAAATGCATAATCGTTTGAAATAAAAATTGCCTTTCCATCATTAAAGAAAAATCATCTTTGTTTTCTTTTTCAGTCCTTCTGAACTTATTACCCTGCTTGGATATGCTGCACTCTTCTGGACATAGAATTTCATAGCAGGTATCAAAATAACCAAGCCATAAAGCCAGCTTTATCAAACAATAATTTCCTATTAACAAGAACTTTGAGTGTATTACTCATTTTACACAAAACAAGTAGACGACAAATAATGATGGTTAAAATTAATAATTAAATGATTAAATGAAAACTAGTAAGGATTTCTGATTACTTTTCTACTTTCTCATACAGCTTAACACCTGGAAACAACTGTACTGGAGCCACCTTCCCGAAAGGTGCCAGCTGTTTCCTTTGTCTTAAGCACAAACAGAACTAATGTCACATTTCCAGAGAAGGGTAAGGATGAAATAAGGCGACTACAAACCAGCTTTCAGAAATGCGAAGTCAGTCAACGTTTTCCTCTCTGATAACCCCTTATTTGTGGAGCAACAGGAGAATTACAACACATTTTGGAAAATAATTTCTATTGGACCAACTCCTCACTTCGCTGGAAGTAGTCGGATCCAAGACTTAATTTCAACACAGTGTTCGACTTATTGCTTGAAGCTACCGCAGCATAAAACTCGTCTTCGAATGGAAAATTTGACCAACTTCTATGAGGTAAATGAATAGTGAAAGTACGGGTGGGCGGGAGAGACATACAAGTTTTTTCGGTTTTTTGTTTTTTGGGGGAAGAAAGGGCGCATACGAAAAAAGTCCTAAGCAAGCACAGAACTGTGTCTCTTAGGATGTAAAAGGATGTTATACCAGAGAGCTCAAAAGCTCCCAGGGTCACGGCTCCCCTAACCGAGGGACTTGGGGTTTCACTGCTACCAGGCACCCGGGGAACCCCGGCCTTGGATAAAAAGAGGGTAACTGGAGTAAAGCCGTGCTTCTGAACGACCCAGCGCCCAGGACCCCCTGCCAGACCCCGCCTTTCCCGGGACCCCCTCGGGAGCGCCCCCGACCGCCCCGCACGGGTCGGAGGAGGAGGCAGAGAGGTCCCGCGCGGACCCAGGCGCCTCCCGGGCCAGTCGAGGATCAACCACCCCGGGGACCCCTGCCGAGGCCAGCGCAGGATAAACTCCCCGACCCCGAACTCTGCCTGCCGCTTCTCGGCGCTGGGCCTCAGCCACGGGTTCGACCGTCCTCCTCACCGCGGCTCCCGCCTACCTCGCGCCTCCCGGCCCCGCGACCTCCCCGCCGCCGGCCGGGCCCCGCCGAGGCTGCGCTTCCCGTAAACTCCCCGCCCCGCGCATCCCCCTCCTCGCCTCGGCCCCGCCCCCGCGGGACCCTGGGCGGCGCGTGATTGGCCCGGCCGCGCCGTCACTCTCCGGCCGCGTCGCCTCCCTCGCTTTCCACCGCCCCAAGACCGGCAGTGAGATTAGTGCTCGCGGGGCCGCGGCGGAGTGTACCGTGCTGCTCTACTCGCTGCCATTCGCCCGCAGGTCGGCGCGCTCGCCCACCTGAGCCGCGCCGGGGCTGCGGGACCGTGGGACAGCGCGCTCAGCCCAGCCTAGGAAAGAGGCAGCAGTCTCAGCGCGGAGATGGGGAGCGGGCGAAGTTGACGAGTCTCCCGCCCACGCTGCGCCCCTCCTGCCCAGAGGTGCGCTGCCCCTCCCCGAGGTGCTCGCGCGCTGCCCTGACCCCTTCCTGCGCGGGACACCCCTCCCCTACCCACGGGACCTGATAACTTCACCCCAAGTCCAGAGAGTGGGCTGCGAGGGCGGTGCCCGGACTGGACAGGACTCTGCTTAAGGGGAGCGGTCCTGGAGGCTCGCCAGGAGTCGGAGGGCGGAGACCCGCTGGAAACTTTATCATCGCCGTAATTACTACGTTTTACTGTTTCTCTCCCCGCAGGGGCTGCAGCCAGCGGTCTGTCGCGCGTGCCTGTGTGCCCGAGGAGCCGCCCCGGGGAGAAGACCCGGCGCGGAGTTGTTCCCCCAGGGAGGATCCGCAGCCCAGCCGAGGGGGTCGGGCGGCCTGGCTACGCAGGACCCAGCCCCGCAGCCGCGGACTCCCAGCGGCGGCGAAGTTTGGCTGCTGAGCGGCGCGGCGCCGGACCACTGGACAGCGGGAGCGATGCCCGTGGGGGGCCTGTTGCCGCTCTTCAGCAGCCCCGCGGGCGGCGTCCTGGGCGGGGGGCTCGGCGGCGGCGGTGGCAGGAAGGGGTCGGGCCCCGCCGCCCTCCGCCTGACGGAGAAGTTCGTGCTGCTGCTGGTATTCAGCGCCTTCATCACGCTCTGCTTCGGGGCGATCTTCTTCCTGCCAGACTCCTCCAAGCTGCTCAGCGGGGTCCTGTTCCACTCCAGCCCCGCCTTGCAGCCGGCCGCCGACCACAAGCCCGGGCCCGGGGCGCGCGCCGAGGACGCGGCCGAGGGGCGAGCCCGGCGCCGCGAGGAGGGGGCACCCGGGGACCCGGAGGCCGCCCTGGAGGACAACTTGGCCAGGATCCGCGAAAACCACGAGCGGGCTCTCAGGGAAGCCAAGGAGACCCTGCAGAAGCTGCCCGAGGAGATCCAAAGAGACATCCTACTGGAGAAGAAGAAGGTGGCCCAGGACCAGCTGCGTGACAAGGCGCCGTTCAGAGGCCTGCCCCCGGTGGACTTCGTGCCCCCAATCGGGGTGGAGAGCCGGGAGCCCGCCGACGCCGCCATCCGCGAGAAAAGGGCAAAGATCAAAGAGGTGAGTGGGCCGCGCCAGAAATCCCTCCCGACCGGCCGTGTTTTTCAGGGAGAAACGGCAAGCCTTTGAAACTCTGAAGACTGCAACAATGCAATGTATGGGGAGATGGAGGTTTGCCCCTTCCACCAGGTGCTGTGTCAAAAGCTCTTTCTTTTCCTGTTTCCAATATAGTAGTAGATGTGTCCAGTAAGATCTAAGGTCAAATCTCGTTGCTTTTAATTTGCATGCTCTTGCTCTGGTGACCACAAGCCACACGAGGTGGGTATAAATACATGGGCAGGTAATACGCAAACCTCATTCTCTGGCCGCTACACGGTTAATCGCCCCACCAGTAACAGCGACGGCACTGATCAGCCCCCTGGTAAGGATTGGGGACGTGGCTTTAAAGTGAGTCTTCACGCGTGGTAAAGCTAGCCAGCATACCCCGGGTTCAGCTGTGTGGCCCTTGTCTGCCAGGTGGCATTCTGTGTGTACTTTCAGACTATAAAGGTGAAACCTGAGAACTTCCCATCATCGAGGGATACTATTGTTTACTTTTTTAAAAAATGAAAATATAAAAAGCCAGTCGGCTGCCTCTTGTATTTCTAATGCACAGCCAGAAATAGGGTATTCCATGTGATGCAACAGGTTTGCCTCCACAGCAGCACAATGGTGACAAAGTTAATCCAGGATAAACATGGACTTTGATACATCTTTCCTAATTTCCTTCTCGTAATTTTCAGTTAGAACTTGAAACATGTGATTAGGTCAGGACCAGCTTAAAGCTGAAGGGGGCCGTAAAAAGTCCTTTCAGGCTGTCATTTTCAAGATGAAGATCGAAGGGCCCAGAGCTCTAGAACCCGTTAGTGATGAGTCAGGACTTGAAGCCCGAGGTCCGAACTTCCCCCAGTCACCTGTCACCACGCGGTCTGTGGACATGCCTCCTCTCTGAGCTACTTCCCTGTGTGAAACGGTGCCAGCCTGCGTTTTACATAGAAAAGCTGTAGGAACCACATTAAAAGCATGTCATTCCAAATCTTGGTTCAATTTTCTAAAATATGAATGGAAGTAATATTTTTGCCATTTAAAAAATAATACGATCTGTGAAAATAAATATTGTATTTTCATATTGGGTAGGTAATCAGGAGAGGAAGTCCCTGATCCCATTTTCAGAGAGTAAACAGATTTTTGAGGTGGTTGAGAGGTGTTTAGCTTAAGTGGCTGCAGAATGAAGGCAGCAGGATTGTCATGGGATTTGTGACTTTGTATTATAAGATCAGCTGAATTTGGTTAAGCTGTAATTGAGCAAGTTAAAGTGGACTTGGATCCCTTTCGGTTTAGGAAGAATGTCTTCATCCTTCCTATGCAGATAGCTTCCTTCCACAGTCCATCAGCATATCTGCTTTTCTGAGACCCCTCCTCAGGGACAGAACCCTCCCATACTTGGGGGAATGGATTCTACTTTCCAGAACAACTGTCTAGCAGTTTCCTTTCTCCATGAAATCCTGCCTGTGCTACCAAATCAGGAAGGTGGAACAAAGCTCTACCTCTTACCAAATCCTCCCAGACTCCTTAATAATATCCAACCAAAACCATAGGAAATTAACCCAAATGATCTGTATCTGCCTGTGTTTCTGTTAAATTTGAACGGTGTAATTCATACATTTCATGCCTCCAAAGTCATACGAGCTGCCAGTTAGCTAGTACAAAAATCACAGTTGTCCGAGGAAAAGATTTTAATACGAAAGATACATAGATGTTAAGCTGTTGGTACTGACCAAGAGTGATTACAAGTGCATTCAGAGCAGAACCAGTGGGGCAGTAGCAGTCTCAGACTCAGGACAACATATTAACAGTGTGCATATCCATCCAGTAGATCCATGTTGTCTGTATGCCTAAATCACAAGGTCTTAATTAACCGTGTAAACGAGATTTACGTAGTCTCTGTCTAACATCTTAGCACCTAGATGTTTTGAAACCGCTCAGTCTTGCATAAAGCAGTGGAACTAAATGTGTTCTTTAAAATTCCTTGTTGCTGTGAGAACCCAAAAGAGCCAGCATAATTAGCTTTAGTGTTTAGTCAAAGGCTAATGGGAAGAAATGGATTATGATTTTCCATCAGATTAGTTCAGGCAGATATATTCCTTTGTAAACCAAAAGAAAAAAAAAAGAAATTATGATGCTGTTCTAAAAACTGTGCTGTAAATATTTGGCTTTAGAGAGGCAAGAGTGGTTGCCCATTGTAAATAGGGCACTGGACTTTAACTTTACGTATTTGGATTCAGTTTCAGGCACCACTGTGGACATTTTGTTATCAACCAGTAGATCTTTGCCTTAGTTTTTTTCTTTACCATTGTGTTTTCTTTTCTTTCTTTTTGGAGACAGAGTCTGGCTCTGTTGCCCAGGCTGGAGTGCAGTGGGGTGATCTCAGCTCACTCCAACCTCTGCCTCCTGGGTTCAAGCAATTCTCCTGCCTCAGCCTCCCAAGTAGCTGGGATTACAGGCACGTGCCACCACACCCAGCTAATTTTTGTATTTTTAGTAGAGACGGGGTTTCACCATGTTGGCCAGGCTGGTCACGAACTTGACCTCAAGTGATCGACCTGCCTGGCCTCTCAAAGTGCTGGGATTACAGGTATGAGCCACCATGCCTGACCTGTTCCTGTATTTTCTAATTCTCTTTATACTTAGGTTCTCTATCACACCTGAATGCACCAACACTTATAGTTAAAATTTAGAAAGTGCACTCAAGTCTAACATGTTGGAAGACTGGATTGTAATTTGAGTCAACCTGTTATTTTGTACTTGGTTCAAAGTCAGTCAATACTATTTTTTATATCTATGGCACATTTATGTTACTAGTACTGCAGTAGATTTTTAACAACTTCGTGTCTTAGGGGAGATACTCTGTTAATTTCAAATAGGTCATTGTACAGAATGCTTCACAAAAAATGTTAAATGCTTTCCACTACTGATTTGATGGATGATGAATCTTTGATGTAAAACTTCAAAATAGAATTAAGATCTTCCTCCCTTCACCTCTGTTAAAATTTTGTAAATTAACCCTGGGATTTCTCTGAGATTTATGATACATACATAGTGTATATTTATTTTCATGAGTTTGATCTTAAAATTGTACTCAGGTTGTCCTTAGCTTTAAAAAGCAGTGTTAGAATAATGAAGCACAAAAGTTAAAATAGCAGCATGGAAGTTTTAGAAAAATAGTCCATTTACTTTTTTTTTTAATCAGAAATCATTTTTAGCTTCCCTTCTCCCCCGCTCCGCCCCCCCCTCAACCTCTCCCATTTTCTCAATTAGCCTGTGCTGTCCTTTAGGATTAGAACCTTAATCCAATTTGGAGGATGACTTTTTTTTTCGTTTTTCTGAAATTAAGGGGAGACCTGAGTAATAGGGGCTGGGGCTAAAGACAGTCAGGTTGTCAGAGGGGACTCCTTTCTTCTCAGGCTGGAATCCTCACCAACCTAAGTGGGGGTTAGGGGTATGTGCAGACTGGCAGCCTTAGATTTGTCATGTAAGGCTTTAGGACCCTGCACCTGTGGGGTCACAGTTTTCTTCTCTCAGTTCTAAAACAAGACTTTAGTATTTTATTCCAGACCTATTTGTGTAATCATGAATTTAAAGAACATTTTCATATTGATGGCTAGTAGTTAAAATTCACATTTATTATACTTTATGCTAGCCTTAGGCATATAGCCTATAATTTATATTAACTATTGACAGTTTATACCCTTTTGGTAAAGATCAGATGTGAGAATAATCTGCCTTGGCAGGTTAAAACAAAACACTTTTATTTTGACACTTAACTTTCCAGTTTATTTTTATGGGTAGTTCTGGGGTGGAAAATAATATTTACAAAATAATAAAAGCCATGATTTGGAGACCTGACCCAAGAAGCTTCAACATCCTTAGGTTGCTTGCCTGTGCCACTGTGCCGTGACACATTCCCTACTGAACATAGGCTAGTGTGGGATTGCTCCACCCAGAGGCCCTTCCCCAGAGCAGGGAGGACATGGAGTGTTTGTGAAGGTTTTTCTCTCCTTAACAAGTAGGTTAGTTTTCAACAGTTTAAGTACTGGAGTAGGTGCTGACTGTTAATATACAAAAGCAAAAAAATACATATATACAGTAATGGGTAGTTAATTATGTTCAGCTTCATTTTCTGTAAGCTGTTGATAGTTTCTCCTAGAATATTCTGTCTTCCTCTTATCAAGGCAACTGGGATTCATATAAAGGAGCTTCTTATGTATATGGGACTTAGAAACTAGTTAAAAGTGTGAAAAGAGGTTTTAAAAAATATTTTCAAACAAATGCATCTATCTGTACTTCTTAGGTGAGCTAATGAACTAAACCATCTTGAAAAATTTATCTTAGTATTACACAAAATGCATTTGTATGAGATCTGAATTGGTTGGAATTCATTGAAGAACTTACATATTTGAATCAGATTATTTCATAAGCTGTGGTGGTACAAATTTTTCATTGAAGAGAATTTTAAGCATGTGTCCGAAGGTCAGAGGGGAGGAATGCCTGCAGATCCGTGTGAGGGATGAGGGCTGAATACACAGGGTAGATCAGAATTGCACTGGAACCTGGTTATACCTCCTAACCCAGTCAAGCACCTGTGGTCTTTTAAATTTCTTTCTTTATAATCTTGTGTATGTTGGTCAAAGAAGGGTTTGATTAGTCAAAATAGGAACAGCCACTGTGGGCTCCAGAGATACTGTGAAACGAGTGGCAAAACAACCTCCCCGCCAAGTAGACGAAAATAATAAACAAGATACCTGTTTGGTAGTTTAGGGAAGAGATTCCCTCTTTGAGGAAATAAGTCTTGACTTTTCCCTCAGTATTCTTAGCCTAGTTCCTTGCTTGGTGTTCAGTGATTGAACTATATCTTATCCCCACCCCCAACCTCTCAATCTGTTAAAAGGCCCTTTACACAAACTCTGCAAATTATGCCATGATAACTTTAAATCTCAGATTTTAAAACTAAGTGTATGCTCCGAGTCGTAAGGTATTGCATCTGAATGAGATCTGAGAGGTAGCTCATTCATTTTACAGTAGAGGCAACCAAGACACAAAGATCATTCTGGAAATCACATCACCAGCTAGTGGCAGAGTTGAGTTGCAGAGGGAAGCCCCAGTCTTCTGTGAGTGTTGCGCATTGTCTCCCACATGGTTTGTCTCCTAAATAAAACCCCAAAGAATTGTATAAATTATCCGTGCTTACTATTTGCAGACCCTAATAGAGAGTACAGAAAACATACAATTCTGCATTATTATAAATTTGACCTTATACTAAGTTGGTGGTTTTTCTTTTTTTTTTTTTCAGCCAACGATGGATCAAAGTAGTTTTTAAGTCAATTATAGTAATTTTTAAAAATCTTACCAGTGGCATGGTTTAGAAATCTTCTTCTTTGTAAAGACACCCGGGGAAAGCTTGATAGGACATCTTGTTTTCTTTATAAAGATCTCTCCAAGAAGCACAGGCATTTGTAATCATTCAGTTAAACATTCTTTATGAGGAAAAGTGGGGAAGAAGAAGGAAGGGAGAGAAGAAGAGAGTGAGTTACTGTATATACAAAGGGTGAAAGGGGATCACCCAGAGAAGGGACATGTGATGACTAGAAGGGCTGCTTTAAAATTATAAATGTGTGTGCTCTTCTGATATTGCACCATGGATAATAGAAGAATGACAGCTAACCTAAAGGATGATTGTTTTAAAAGTAGACATGTAAAAATCACACCAATCTATGGGCAATTCTCTCCACCCAAGTAGGTTCTGGCGATTCTCTTTTGGGATGCACTTACCTGTCTCTGATCCATCCATTTGAAGCAATGTAGTGGTTAGAAGGGTGGATCTGGACTCAGATAACGTGGGTCTGAATCTGGCCTCTACCATTCTCTTGCTTTGTGACCGTCTGCAAATTACTTAATCTCTCAGAACTTTAGTTTCCTCATTTGTAAAATGAGGTTAATAGTACCCACTTTGTTGGATCCTGAGGCTTAAATGTGATAGTAAAGCACTTAGAATGGTATCAGACATGAAGTGGGCACACAACAAATGCTGCTTGTGATTATTGCTGTTACTGGTCACCACCTAAAGCCATCAAGCCAAGATTGCATTGATCCATATGCTGTTTAATAACTCAGGAAAGTGGATAATGAAGTTTCAAAAGGGTATCAAAAATAGTTAAAATTGAGTTTTAGTGCTTAAAGGGATACATTTCCAGTTCATCAAAAAGATCTTCCATACCTATAATTTTATTTTGCTACGGTCAACTCTGATTTTCTTTGATTTTTACCAAATTCCAAAAAAACTTAAGTATCTTTAGAATGATATACTTACTGCATATACATCTTCAGCTTCTTCAGAATATATGTTAAAGAATTAATTTGTCTCTTTCTCATAGTCAAATATGCCTATTCCCGCAGATACCATCTTTCAGAGTAGTCACAGTCGAGTTATCTTAATTTCTCTTTTTTCTAATAAATAATTTTTTTATTTACACAATGCAGATCGGGTCTCACTATATTTCCCGGGCTGGTTTCAAAGTCCTGAGCTGAAGCAGTCCTCCCACCTCGGCACCCCAAAGTGTTGGGATTACAGGTGTGAGCCACCATGCCTTGGCTGAGTTATCTATCTTAAGTATTGAAGTTATTCTTCTAAATAGAGAGAGAGATCGAGTAAAGTGAATTTCAATCTGTTTCATCTTGGAGGAATGTTTTTAAGAAGTGAGAATTATTATTTTAGGCTTGGCAAAAATTATATAATTATGATAAATTCTATAATCAGAGCTCAGTCCATCACTTAGTAGTCAAAGTTAGCATAAATCAGTTTTATTTTGTAGCTCAGAGAGTTTGGTCTTTTTGAGACCTTCACATTGAATTTAGATTTATTAGGATTCCAGACCCACTACTCATTTTACACATGAGAAATAAGGCCTGTGAGCTGTGACTTCCTGAGATTCCCCCAGTGTACAAACAATAGCTGAGAATTGCTTCTTAGGTGTTGAGAAGTACTGAGAACCAGGCCCCACTCCACCTGGGATAATCTTGACTCTAATGAGAACGTGTGCTTTGGTGACTGGCTGACCAGGCCCTCCCTCCTCCTCAGCCCTAAATGGCAGGCCAACTGCCAGAAGCCCCACTGAGACCATCCTAGAGGGAGGTGGGACGTCTTTGCTGGGTAGGGGATTGCCTAAGAAAGCAATACTGGCTAATTCCTTTGCTCCGGAGAATGTGGCAGCAGTGCCCCGCCCCCACTGAGTTTTGATAAAGACTTCTGTGATCATTAGGTACTTGAAAAAAAACCAAATGAGATTAAGGCTTAAGAGCATTTAAAAGTCACAGCCCTCATTTCTGTCATGAATACTCTGGTAGTTGCTTTAGGTACTTTAGAGCTGAGCAGTCCTGCAGATAATCCAGAACAGAGATAATAAAATTGAAAAGTACACGTATCCTTCCTGTTTACTTGACTTTTGTGACTAGAATGACTCCTTCTCGCTCGTGTTTCTCAGTCTGCTCATCTCCCTGGCTCTTAAGTTTATCAAAAGCCCAGTTCCTGATTTGCTCTGCTGCTTTCTCATCACTCTTGCTCTACATCGTTCATTCAAGTGACACTCAGAACATATTATATTAACTTTTCATTTGCATTGTTCATGTTTTTATGTGGGTCACTAATTAGATCGTCCTGTCTTGTGTGGGAGTGTTTAGTATTAGCAACTTAGTATGAGAGAGGGCATGGAGATGAGGGGATAAAAACCTGATGAAGGACACCAAGTTCTGAAAGGGTGGTTTAATAACACAGCATTGCTACCCTCTGAAACAACCTTTGTTGCTGGTGCCTGTTTGTCTGTGCTAGGAGTTTATGAGAAAGGGGGTGGCAGTAATTGGTGTCCGAAGGCCTGTGAATGACTATGGCCAAGACGTGAACTCAAGCCATCCATAGACTACAAGCTATTGCTAGTGTCTCCATTTCTGCCAAATCCTTCCTCATTAAATGGTCTTCTCAAGGTCCCTTCAGAACACTCAATTCTTCTAAGTGACAGGATGATCTCAGAAATAGGACAGGAGGCCAGGGATCCTAGCCTACACTGGGGGTGGCATGTCCAGCTTCCTGAGCTGATGTTTAGGTCATGATTGTCTGTCCCTAGTTCCTCTTTCACGGGAATACATGCTGGAGCTATGTACTAAAAGGGGAGTGTGTTTCCTCACTGTATCTCTCTCTGTCGGGGCATAAGACAAGAGAACAGACCTGTGGAATGATTAGGGAAGCTCAGGGGTATCTACCCAGTCTCAAAATCTCATTCCCAGCTGCCAGAAATTCACCACCAGTGTTTCCTTTTTACTGTTTTTGTTTTGTTTTTGTTTTTGAGATGGAGTCTTGCTCTGTTGCCAAGGCTGGAGTGCAGTGGTGCAATCTTGTCTTGCTGCAACCTCCGCCTCCTAGGTTCAGGCGATTCTCCTGCCTCAGCCTCCTGAGTAGCTGGGATTACAGACACCTGCCACCATGCTTGGCTAATTTTTGTATTTTTGGTAGAGGCAAGGTTTCCCCACATTGGCCAGGCTAGTCTCAAATTCCTGATCTCAAGTGATCCACCCACCTTGGCCTCCCAAAGTGCTGGGATTATAGGCATGAGCCACCATGCGTGTCCATTTATTGATTCTTAAAGGCTTGCTTTAGAAATAGATGGATAAAGTTGCTCAGCAGAATTATTAATATTATACTTTGAGATTTGTCTTATCAAAGGATAGAATAGGTTTGTTGAAGCAAGTATCTTCCATTGTCTTATTTCGCTTTATAAACTCATGTCTGCTTGGGAAAGAAAAATTTGAAAGCACACTAGAGTAGAAAAAAAAAAACAAATCCTTCATAGTTTTATCAGTCACTAAGTAGTGTCAATGATGCTCCTCCCTAACCCCAATATGTAAGTTCGTTCCCACCCCCCGACGCCGGGTTATAACCACACTATATATACTTTTTGTTTTTCATTTTCTTTGCAAGTGTCATTTTATGTTGGCACAGTATATCCATGTCAAAACATGATACTTTATTTAACCAGTCCCTTGGACCTGAACATTTAGATTATTTCCACTTTTTTGTTTTTATTAAAAATGCTGAGACAGACAGCTTTGTCCAGTAAATTTGTGTCTCACTTTTTATTGCACACACCCTGGTAAGTGGGATTTTCTCTTAAATTCTTAAGAGGGGAAATAAATTGGCCAACAGATAGTACATTTTGAGGGATAACTTTCCAGAAACCATTTATACTCCCATGTGTCATATAATGAATGGAGTCTGTTGATTCTTTGTGAATTTCATAAGTGATGAAGCAGTATATGGCATTTTCAGTTTGCTTTTCTTTGATCAACACTTTCTCCTGTGTTGATCATTTGCATTTCTTCCTTGTGAGTTGTATAGATAGAACAAGGAAATTTTGAAAGGAGGAAGATAGAGAAGATGGCAGAGCTTGGAGGCCTAAGGAGTGAAATCCACCAGGGGAGATGGATCTGGCAAGCCGGCTCAATGAACGTGGACTCCTGTGGGAGGCAAAGTCCTGAAGGCGAGAGTTAGGATTTTATAAAGCAAAGTTGCAAGAAAAAAAATTTTTCCCCTAGATTGCACACTTAGAATAAAATATCCTTTATTGATAGGAGCTCTTACCAGGCACTTGGGACAGCCCACATCCTTCAGCTGAGACCTAGCCAGCTTTACCAGCGCATCTTCATTTTTAAGTGACAGTTGGGATTTTGCCTCAGATACTTGAGGAAGGTATTGACCTCTCTGGAGATCTGCGGAAGGATCTTTCTCCTTTTGGAATGAATCAGGATGCTTTTCTAATAGTTGAAGATCAAAAGTAGTCCAAATAGAATTTCAGAAGTGATTTTAATGATGCCAGAAAATGGCAAGTCTTACACAGCTGAATTCTTAAAGAAGAAAAATTAACCAAAAGGAAATCATGAGATTTCCTAGAAATATTTGTTCTTATGTGTGAAGAGGCAGGCTAATCTTTTGTATGTGAGAGGCCTTCAGTGTTGTAAATAGGATAAATATGCATTTTGTCAAAGATATTTTATTTTTAAAGAAAAGCATGATATTTTGTGTGTGAAGTTTGGGCTTTTTTTTTTCCACCCTAAATCCTTCAAATGTTTTTAGTCATGTTTTTTAAGATAGTGAAGAGCTGCATATTTCAAAATGTATTTATATTCTGACCTTGGTTCATAAAAGTCTGCCAAGCGCCAGAACTATTTAAATTTGGCTATAACACTGTGTTAACGTGATGAATAACGATTGACATAAATGTACTATATTATTTTTATAAATTGTGGTTAGACATGATAGTAATTTTAGAATATTTACAGTGCTATTTTTGGAGACTTTTTTTTTTTTTTTAGTCAACTAGCAGTGTTGAATGTTTTATCTAGCCAACTACAGGTTTTCAGCTCATAATTAGAAATGCCTGAGAAGTCCATATTGTGATTTAAGGAGTTATTAGCCCAAGTCAGCAATTTTATAAGGCATTCTTATTAGGAAGTATAAAATGAACTTTATGTAGTAAAAAACGTATTTTATAATTGGCATATATCTAATGCATTGTATACATTCACTCATATTAAGCATTTTGGTTAGTCTTCATTATTTAATCCTCCTGTGGTTACTTAACATAGAATGTGTAATGAAGAACTCAGTAGCTTTAAAGGTGGGGTGGTTGAGGAGAATAGAAAATGAAGGTGATTTATTAACTACTGTTGAAAGCTGCTTTAGCAGTTAGGGTGAATAAAAATGATGATTTATTAAGTATTCCATCAGTAATAAGATAAAGCCACAGTGTAGGGTTGGAAGTACTTCTGTTTTCCCTAACTCCCAAGAATACAGAATTTCTATGACATTGGCTCTTTGCAGTCGTCCGTCCCTTCCAGAACTATCATATTGAGGGCAGGAGAAAGAGCTTCCCCTATTCATCCATGTGTCCAACAGATCAGTTAGCTCTGGGCCCTGCCCATAATAGGGCCCAGTATGTATTTGTTGAATGAATATGCTCTTTGAAATAAACATGCCTACAGGAGTTACTCAGGTTAAGTGTGATTTCGCGCTAAGTAATCTGGTATTCCAGAAGTGGTGTCCGCTCATCTTTGAAGTCCTTTCTAATGTATATACTCATGGGCTACAAGTCTTTGTCTTTTTGATTTTTTTTTTTTACAACAGTCAGAAGTCATTTAGAATCAGACCTAGTGAATAAAGAGACTAATGAATATAGGAAATGCCTTTTCCAGTTTTCAAGTTGTTTTCCAGAATGATTTATAAAATGAAAACTGCATTCATTTTCTTATATGACTGTAAACTGGTGAAAGTGGTGCCAAAAACAAAAAAAAGTCTTTTGACCAAATACAACACTGCTGAAATAAATGTAGATGATTGTGAGATTCCTTTAAAGGTCAACACTCGAATATAAAGATTCTGTTATTTTATTGAAAAGTGTTTATATCTACAGCCAGTATTTTTTTTTTAGATATGTTATTTTTAAAGTAGGTAGAGTCTTCATTTATTTTCTTTATTACCTAGAATACTGGACAGTATTTAATAAGGGTTGCCATTTTTCTTGTATTTCAATTTTATACAGGATATACCTAGAGTTGGTTTTGTTTTGTTTCCATTTTGGCAAAATTTTTTGAGAGATAAAGGTGTCTTAATGAGTAATGCTTACAGTACCACACTAAAATGAAAAGTCATAGGTTAGCTATTATTTTCCACTAGAGAAATCAGAATTACATAAACATGTTCCTCCCTAAGAAGGTGTGATATTTTGAGAAAGAGAAAGAAGCTTGGTTTTCTATTTCCCAATTTCATATTGTTTCTCCTGAAAAGTGCTGTGTCATATAAATAATTGCATGGTAGAGGCTCAATGAATTTTATGCATTTGTCAGTGGTCCCTTTTGCAGTTTATTCTACAGATGACTATTAATATTCCTAAAACATCACTTCTCTCGTATTGCCCAACTCAGGTTTTAATGGTCCTCCATTTCCTATAAAGTAATGATTCAGACTTCAACATGCATCAGAATCACCTGGAGGGCATGTTAAAACAGATTGCTGGTGCCGGGCGCAGTGGCTCACACCTGTAATCCCAGCACTTTGGGAGGCCGAAGGGAGGATCACTTGAGGCCAGGAATTCAAGACCAGCCTGGCCAACGTGGTAAAACCCTGTCTCTACGAAAAATACAAAAACTAGCCAGGTGTGGTGGCGTGAGCCTGTAGTCCCAGCTACTCGGGAGGCTGAGGCAGAAGAATCACTTGAACCCAGGAGGCGGAGGTTGCAGTGAACCGAGATTGTGCCACTGCACTCCAGCCTGGGTGACAGAGTGAGACTCTGTCTCAAAAAAAATAATAATAAAAAAATTTTGAAAGCCTGGAGTTTCTGATTCAGTAGGCCTGGGTGGGCCCCAGAATTTGCATTTTTAGCATGTTGCTAGGTGATACTGATGCTTCTGGTCCAGTGACTTCAGCTAGAAAAACATTTTGCTCTAGAATGAAGTCACAGTGAAGTCACAAATGTTTAGCTTGGCATCCGTAGTCTTCTGTAAATCTGCATCAGTTTATTTGTTGAGTTGTATCTCTGTTACTTCCCAGGAAGGACTGTGCTTCCACAAAACTTACATAGTTACTATCTCCAGAACACATGTCGTTTAGGATTTCACCTTGTTTACTTTATGGTTCTCAAAAGGAGAGTCTTCTCACTTGCTCAAAATCCATGTCCTCATGAAGCCCTCTCTACACTCTCAACCTTCACTGATTTCTCCCTTCTCCAAATTCCCATGTTATTGATTATTTCTATCTTTGGCCTGTGTGTCACTGATTTTGTGTGCATATATGTTATCTTTCAAGTAGATTTCAGACACCCTAGAAGTGGGGACACCTTTTTTATCTCATAGGTCCGTGGCCCAGAATTTGACAATAAAAGGCAATTCATCCTAAATGTAACCCAGATTAAGTATATCAACAAAATGTTTTATAAATGTGAGGCAGTATGGCAGAGTAGAAACACTTCTGTCCTCCCTTTCCACGCCTTTGAAATGGAGTTAATAATTCCTCTTTTTCAGAGTTGTTGTAAGAATTAAAATAGAAAATGTATGTGAATCTCTCAGCGCAATGCCTGGCATGTATCATTCATTATTCAATACATAGTATGTACTTACTAGCAGCTAGGAATTGGTAGGAGTGATAAGGAAAGGGGTTGGTAGGTAAATTGGATTCAGAAAGTCATTTCCAGGAAAGAAAAGTATGTTTTGGCTGCAGTATTGCTGTATTGACCAATAGCTTCTATTTTCTATTGTTGCCTCCCCTTTTAGTTGTTGTTGCCAAATTTCTCACTTCCTATGGCAGGAAAGTAAGCATTATTTTGCCTTGTTAGAATTGTTATTACACAGAAGGGATGCTCATCCTCAGGAAAACCATAGAGAGGGTGTTGAATGGAGTGGTTCCTCATTCATTCATCAGTGTCCAGTTACTTCTGACTTCTGGGCCTGCTGTCACACAACACTCAGATATGTGGGGAGGAAAGAAAGCCAGGGATAAAGAAATCTGGAGAAATACCTTCAGGGCATAGAAAGAAATAATTTTTGTGAGCTGAAAAGCTGAAAATGTTTCATTCAGAGATAACTACATGTGTAAATTTAGCTCAATAATTAGGCATATGGTGCTTTCATTTTAGGATGTATCCACCCTTTGTGATAATATCCGTTGATTATTAGAGCTGCTGCAGCTTTAACTACATTGGCAGCAGAGATTCCTAGTGCATTTAAGACAAGAATTCAAGAGTGAAATGGAAAACTGAATTAATAATTTGTTCTTGGGTGGTTTTAATCTGCTCCTTAAATGTAGTTTATGCCTGGAGGATTAGATTTGGAAACAGAACACCAACTAATGTTCTAAAAGTTTACTTCCTTTTATTGGAACATTATACTCTTAAAGATTTTCAGAAGAACATTTTGGCTGTTTTAGTCTTAACATACGAGGTACACTTAAGTTCTTATGATTCAACCTAAAACAATAGAAAGCTTTTAATCTATGATATAATTTTTAACTTTTAAAGTATTTCATGTTAGACTTCAAGGCAGGAATTGTTTAATAAAAACCAACTAATAAAAGGAAAGATATTCTTTGTTGGGCACGAGGATATTTGGGTCTCTTTTCCCAAGCTTTTTAAAATCCCCCTAGGTCTATATTTTTCAATCTTAGAATTTAAAATCTGCTTGCTGTTGATGGTAAAGAAAATAGGAAAATTAAAATCAAAGGTTATTTCTGTTTACTTCCCATACCTTGTCAAATGTTTCTAAAATTGATCGAAAATAAACCATTGTAATTTTATAAATTGAAAAAAGAGTTATATTCCAAGATATAGCATAGTAGGATGAGCTGAAATAGGAAGTTTAAAACAGGTGTCTTTGGGAGAGTTGGGGATGGTGATGCTTTCCATCTGCTTCTTGCTTAAAGCTTTAACTACGGTCCTATTAGAATATACCTGAGAGTCTGGGAAGTCAGTGTATTTGCTTCTGTGGTTGTAGTTCTCCACCCACCTGTGATCTGAAGAATTACACCCTAGGTTTTTATAAGGTAAAGGCACTAGAATTTAGACATTTAGAAGGGACTTCTTTGAAAACTAGGAAGAAGATGGGCAAAGTATAATACCAGGTATTGGTCTGAGTTAACCAGGAGTAGATTATTTATTAGAAAACTAGTCTGAATTTATGTATTCTTGATAAATACAGGTTTTGACAGAAATTCTCCACTTTTGACTGATCTGGTAATAGAGGTTGAGGATTTTATAGCCAGATATGCTGCAGGTAATCAGGTGTTAGTTCTAGCTTAATAATTAGCTTAATTTAGTATTAGCTGTCTTTTTCTGTGGTACTTTACCCATGCTCTTAATCATCTTCCATCCTTCAGTGTGTTCTGCTGGAGAGAGGCGGTACTAATGGTGCAAAGGCAGACATCAGGAGAGTTGCAGAAGTGGTATTATATATGTTACACACGTCAGAAGACTAGTCACCTTAATACTCAGTAATTGACTATGATTGGCAGCAGGGAATGAGCAGCCCTCTCGCTTCCTGGAACCTTGAGAGGTGAATTCCATACATTACCACTGGTGTTCAGAAGGATCACCTTTTTCTGACCTGTGGGCACTCACTCCTACCTTTTAGAATTCCTGAGGGAGGAAGCTGTCTAGTTATATGATTAGTTAGCATATTTGTGGACCTTTAATTATCAATAGAATTGCTCGAAAGCTGTCTTAGGAAGTAATGCCTTTGATTGATTTGAAATCTCATGCATCACCCGTGTTGCTAGTGTTTTCCAAAACACTGAGGGATTTTTGCAGACAGCATTTTCAGGGGCTGATTTGAAGGTAATAAACCAAACTGGCAGGGAGGGAGGGTTCTTCCTCCACCTCAGGGTGAGATCTCTGCTCCTTTACTTTACTCTGGAGTGCCCTGTCTTCACAAACCCCGGGGGCACACAACACATTAGTAGCCATAAGTGTCTGTTGTGTGTTATGCAGCCCGGAGTCTTCCACTGGTATATACCAAGTCCCCAAGTTAGATATTTCTCTTTTAAAAAGAATTTTGCCTTCATATTTAAAATAAAAATTATATTCCTCAATTGGCTTTTTTTTTTTTTTCTTGAGATGGAGTTTTGCTCTTGTCGCCCAGGCTGGAGTGCAGTGGCATGATCTCAGCTCACTGCAGCCTCAGCCTCTGGAGTAGCTGGGATTACAGGTGCCCGCCACCACGCCCAGCTAATTTTTGTATTTTTGGTAGAGACCAGGTTTCACCATGTTGGCCAGGCTGGTCTCCAACTCCTGACCTCAGGTGATCCTCCCACCTTGGCCTCCCAAAGCGCTGGGATTACAGGCGTGAGCCACCGTGCCCGGCCAGTTGGCTCTTAAACCTCAGCTATTAATTTCCAAGTATTTTTGGTTTATGAATAACAACAGCAATAATAGCAATGTCTGATAATTTTCTCTTTTTCTCTAGGTTTAAAACAGAGGCAACAGTTAAAACTATACTTTTAATAAAAAGTGCAGCTTCTCAGTTATACTCCATCATGTATTCCCTTTTTCTCCTAATAGAATGTGTTTGTTATTCTTCCTGTTCTGAGAGTGGCTCCTTAATTGATTTTATACCATCAGTTAGTGTTATTATATATAATTAAGGAAATCAATAATGAGATTTTTAAAATATCATCTTGGCATAGATTTTGTCTCCTTTATCTGCAGTTTTAATTCTGGAATGGTGAAAAGTATGCCAGTAACTACAGGATACCATTTGTTGAGTGTTCACTTCCTATTAGATACTATGCTCACCACTTTATGTACATATTCTCATTAAATTCTCAGAACAACAAGTATTTGGTTTTTCTCAGAATATGGGTATTTGACATTATTCTCCTCATTTTATACATAGGAAATTGAAGCCAGGAAGGGGCAAGCAAATTGCCCAGGGTCGAGCAGCTCCTGCGAGGTTGAAATCCAGGTCTGTCTGGTCCCTGCCCCCACCCTCTTCTTGTGCACTCATCTCTGCTGGGTTCCCCATATCCCCTGGGGCCTTGGCAGGCTCAGATCTTACCCACCTTGAATAAAGAATCAGGACTCCTGTTGCAGTCACTCCTCTGCCTGAGAAGGAAGTAAAGGGAAGTGAGGTGAGGACTGGCACAATTTCCACCCCAGCTTGTGGCAGACAACATGCTTTAATTCTGAAAGCAACACCAATGCTCAGTTTGTTTGGAAAAGCCTCTCAAGAGTAATATTGTGCTCAACTTAACAACTATATTTACTAGTATGTGTTCATGTATGTTTATATCCCCTTGATTATATATATATATATATATATATATATATGCATAATATGTACATGGTTATGTGCGTGTATATAATTATCTAAAATAATACCTTAAGCATTAATGAAAGTTATTGGGGGTTCTGGAAAGTTGTTTAAATCAAGAGAAAAACAATTGTCACTGGAAGAAACAAATCTAAATTTGCTTCCTTTATTCTCCCTCATCTTGGGGCAACTATGACTCCTAAAGTTTAGGATACATAATGTTACAATTATTTAATTTTTAAGCAAGAGATTCTATAAAGTGTGACCACATTAACAAAAATGCAGTATGAATTTTAAATTCACAGTGAGGTATATCACCAAAAAGAATTCTATGAGTCAAAATAATATATTGTTACTGACTTGACAGTCAAGTTGTATATAGAAGTGACAACAAAGGCTCTGTTTAATTGATCTTAAGAGATCCGGACAGTATAACTCTTTCTGCAAATGGGGCGATACAGTTATCATTCAAACCCAAATAATTTTTTTTTAATTTTAATATTTTCCTTTAATAAATCAGATTAAGAATCACTTCCAACAACCCTCCTACAAATATTTAGAAGTACCACCCTGTGCAAGGCACTGGAGAGATGACAGTAAACAAGACCATTATCACCACTGCCCACATGGAGCCCAAAGGGGTAGAGAGTAAGGAGGCCCTGTGACAAGTACCCTGGGAGGGGCCTAGAGTTACTATGGGAACCTGGAGTAGAACATAACTCTGGCAGATTAGGGGGTTCAGGAACACTTTCTAAATGAAGTAAAGTATTAGACCTGAGGATGAGTGGGAATTAGCCGGTTGCAGGCAAGATGAAGAGGGCCGCAGGATAGGAATGGAATGTATGAAGGTCCCCAGGGCAGCCAGAGGACTGAGCCAGAGTAGTAGTGCTGAGAAGAGGAAGTGGGCCACAGAAATGAAGCAGAGAAGGCGTCTGACCAGGTGTTTAGACTTTATCCTGAGATCATCAGGAACCATGGGAGGGTTTCAAGTTGCAGAAATAATATCAAATCTGCATTTTTGGATAAGACTGGAGTCCAGGACATGTGTTAGAAGGCTCGGCAGTAATCCAGGTGAGAGATGAGGATGGCCTAAATGCATAAAGGGGTAGTGAAGATAGAGAAAGTGAACAGATCCTTGAGATACTTAAAACCGGAATTTATAGAACTTTGTGGGCACTTAAAAATGGAGAGTGAGAGAGGAAATGGAGATAAAGAGGTTCTTGGGTTCCTGATTGGGTCACGGGTTTTCTGATGGTTGGAATCGTCAGGAGAGAGAGAGGAGTGGAGAGGGGTAATGGATGTGGTTTAGGATATGTGGCATTAGAGGAGAAAGATGTCCAATTGGAGGTCTCTTGTGAGCAGTTGGATGTATACAACAAGCACTGCAAAGAGAAGTCTAGGCTAGAGATGCCAATCTTGAGGCCATCAAACTATGGAAATAAATAAGATCTATTAGGGATAATGTGTCCTGTACAAAGAGTCAAGGGCTTAGAAGCCCAAGGAACATCAACATTTACAGGATGTGCAGAGTAAGTGGTGACAGAGAAGGAGCAATCAGAGAGATGCAGGAAGAAAACTGGCAGAGTGTGGCACTCTGGAGCATTTTTAGATATTCAGTATTTGAAGGAGTGAGTCTCAGCAGTGTCAAATGCTGCTGAGAGTCAAGATAAGGACTAAGAAGTGTTCTGTGGATTTGGTAAGAAGCAGGTAGAAGATGACCCTTACTGGGGCTGATTCAGTGCAGTATTCAGGGTAGCAGCTGTATTGCAGTGGAGCTAAGGAAGGGCACAGACTATTCTTTCAAGAAGGTAACTGTGAACGAGGCCAGAGAGGTGGGGTGGTAGCTGCAGGATGACAAGGGGCAATGAGAAGGCTGAGTAAAGAAACAGAATACTTGCTGGGCACTGCTGAGCACACAGTTGGAGCCGGCAGCTGGCCCCCTCTGCTCACTCGTTTGATTTTTCCTTAGCGGGATTCAACCACTCTGCCATATTTGGACAAGGCAAACAAGTAGATTGACCTATCAAGGAAGACACATGTTCCCAAGTGCTTTTTTGAGAATCTGATACAAGAGATCATTTGTTAGTAAGAATGTAAATCCACTTAATTTGGAGTCAGTGGGTGGGGGGGGGATATTTATTATAAAAAGGAATCTCTCATGGATTTAGGTGAAGACCTCACAGAACCTGGAATTACAAATGTGAAGGTACAGGGAACCAAGACTGCTATTCCTCATTTCTTACTCTGGGCTACTTAGTCTTTTGTCTTCAGTCATACATGCTTTATTCTTTCCTCTGCAGACAGGCTGTCTTATGAATCAGTACTCAAGTTTACATAGCCAATAAGTTTAAACACTAATAGACTTTGTAATAAGCATCTCAGAGGCTCAATTCCAAATTCCCAGAATGGAGAATCTGACCCAGCTTTAGTTAAGTGTCTAATCATCTATGGCCAGGGGGGTGGAGTATTGATTTTTAGTGCAAATGTAGGCATGGCACAGAGCCTCCTAAGTGACAGAAAGAAGAGGATTGCCTGGCTGCACAGAGGTTTTCTGGCATCTCTGCTGCATCCAGACATCTGCTTTGCTGTATTTATCTTATTGAAAATTTCTCTGTTGTGGGCCTACTTGTCAGAGGCAAGTTGTCCAGAGTTCTGCTATATATTCATTATGGAAGGTTTTACCTTATTGAAATGACAGTTCCCCACCTTTAGCATTTTATATTGTTCCATTAACTGTCATACAAACATTCCTGCAAAATATCAGTTCAGGAACCAAACTTACTTTCCCTGAGATGGTAACCGTTTCACAGCCTCTCATATTGCTGCTTCATTATGTGATGAAGTCTAAACACGTAAATGGTGACCAGTTAAAACACACACCTGCACACATCAAATCAAGAATTTGATTCCAAATTTACAAAATAATCAGGTCTTATCTTTTGAAATCCTACCTGTCTATCAAGACCCAATTTAAATCTTATTCATTCCATAAATTCTTGCCTGTTCTTATCCCCTGAACAGCAGAAAATTATTTTTCTCTGTTTTTATGACTCACTTTGTTTTAACCTACTTACTACTTTCTTAGTGTTAAAGGCAGCACACACAAAGGCACTGAGATGAGAGAGCTTGTGGCTTTGCCACTTATTAACAGTCCAACCCTGTGAAGATATACAGTGCATTTGAGCTTTATCTCTTACCTGTGAGAGTGATGATAATGCCTACCTTTCCTGGATGTGAGGAGCCAGCAAGTGAGCGGATGCACAACTGTTTGCATGCTAGGAAACCTTTGCAGATATTGATTACTTAAGGAAATAGTTTTGGGGTTTGAAGACCGGGTTTCTAAATCCCTGTCTGCCACTTGGTAATTCATGGTGTGGCAGTGGGTGACTTACTGTTCTTCTTGGGCATGTTGTGTGGTGTGTTTTCTTTCATTGCTCTAACAAATTATCACAGAGTGACTTAAAACAATACAAATTAATATCTTACAGTTCTAGGTCAGAGTCAGAGTGGCCTTGTTTGGTTTCTCTGCACTGAGTCTCATAAGGCCAAAAATGAGCTGTCAGCTGGCCCAGGCTCTTCTCTGGCTCTGGGGGAGAATCTGTTTTACAAGCTCATTCAGGTTGTTGGCAAAATTCAGTTCCTTGCCAACTGTAGAACTAAGGTCCCCATTTCCTTGCTGTCAGTCGACTCTCAGTTTCTGAAGGCCACCTGCATTCTTCGTCAGTTTGCTCCCTTCATTTTCTTTTCATTCATTCATTCATTTAGACAAAAATTGTATATATTTATGGTGTACACATTTCAAAATATGTAACCATTGTGGAATGGCCAAATTCAGCTAATCACCATATCTGTTACCTCACATACTTACCATTTCTTTTGGTGGGAGCACTTAAAATTTACTTTCTTAGCAGTTTTCAAGTATACAGTACAGTGTTCTTAGCTATAGTCACCATGTTTTACTACCATCTTAAAAATATGGAATGTAGCCTGGCCAACATGGTGAAACCCCATCTCTATTAAAAATACAAAAATTAGCCAGACATGGTGGTGCATGCCTGTAATCCCAGCTCCTTGGGAGGATGAGGCAGGAGAATCGCCTGAACCCACGAGGTGGAGATTGCAGTGAGCCAAGATTGAGCCACTGCACTCCAGCCTGGGCGACAGAGCGAGACCCTGTCTCAAAAAAAAAAAAAAAACAAAAAAAAAAAACGGAATGCTTCATAAATTTGCACATGATCCTTGCGGAGGGGCCGTGCTAATCTTCTCTGTGTTGTTCCAGTGTTCATACATGTTGACAAAGCAAGAACTGAACACTCCTTTTTCAAACCAGCAACATCACATGGAGTCCTGTTCAGCTGAATCTCTGACTTTCCATTCTGCTGCATCTCTTCTGCCCCCAGCTGAAGAATGTTCTTTGCATTTAAGGGCCCACTTATTAGATTGGGCCCACCTGGATAATCCAGGTTGCTCTTTAAGGGCAACTTAATTGTTCTTAAGTAACTTTCATCATACCTGCCAACTCCCTTTGCCATGTGAAATAACATGTGCACAGGTCTGGGGATTACAGCATGGAAATATTTGGGGTAGGGTGGTCATTCACTCTGCTTACCACTTTTGGTACTATGTATGTGTACAGTGTGTGAAGTCAAGCACAGTCACTTGCATACGTAGAGCTACTCAACAGTCAGTGGTAAATCATGTGGTCTTGATATGGTTAGGCTTTGTGTCCTCACCCATATCTCATTTGAATTGTAATCCCCATAATCCCCACAATCCCCACGTGTCAAGGGAGAGGCCAGGTGGAGGTAATTGAATCACGGAGGCAGTTTCCCCCATGCTGTGCTCTTGATAGTGAGTTCTCACAAGATCTGATGGTTTTATAAGGGGCTCTTCCTTCCCTGCCTTGCTTCACCTTCCACCATGATTGTAAGTTTCCTGTGGCCTCCCCAGCCATGCTGAACTGTGAGTCCATGAGCCCTCTTTCCTTTGTAAATTACCTAGTCTCCAGAAGTTGTTTATAACAGTGTGAAAACAGACTAATAGAGGTATAATGTACATGGATGCACTTTGGTCAAGAGTAGGCCAAGGCAGGCATCCGAGCCTGCATGACTCAGTGAGTTTAGGGCACAGGTGCATACTCCATTTGTTATAACCGGTTTGTGTAAGTTTGTACTTGGTTCTGGACCACTATTGTCTGTAAAAGGTATAACTGTCCTGCTGACGCTATACAGGTGCTCGTGCCCAGAGAAAGAGAGAGCTAGAGCTGTCCGTCTTTTCCGTCTTTGCAGACGGACAGTGAGGAGCCAGGACACAGCTCGGCCTGCTTATGTCCAGAGAGAGAAAGAGTTAAGCTGCTGACCCTGAAGGCAGGGAGAGCCACCCACACAGGTATACGTGGGAGCAGCCGGCTCAAGCAGCCGAGACAGAGCAGAAAGTGTAAGAGAGATGCTGAATAAAGCTGTATTTCACCTATCTACGGCCCCTGAGTGTTCTTTCAGCTATCTGCCATTCATCCACCCACTCCCCTCGGACCTCAGCATGGGCTGGAACCTGACCCTGGACCTAACAACAGGTCTGTTGCTGTGATTTATGTTCAACAAACATAAACTGTTACCCAAGAGATATTTTGTGCCTCAGGTTGCTGGTAGGAGTAATGCAAATCAAAAGAAGCTAGGTTGATAGTCATACAGTAGTTCCTTTGTATAGTAACTTCTAGTATATGCAAATAGAGAAGGCAAGCAAACATGCTGTATCCACATGTAGGGAATATTGATCAATAGGAAGAATATTCCATTTTTTTCTTAGGACTTTTGTTGAAGCCTTTGACAAACTATCTTATTTCAATTCCATTATTGTTCGTATTCTGGGCTCAATAGGGGTATTTAAAGTACCCAGTGTTGTAAGACTACTGAAAATCCACATCCCCCTGCCCCCGGCGACGGAGTATTGTTCTGTCACGTTGGGGTGCAGTGGTGCAATCTCAACTCACTGTAACCTCTGCCTCCTGGGTTCAAGCGATTCTCCTGCCTCAGCCTCCTGAGTAGCTGGGATTACAGGTGCATGCCACCACACCTGGCTAATTTTTGTATTTTTATTAGAGACGGGGCTTCACATGTTAGCCAGGCTGGTCTCAAACTTCTGACCTCAAGTGATCCACCCACCTCGGCCTCCCAAAGTGCTGGGATTATAGGTGTGAGCCACCATGTCTTGCCAGACTACTGAAAATCTTGAATGAAAAATAATTCTAATTTTTGTTTATTCACCCTGCATCTTAGCAGGTATAGTGTAAAAGTTAGGAGCAAAAACTCTAGAGCCAGACTCCCTAATTCTGATTTCCCGCTCTTTGATGTGTCCAGTGAACTTGGGCAAGTTACTTAACCTCCCTATACCTCAGTTTTGTCATCTGTTAAGGTAAATATAGGCCCAACTTTGTGGAGTTATTATTGAGGATTAAATTAAATGTGTTGATATATGTAAAGTGTCTGGAATTGTAACTACTATATAGTGCTGTGTGAGTCTTAGGATTATTATTTTAATTGAATAATATGCTTTAACCATTGGCTCTAAACTAAGGCTGTTTTGCTTCCCAGGGTACATTTGCCAGTGTCTGGAGATAAGGGTTGTCACATCTGTTGGGGTGAGATACAGACATCTAGTGTATACAGGCCAGGGACACCACTCTGCGTCCAAAAATGCACAAGGCTGCCCTCCCCAACCCCCCAAACACAGGCTTATCCAGCCCGAATTTCAGTAGTGTCAAGATTAAAAGCCCCAGTTTAAACCAGTGGCCTTTTATTTTTTTAGTAACAACTTCATTGTCAAATAAAATATTCATGTATCATGAGTGACTTTTAACAATGAGGAAATTCATGACTGAGAGCCATAGGGCTCTGAGTTCTACAATAAAGTGAAAAGTAGAAAATAATTGTTCTGGTGATTATAAAAAGAGATATCACAGGAAAAGAGTGTGCTTAACTTCTAGAATATATAATTAAGGGTAAGAAATACTCTGATCCTGTGAATCATTGAATGGGAGTTCTCATTTTCTAATTTTCCAGTGAGGTTCTTCTGGAGATTATAAGGATGAAATTACAGGTGACCCTTGAACAATGCAGGGATTGGGGCACCAACCCCTCATGCAGTTGAAAACCTGCGTATAACTTTCGATTCCCCCCCAAACTTAACTACCAATAGCCTACTGCTGACCGGAAGCCTTACTGACTAAACATAAGCAGTCAGTTAACACGTATTTTGTATGTTATATGTATGATATACTGTATTATTATGGCAAAGTAAGCTATAGAAAAGAAAATGTTATTTAAAAAATTGTTAGAAAATATATTTATTCAGGTGGAAGTGAGTCATCATAAATGTCTTCATTCCTTGTCTTCGTGTTGAGTAGGCTGAGGAGGAGGAAGAGGAGAGGTGTTCATGCTGTCTCAGGCAGAGG
This sequence comes from Homo sapiens, assembly GCF_000001405.40. Lineage (NCBI taxonomy): Eukaryota > Metazoa > Chordata > Mammalia > Primates > Hominidae > Homo > Homo sapiens. The sequence goes on along the minus strand of NC_000006.12, from coordinate 119,324,137 downwards.
TGGAAGAAAATCCAAGTATAAACAGACTCCCACAGTTCAAACCCATGTTGTTCAAGGGTCAGCTGTACTTGGATTTGGAAACTTGCTGTTACTGTGTATGTTGAAACACAGTGAGAGTTAAGATAACTATGCATTACAGTTGCTTATGTGGAATTTACCTATATTGTAGTAGTGGTAAATTTTGCAAGTCCCCAAATGTTTTTGCCACTGTTATTTTTATTTCTGAATATTATATAAGGCTTATGTGTTTGCTCTCTTCACTCCGTCTCATCCCGTAGGTATATTGAATAATTTAGAATTTAGGGTATTCTTCAACTACTTTTTTCTCCACCACCTCTCCTATCAATTTTAGCTATTTGATTTGTCCATACAAGATTCTGTAGGACTATCTGAGACTCTGTTCATTCTTGTGGTTACAGAATTTGTCCTTTTGATGATAGGTCACTTAATCATCAACACTTGCATGACCACAGGGTGCAGAAGCTGTTGAGACTGACATCCTGGATCATGTAGGAAAGAACCTGGGCACATTCCCATACCTTCCACTCTGTTAACCTACTTGGAGAAACTGAAAATCACAAGACACAAACAAAAATAACCTGCAGTTGTTCATCATTAAGATTAAGCAGAACACTGATATGTTGGGCATCAACTAAGTGCTAAAAATACTTGATAATTGATTACATGATACAATTGCTAAGTATTGGTTAAAAAAAATATGAGATTGTGATCATATTAGAAATACATTTGTCTCATGGTATTTAACAAATTTGTGGCTTACATCAATATGGCAAAAGGAAGGTGTTAATTGCAGCGAGGATGATAACCACTGCATCATTTTTGGGTCATTGTATTACAACTTTGAATCTATAGGCATAAAGGGAAACACACTGACTCCTTATTTAAAAGGAAGAAACAAAACCTTTTTGATTCAGATCATGTCTGCCATATTTTTAAATTAGGGCTAGAACCTGGGAAAAGCAGCTTACAGCAGAACTACATTTTATAATGCGATCTTTTGTTCAATTTGACTAGTTTGTTTTTCTGACACTCTCTAAAGTGGTGTAACAGTGATAAGTACTTCTTCACAGACTTTGTAATTAAGAGAGATCAGCCTTAAATATAATTGGCACCTTTCAAGGGTTTGGGCAAAGTCCAGCCAGTGTCCTGTGATGTCAGGGTATTAGAACAGAGAACGTCTTCTGTCAGCCACCACCTTGCTGTGGGCTCAGTTATGTGCTGAGCACCACATCAAAGACCCAGCTACGTAGCGGTTGAAAACTAGTTAAGGCCTTCCTTCTACTTTGAAATGATTGTTACCCACAGCTTGGTTTGCTACTTCCTAATTCAGAGCCTTATGCTGAAGACATTTTTGGAAAAAACTCAACAGTTTTATCAGTGAAATATGGGGAAATACTTAAGTGTCTTCATCAATAATTAGTTGATCTGGGGAAAAGAGACGGATTAAACACTGGGGAAGAGAGACTTGGATTATAGTGAATCAGTGTCTATGTATATTATATAATTTCTATAAATAGGACTGGCCGAGTAGTAGCAAATAGCACACACAGGACCATGTTTCTTGCCTCGTTTCGGTGTACATAGTGGCATTTTATTGTGGTACTCTGGACCAGTGACTAGAGGGTCCCAAAGACTAGAGCTCATACTAGGAAGACAATTCCTTTACAATAGGTGGTTACCATTAGTTCTGCGAATAGAACGGAGATCTGAGTCTGGATTCCAAAGAATACTGGCAAGGCATATCATAGTAGTAATTGGTCTAAGCTGAGCAGGGCCCAGTACTGAGAGGGTCAAGCCTAGGAGAAGAAAAAAAGCAGAAATGGAACCAGAATGACAACACTTAGTAATGTGGATAAGATCATCACAGACATACAGCTGTACACCAGTGAGCTCCTTGTGGACAGGAATTGAATGCAGTATAGGCCATGTAGCTGTGGGTGCTCAAGATGATTGTGGAAGGAATGAATGGTTCTGCCTGGCACAAAGGAACATGGGAATGGCATTTGGTCTGGAGAGTCCAGTACTAGGACAGGTTCCACCCTGCTGCCCAACTGAATCTCTTAGGGAATTTGCTTTCTGCCTGGCTCAGGAAGCTGTGATCTCCTTCCTTCTCTGTGAGTTCTATAGGAGTGGGCCACTGTTATGGAGGGCTGCGGCCCCTGGAACATTTTTACCATTGCTCAAAGTAAACATTTGCAGGGCCGGGGCGGTGGCTCATGCCTGTAATCCCAGCACTTTGGGAGGCTGAGGTGGGTGGATCCCTTGAGGTTAGGAGTTCAAGACCAGTCTGGCCAACATGTCAAAATCCTGTCCCTACTAAAAATACTAAAAATTAGCGAGGCATGGTGGTACATGCCTGTAGTCCCACCTACTTGGGAGGCTGAGGCAGGAGAATTGCTTGAGCCCAGGAGGTTGAGGCTGCGGTGAGCTGAGATTGTGCCACTGTACTCCAGCCTGGGAGACAGAGCAAGACCCTGTCTCAAAAAAAAAAAAAAAAAATTGCAGGCCATGTAGTCAATCCACTAGATTTCAGGACCTTGGTTCTTTGTCAGTAAAATTCAAAGGTGAGTAGTTAGTTGTTGGGAAGGTGACCTTCTGAGACAGGACCAAGGAAGCAGGCGAGAGGGACAGATCCTTCATAAATCCTGACAGAGGATCCTGTAGAAGGTAAAATATCCTTCTGGTTTGGAGGAGCATTTTACACAAGGATATTTTAAATCAAGTTAGAGAGTCCTAAGCCAAGGACAGCATTTTATATTCAGTACTGGGAAGGTATTTTCTGTCAATGGTAGAAGGTCATACTTCTCTGTTTGGAACAACAGTCTTGTTTCCAGAAATGAAGGATATGGAATTCTAATATTGTTCAAACATTGAAAAGAAAACAGTGTGAGAGAGTCAGTTTATATGGAAATCGATAGTAGAAGATCACAAGTATACTGACCTATTTTAAATAAGATTTCATGTAGTTACAGTAAAACTTTGGGGAGAAAGTTGTATTCTTTCACGTATACATATTTGAGAGTCCAAAATTTTACATTTGAGAAAGAGAAATTGTAATTCAGCTATGATACCCTGTAAAATTAGGTAAAAATTAAACATTTCAAATAGTATTATCAGTTTTGCTGACTAGAAACGTAGTATTTAATGCAAGTACTATTATAAAATATTTTTTAACAAGACCCCCTTTTCACAAAGCTGAAGCTGTTTAATGTTATTAACAGAGTGGTATGTAATTATTGGGGTAATTCAGTTTTTACTAGCACTACAGATAAATTGTATTATAGAAGATGCCTTAATATTTGAGGTTTATACCAAGAAATATAGCCTTCTTTGATAACAATATTTACTTGAATAATTTATTTGATTTTGGTCAAATATTTTACTTTTTTCAAAGAAAGTGGAGAAAAACTCCTCAAATTATTCCATGATGTTGCTGTTTTCTGAGTGAATCCTGGAACCCCGACCACATACCTCTTTTTTTTTTTGTTTTTAACCGTTTGTGCCTTCCCCCAAGCCCACATCAGTCTTTAAAACTTAATCAGAGGACTTGGCTACTGTAATTTTTTTGGTAAATCATACTATTTATTATTACACAGTTGTCACTGTCAAACCTTTAGAGTAGTTTCAGCTGCCAAATAATATGAAAAATACTGCAGAGAAAAACTTCTGTTTTCTCAAATTGGGGCAATAGTACATAGCCCAGTTTTGAGCTGATCACTCTAGTTTTAAAAAAACAACCAGAGTATAACTACTTAAATGCTAAATGCCTTAGTGATTGGTGGTGGTTCAAACTTTAGTTTGAACTTTAAACACAACTGGCTGACCCATCCTTAAGAGAAGATACTGGCCGGGCACAGTGGCTCATGCCTGTAATCCCAGCACTTTGGGAGGCGGAGGCAGGCAGATCACGAGGTAAAGAGTCTGAGACCAGCCTGGCCAACATAGTGAAACCTCGTCTGTACTAAAAATACAAAAATTAGCCAGGCGTGGTGGTGAGCGCCTGTAGTCCCAGCCACTTGGGAGGCTGAAGCAGAAGAATCACTTGAACCCAGGAGGCAGAGGTTGCACTGAGCCAAGATTGTGCCACTGCACTCCACCCTGGGGACACAGCAAGACTCCGTCTCTTAAAAAAAAAAAGAAGATACCACTGCAGTTCTCCTGGCTTTTAATTCATTTATGACAGCAGAACAACCACTGCGACAGCATATCTGCATGTGCCACACCTTTTTTCAAGGCAGAAGGAAGAGGGAAAGCAAAGATACCCATTGACCTTGACAAAAGTCCCATTGGCTGGAACTTTGACCAATAGCCACTTCTAGCTGTGAAGAGGCCAGGAAAGAACATTAGGCTTTTACAGTTGTCAGTTTCAGCAAGAAGCAAAGGAAAAAGAGGTTTGGTTGTGGGGTAAATATATCTATATTATCTGCAGTAGGTCTAATATATATTCATATTTTTATTATTGTTTTGCAGCTTTGTGTAGTCTTTTGGAATAATAAAACAATTTCACCTCTGCTGACAAACTTGACATTTCTTTTACTTCCTAAATTTATGGCGGTCTTTGCCCAATTTTTAAGCCATAAAATAGCTGAAGAAAATTGGAAGTCATTGCATTCAAAGCTCATATTAAGTAATGCAGTCTATTTTAACAGGTTGCTGAATCTGGCATATATTTATTGCTGGCCACTTGCCATCCATCAACAATAGAATGAATGATGATGATGATGATTATTATTATTATTATTATTATTATTATTATTTTTACCATTTTGAAGAAAAAAAATCAGGCTCTATCAGATTTTAAAACCCTACCAGAAGGGTTAGAGTAATGCATTTGCAGGCCCAGGAAATATTTGCCATCACTTACAAAATACCTCAGATGATCTTCAGTCCATAGAAAATATGATTTTAGGGTGGTAATGATACAGGCATATTAGATGTTAGTGCTTGCCTTAAAGATGGTACTGTATCACATATAGTCTAAAATAATCATTTGCCATTTTTAGTGATAATCTTAGTAATGTAGAAGTCTAGATGAAACCATAGAAGAGAGCTTTGAAAAATAATCCATATCTCAGTACTTTTTTTCTGCATGTGTTTAATGAGAAATCTGATATTGCCATTTAGTGGCAATGTTTAGAGTATTATTGACATTCAAGCTAGTAATATTGAGCAATATGTCTCTTTTCAGTAACACAAAATGAAATTATTAGGGTGTTCTTTTGGTGATGAAATACAATCCTCAATGAAACCAAGACTCATGGTGATGAAAGAACCCGTGTAGGATGCCCAAGTAGAGGTGAACAGATACCTTTCAAAGGAAAGAACTTTTAGCTATTAAAATGTATGTAAAGCAAAGTTCTGTTTCAGTATATGTCAGGTAACTTTTTCCCTACAGGGTACAGAAGTAAGAGATACTCATATTTTCACTTTTTTAATATAGCAGTACATTTAATGCTTTCCCTGTATCTGCAAGGTTTTCAAAAAAAGAAAGATTGGAAGTTGGTTTTGCATGTCATGTTTCTGAAAGCCTCACTCTTAAACATAATGTAAATTTTTCCAGAATAATGAGATAAGTAACAGAAACATACAAAGATATATATCAACAGCACATGAGTAACACTTTATTTGGAAGCCAAGTTTCCCCCAGATTGCATGGGTCACACATTTGGCTCAGGACAGTGTACAAGGTAATATATGTTAGGCTTCAGACTCAATCTGAGTTCATAGCCAACCTCCACCACCAAGATCTGATGTTGGGAAAATTACTTTACCTCTTGATTTCTTCATCTGTGCAATGGGACTCTCTCTGGGGAGACTACCTTCCTTGCAGAGTTGTTGTAAGGGATGAGCGGAGAAATGCTTTACATACTTCCTGATGTGTAAGTGTTCAGTAAATGCTATTTCTGTGACAAGGATGATGATAAGAAAATACATTTTTGGGACACACCAATTATGGATTTTAAGTCTTGTGGAATCACTAGTTGCTACTCCAAGATTATCCTTAGGAACCAGCATTTCTGGTAGTATTACATTTCATAAGTAAAGTCCTTTTATACATTTTTATTATTGTTATGCCCAGATAATAATTTGTAAAACTGTTATCAGCAGTATGAAAGGATTACTTTCAGAATCTTACAAGATCATGGATTCTAGATGACAACGGATATTCCACTTATTAATAATGGACAATTTTAAGGACAGTTACTTCAGAAGGTTTTTTTTGTTTTTTTTTTAGGAAAAACAAATTTTCCTATAATATGTGACATTTTATGGCCAATCTATTTTTATGAATTCTACCTTCAAATAATAATAACTTACAGAATTACAATTCATAATCCTTTAATTAAGAAAATAGTGATTTCTGGCCTTAATTCAAAAAGGAAATGCTTATACTGTGCAAGTCTCTTCTTTAACAGCTTTATTCATAATTGCCAAAACTTGGAAGCAACAAAGATGTTCCTCAATAGGTAAATGGATAATTAAACTGCAGTATATCCAGACAATGGAATATTATTCAGCACTAAAAAGAAATATTATTCAACACTAAAAAGAAATGAGCCATCAAGCAATAAAAGGGCATGGAGGTACCTTAAATGCATGTTGCTAAGTGAAAGAAGTAACATGGCTACAATATAAAAGGCTACGTATTTTGTGATTCCAATTATATTTTGGATGAAACAAAACTATGCAGACAGTAAATTACTGGGGATTGGAGAGAGGGATGAATAAGCACAACATAGAGGATTTTCATGGCAGTGAAAATACTCTATGATACTATGGTAGTAAATACATGCCATTATACATTGTCAAAACCATTGAAATATACAACACTAAGAGTGAGCCTTAATGTAAATCATGGACTTTGGGTGGTAATGATGTGTCAGTGTAGGTCCATCAGTTGTAATAAGCGTACGATTCTCGTGCGTAATGTTGATAGTGAGGAGGTTGTGCCTTTGGGGTACAGAGGATATATAGGAACTTTGTACTTTCCACTCAGTTTTGCTGTGCATCTAAAACTTCTGTTTAAAAAAAAGTCTGTTTTAGAAAACATACACACACAAAAGAAAGGATAAAAGGGAAATACTTGTGCCCTACAATTCTCCTCTTGCTAACTGAAGAATGGGGCTTGACTCTAGGGATAGCTTGTTTCAAAAAAAAAAAAAAAGAATAATAATAATAAAAAAATGTAATTTAAAAAGGTAACTATATCTGACTTTGCTCATTTTAATGAAATTCAAGCTAATTCATTTTCATCGATCACTAAATAATTAGTAACTTTATTAACTACTAGTAATACTAGTGATAACCTCATAGTATTTGTAAAGTTTAAAAAAGGAATCTAAAAGAAAAAGCTTAGTCTTTATAAGGTTGACAAATCTATAAACAAATCTTTTAAAGATAGCACATTTCAATTTTAAAAATCATTTTGTCACTGCTGCAAAAATTAAAATGTGAAAATTTGAAGTTGTGGAATGATATATGTATGAGTTAGAATGTTTGGGCTTACCTTTTTATTACAAGTATTAAAAAAAAACTTTTGAGATTAGACATTACATGAAAATAGTATTTGTTTTCTATGGCACACTTTTTTAGCTCTCCTTAGGATATTAAGGGAGCATCTGTGATATCCCAGCAAGGAATACCTTTTTTTGGCTGGGCATGGTGGCTCACTCCTGTAATCCCAGCATTTTGGGAGGCCAAGGTGGGCAGATCACCTGAGCTCAGGAGTTCGAGACCAGCCTGGCTAACATGGCGAAACCCCGTCTCTACTAAAAATACAAAAATTAGCCAGGCACCTGTAATTCCAGCTGCTCAGGAGGCTGAGGCAGGACAATCGCTTGAACGCGGGAGGTGGAGATTGCAGTGAGCCAAGATCGCGCCACTGCATTCCAGCCTGGGCAACAAGAGCAAAACTCCATCTCAAAAAAAAAAAAAAAAAAACCCACAAAAATGAATATCTTTTTCTCTTGATCACTAAAGATCTGTAGTTGCTGATGCTTCCCATGTTGGGAAAGCCCTGTAAGATCTTGGCCTGGGGACCAAGTGAGGGAGATCACCTGTCACCACAGGCCTGCAAGGGGTCACTTGCTGGCCTCACATTGACCACAGAGGTCTTAGCACAGCTAATCTAATGAATTCAAAGTTTCCGTGTTAATTAAAAATCTGCCGAATAAACAGACCAAAAACCCTGAGGTTAAACCTTTAAACACAAAGTGACAACTTCTGAACTCAGTGACAGCTTCTGCCTGGAGACCATAGTCATCAACCACAAGACAGATATTTTTGATAAGGAAATAACTACAAATGGTAGACCCTAAGCTGATGCCAAACTGTTCTATGTAAGGAAAGTGTTCTCAGCAATAGTGCTTCCTTCCAAAAAGGAATGGACTAGATATTCACCTATGAATAAGCCCTTTTCTGACCTCTAACTTTTGAGTTGCTAAATTATAATCCCTTAGAATGTTTTAGAGAAATGGACTTATATTTTGGTCAAGTATTTCTTTATTCTTTTTCTTTTCCCCTGTACCCTCTGCCATTTGGTAACAGCACAAGAGTTTTTATAAAATAATGTCAAAATTTGGCCATAAAAAAAGAGAACCATTAAATGCATATGATCCAATTTTTTTAGCTAGAACTGGAAACACTGGGTTTTCCTTAGGAGAACGAGATACTTCTTAGAAACAGAACAATCTGTCCATTACAAGTAGTGATTACTAGAATTCTCATTTTTTAAAACTGGCTTTATCAGTCATTCTGACTCTTTTTCTAAAGAAATTGCTATTGCTAACCACGCTTTCATTTCACTGGGGAATTAATGCTCAGTGGCACATTAGAATTCATGCAATAGCATTAAATAATTACTGTTTCTTTATATATCTCCTGCCAACTTAGAAGTACATTAAAATTGGCTGTAGGAGAATTCAGGACACCTCAATCTGAAGAAAATCCCCATCCATATATATATATTCTCCACTCAGTAGATAAGAGGCAACCTCGAGTACCTGGCAACAAACGAATTGCACACATAGCAACAAGAAGTCGAGTAATACAGAAAGAGGAAAGAGAAGCTGGTCCACATTAGCTCCCGTGGTGGTAGTAAACTTCAGAAAATATCAGAGCTGTAGACAGCAGCTTGGCATGAGGAGAGGAATTCATGGTTTTCCATAAATCTAGTGACAGGCCAGGTCGAATAGGACAACACCATCTTGTCTGCCCCAGTAGCATACAGGGCAGGAGGAGAAAAGTTAGGTACAGAGCTGGAGCTGAGAGCCGAAGTGGAGGAGGAGGAAGGCTGTGAGAATTGAAGGATGTAGGGCAGGCAAGGAAAGGTGGTGCTGTGAGGGTCTTCAGTTGAGCCAGCTCCCAGTCCTGATTCGGCATGTGTCATTTTGGTGCCAGGCCTGGCCACAGCTTCTCAGACCCCAGATAGAGCTGCCTTCTGTGCATGGAGGAGCAGGAGGGCTCAGAGGCCTCAGATGACTGTCTGAGGTTTGCAAGCAGCAAAAAAGTGAGGGCTCTGTTCAGTGTATAGTGGAGAAAATCAGCGTGAGAGAGTTTCCAGCCTTGCTCTTCTCTACACTACCTTGGGCCTCAGCTTCATATGTAAAACAGGGATAATAATACCCCAGAGAGGGTGTTGTAAGGATTGGATGTGTTAAATTATATCAAATTCCCCTCACAGTGCAGTGTGGTAGCTGTTTGACAAAGTTAATTCACTTCCTCCTTTACAGCCTCGGCCTCCATAACCCATGATGACGACAGCTCCTACAGTTTGATTTGTAGAACAAAATAATACTTCTAAAATGTGAAACTACTGCTCATCCAGTGAAAGAATTGTTGAGAAGCTTACACATAATGCTTTATGCACCTCAGATCTCAAAGACTTTTGCTAATTTGTGGCAAAGAGATAGCACATATGTTGCTACCAGAGCAGTCCGGGAAGCTGGCCCTGAAGGGCAGCCTATGCTAGAAGTGGAATAGAAGCTCCTCACAGAGCTATGGGAACCAGGGCTGGTGGGAAGCCACATGCCCACAGACCTAAAAACAGAGTGGTTAGTTCTAGACGCGTGCCTGTAAAGTAGAGGTTGCAGTGCAAACTGCTGGGCTGTGGGCTAACTGTGGCTCACGGATTTTTTTTTTTAACCCTTAGCCAGCGTAGTTTTGATTTTTTTTTTTTTTTTAAATAGCTTTAGTGAGGGGCTTGACTCTCGTTTTGTCACGTTTCCCATTCACTTCTAGTTGCCCTAGACCTGGTGGTTCTGTTCCTGTCTGGCCCTTCAAATGTTCTGACCCCTTTTTCGAGCCTACCACAGAACAGGGCACAAACCAGAGAGCAGACAGTGGACTCAGAACCAGGAACTGAATGTGTCCTATCCCATTGTCCTAGGGTTGCCAGATGAAATATAGCACTTTCAGTTAAATTTGAATTTCAGATAAACAACTTTTTTTTTTTTTAGTATAAGTAGGTTCTGTGTAATATTTCCATTTCCTAAATCTGGCAGTACTGCTTTATTCCCATTTATAATTCTCATCCTCGCAACCGTAGCTACTAAGTAGTGATTGTCATTGTAACATTGGGGTAAAGAATCTTGAAAATAGAACACCTTGACAGCCTTTGGGAAAGAGAGAAGGGGATACATTTATTTCAGCATTTGAAAGAGCAAAGCATGTGAATGAGTATTTGAATTTCATATGGGGTAAAATTGGAAACTATCATGGCTAGAGGGCTTTTTTTCACATACTGGGTGATGACAGCTAGAAGGTGACTGGAGGTGGCCCTCGCTCACTGAGGAATGATGTGAGGACAAGGATCATTCCTAAGACTGTCTTGGGTGGCATCTTGATACCTGTTGCATGAGAGGGTGCTAAATACTTTCAGATGTAATTGTGGTAGACTCCAGG